>NC_000002.12:201732042-202035072 GCF_000001405.40 Homo sapiens
GCCATATTGAGGTGAAAGCTGTATCTCATTGGGATATTTGAGAGGTCAAACCTTCACAGCTAAAGCTAGATCAGTTTAAAGACCTTGTAGGTCTTTTCTTTAGTCTGGTTTCACAGCAGGCTCAAATGTAGAAAGCCTACATCAATCAGTTCCTGGGTCACTCTGAGGGGTGAAATCTGTTTAGATCAAGAGACAGACCCAAAGATTAAGAGGATTCTAAACCTACAAGGGGCCAGCGTGGTGGCTCATGCCTGTAATCCTAGCACTTTCGGAGGCCAAGGCAGGCCAATCACTTGAGGTCAGGAGTTCGAGGCCAGCCTGGCCAACATGGTGATATCCCATCTCTACTAAAAATACAAAAAAAAAAAAAAAAAAAAGTAGCCGGTGTTGTGGTACACACCTGTAATCTCAGCTACTCAGGAGGCTGAGGCATGAGAATCACTTGAACCTGGGAGGTGGAGGTTGCAGTGAGCCAAGATTGCGCCACTGCACTCCAGCCCCAGTGACAGAACGAGACTCTGTCTCAAAAACAAACAAACAACAACAACAATAAAAAAAACCTATAAGGGACTTTGGAGTCATTATAATTTTTCTAGAGCCTTTCAGGGTAGAAACAAAATGAAATCACATATTTCGATGGGATTTGAAAGGTGAATGTCTCAGGACCAGTTTTAACATACATCTATATCCTAGTGTGGTGCTAACTTCCTAGGATTCCACCTAACTAGTTTTATGTAAGGGTGGACTAGTTAACATTTGAGAAAATCCTGTAACTGATTCCTCTCAGCATTTGCTAAGGTAACCTAAACACCTGGCATAAAGTCTAGCATGAATCCAGGCTGGGTAACACCCCTGCCTTACAGGTGTATGCCATTATACAGAAAGCCAGGGCTTTAAAGAGCTCTGTTTAACTCATAGTCAGCATGCATCCAATAAATTTTGACAACTACTGAATGAGTAGCATCTGATAGAGTCTCAACTTTAGACAGTTTCATAAAATGAATACAGTTTATTCATCTTGATAAGGCCCTAAAGGGAAACTGAATCCACAGAAAACTCAATTTATCTACAGTCATACTTTCCTCTGTCATTTCCCTGAAGAAAATTAAATTTAATTAGACACAGGTAAATATTAAATTACTGGAGTTCCAGATCTTGTGGTGGCATAATCCATACAAACAACTATGATCCTTGGCTTTCCAAATGTCCAAAGAGGTATACATGGGAGCTTACCACTTCAAAACAAGTAGCAAGCTTTAGCAAAACTTTTGCGTAATTATGAAGTCGTCTGATTGGCAAGAAAAACAAAGTATTCAGTATTTCCATCAACTGAGTGTTTTCGTCATTCACTTCTGACAAATCTTGCAACAGCTCTTGGTTTTTATTTAGGAAATCACTAGAGGCAGAGGAAAAAAAAATTTAGTTAATCATTTTGGAATTGGTAATATGTACATTAAATAAAAAATTTCACTAGAAAGTACCTCTTTCAGAATGCACATTTTTTAGGTGCTGTGAAAGTAGAAATACAATGAAATAAGCCAGATATAATTAAAAGAATTTCCCTATCTATAAGACAGGATTTTTAGTATGAAAAGTAGCAAATGGTAGCAATACAAACGGTTAATCACAGACTTGTGCCTATATTCTAGGAAATGAATCATGCATCCAACAATTTAAGATGAATAATCAGAGACCAGCTGACACCATTACCTGTTAATTTCAAAGCCAAAAGTCACAGCAATAAATGGCAAGACTAATTGTTCTAGGCAGCTGTGCTAAATAGAAACACTGGAAGAAAAAGCAAAGCTCCTTGCTCCAACAGAATTAGTGTGGATATTAAAACACTTCTAATTTCTTCTTTTTTCCTTCAATTATTGATCACCTAACAAGAGTTTATTATAGGAAAGTAATAAAAAGCTGCAAGAACTAGTATTACAGTTAACAAGAAACAATAAAGATGATTATATGTGAAGATTTCAATGCTGAGATCTTCAAAAGCATTTCAAACTGAAGCCAAAAATTAGCTAATATTCAGTTTTTAATAAATTCATTGTTAAAATTTTATTCCAAATTTTAATGCTGATCAATAACCCATTCAGGCTTAGCTCACCAAACCAAAATACTTAATGGTAAAGCAGTAAGAGTTGGTGAGCTGGGTGCAGTGGTTCACACCTGCAATCCCAGCACTTTGGGCTGCCAAGGTGGGTGGATAGCTTGAGCCCGGAAGTTTGAGACCAGCCTGAGCAACATAATGAAACCCTGTCTCTGCAAAAAATACAAAAATTAGCCAGGCATGGAAGCGCACACCTGTAGTCCCAGCTGCTCAGGTGGCTGAGGCAGGAGAATCATTTGAGCACAGGAAGTTGAGGCTGTAGTGAGCCGTGGTTGTGCCACTGCACACCAGCCCGGGTGACCAGCCTGTCTCAAAAAAAAAAAAAGATCTTAGATAAAGTGCCCAGATTTTATTTATATTTGGCTGGTGCTAATGTTCCTACTTCTTTCTCCACGTTCTACTGCAGAGATCAGCTGAGGACTTATTTAATTTTACACAAGTGTTCTGCTTTGACCTGCTCCTGAGAGACGGAGGTAAGATATAGTGAACACAAACTCCCTTGGACCATATTTCTCCTCAATACCCAGTACCCAGTCTACAGTAGACCAGAAATGTTCCAACTCTTGTGAACTCCATTACTTTCCAGGACTCACTCATGTCCTTACCTATAATCTTCCCCGAAAGAGGCCAAGCTACACTCCTAAGAAATCTGAACCAGAAACCATCTCTGATCAGCTTATCTTTTCTTGGGAGTTTTTAATCTAATAGTGGCAATATCACTCTTTCCTTATATGGCAAGGTCTGTACTTTTTACTCAGATTTTTAAAATAAAAAAATATTAAAGGTAGAAACAACCTAAGTGTCCATCAGCAGATGAACTGATTGATAAAATGTGGTAATGTGTACATACAAGAGAATATTATTCAGCCATAAAATGGAATGAAATTTTGACGTATGCTACAACATGAATGAACCTTGAAAATACTATACTTAAAGAAATAAGCCAGACACAGAACGACAAATAAATACGTGATTCGACTCATATAAGGTACCTAGAACAGGCAAACTCAAACAGAGAGGAAGTAGAATAGAGGTTACCAGAGCCAGGCAGGCAGGGGGAGACAGTATGGGGGGAGTTATTATTTATCATGCACTGAGTTTTTCTCAGAGATAATGAAAAAATAGTGATGGTTATACAACATTGCGAATGTATTTGATGCCCCCTAAATTGTACACTTATTAGTGTACAATTAAGATTAAAATGATAAATATGACATTACATATATTTTATCACATTAGGAAAAAAACTTGCATAATAATCAAACCACCAGGCAAGCCTGATGTGAGCAGCTGAGTGATCAATTAGATGAATGATAAGTGCTTGTGCATCATCATCCAAGATCCACTAACAGCCATGTGGGCAGCCTAGCTGTGCTTTAGACATTCTCAAACTCTCCTCTGAAAATGAAATCTTTACGGTAATTTTAAATATTGACTTTGTAAACAGAAGTTGGAAAAAGATGTCATTGCTGCCTTTAACTATGTAAAACCCAGGCTCTGGGCATGGTGCTGTGCAAAAGGCAAGAGGCTTTCAACTTATGTCATCTCATTTTTCTGCTCTAACAAGGTCAATTCTTCAGTACTGTGAATCTAACTCGGAAATACCAGAGGAAGGTCAACAACAGCAGAATAAGGAACCAGGGTCAGTAACTGCTGTAGCCCTTCAGGAAGCCCAGAAGCTTTCCATTTAAACTGTCACAAGTCTCCATCTATTTTTTGCATCTTCCTGTAATTAAACTTGCTTTTCTTCAAGCATTACTATTTGCAAAAATAACTATTGAATTTTCTTTCTGCTCCATTTAATTATTGGTTTGGCTACAGCCCCATTTTCTCCTATTTTCTTTGGCTATGATTCAGCATTTCACCAACATTATAGGTTAACTAAGCTATTTTATTCATTATAATAAAGATATTTAAAATAATAAATATAAAATCAGTAATTACAAATGTAAACTTGTCAAAACCAGAAGTTCTCAAATGTAAACAACAACAACAACAAACAATAAGTCCATCCATGTGCTGCTTATAAGAAATATATCAAAACAATGCAGACAGGCTGAAAGTAAAAGAATGGAAAATTGTGGTGTATTAAGATCAAGAATTTTAAAGTTACTACATAAGGTTAAAGACATATTCTTGAAACTGTCATTTTAAAAAAATAAAGGCCAAACCCCTATATTTTGGAAATCAACAAGCATGTGAGTCCAATAATTCATAATGGATTAGAAAAATACTTTCGAAAATATTTAGAACTGAATGACTATAAAAACAAAACGTACTAAGACTTGTAAGATTCAGCTAAAGCAACAATTAGAGGGAAATTTATAGCCTTAAATGGCTACATTAGAAAAATTTTAAATTTGAAAAATTAATGAACCAAGTGCTAAACTAGAAGTTGTTAAGAAGTTAACAGGTGAACAAAAAGAAAGTAGAAGGAAATAAAAAGCAGAAATTAATGAAATTTTTTAAAAGCGAAAGAAATGATTCCCTAATTTTTGAAAAAATTAATTTAAAAAGGGGTAAACTGCCGACAAGACTGATCAAGATAAAAAAGATAAAAGGCCCAAATGAATAATCGTAAGAATGAGAAACAGGGGGTACAACTACAGTTATTCTGGTGTAATCATTTTAAGACTATGGTAGGAACATTATGCCAATAAGCTTTAAAACAAGGGTGCAATGAACAATTTTCCAGAGAAATATAAATAACAAAAGCCATAAGAAGAAATAAAGACCTGAACATACCTATTCATTAAATCAGTAAAAACTCCCTACAGCAAATGCCCCCATGAAACCTAGATTATTTTTACAGATGAATTCTACTAAATCTTCAAAGTACAAATAATTCCTACTTCATATAAACTATGAACTTCCAGGAAACAGAAAAGGAGAAAAAGCTCCTCCATATCTGTGAGTTCCAAATCTGCAGATTCAACAACCTCAGACCAAAAATATTTCATAAAAAAATTATGTTTCTACCACTTTTTTGTCACTAATCCCTAAACGATACCATATTACAACTATTTATATAGCATTTATATTTTATTAGATGTTATAAGTAATCTAGAGATGATTTAACATATATGAAAGGATGTGCACAGGTTATAGGCAAATACTAAGCCATTTTATATCAGGGACTTGAACATCCTTGAATTTTGGTTTCCTTTGGGAGGTCCTGGAGTCAATCCCTCATGGGTACCAAGAGACAACTGTATAAGTAAATTTAATTCAGCAATGTATTAAAACCTTAATACATTAAGATTACTGAATTTTGGAATTTGGAAACTCAGATATTTAACATTATAAAAATTCCTCTACAACTTTTAGAAATAGGGCCTTTTTAACCCTATAAATTATATCTACCAAAAACCTAAAGTAATCATTTTTAATGGTGAAATATTAAAAGTATTCTCATTAAAACTAGAAATGAGATGAGAATGTTAGCATTCCTTCTATTAGGATAAAAAATCAAAAGCAAACATGGGGCTGGGCATGGTGGCTCACGCCTGTAATCCCGGCACTTTTGGAGGCCGAGGTGGGTGAATCACTTGAGGTCAGGGGTTTGAGACCAGCTTGGTCAACATGGTGAAACCCCATCTCTACTAAAAGTACAAAAATTAGTTCGGGGTGGTGGTGCACACCTGTAGCCCCAGCTACTTGGGAGGCTGAGGCAGGAGAATTGCTTGAACCCAGGAGGCAGATGTTGCAGTGAGCCAAGATTGCGCCACTGCATTCCAGCCTGGATGACAGAGCGAGACCCCGTCTCAAAAAAAAAAAAGCAAACATGGCAAAACATTAACATCTGCTAAATCTGGGTGGTAAGTACATATTTAAAGTATTTTCTATTAAAATACAGAATTTTTGGCCTGGCACAGTGGTGCATGCCTATAATTCCAGCACTTTGGGAGGCTGAGACAGGAGAACCCTTGAGCCCAGGAGTTCCTAACCAGCCTGGGTAACACAGTGAGACCCTATCTCTTCTATTTTAAAAATAAAAAAAACTTAAACACAGAATTTTTAAAACCTTGGCTTTGTTGCTGGGTCAACACTTGTTGAGAAACTATCTGTTCAGGATTATTGCCTTGTGTAAGGAGCCTTTAAATTATTTACCCAGAAGCTAAATGCAAATAGGTTGTATCTGCGCAAACACTTTTTTCTGTGCATCATCACATACATTATTTGTTCCTCTCCAATGGGAGAGAACATTCCCATTTTTCAGATGAAGAACACTAGGCCTACTGAGGTAAAGAGAGTTGTCCAAAGTCTCAAGGATAGCACAGAAGGACCCCGAACCTGAGCCTAGTCATTCAGTACTTTTTCAATAGCATACTACTTATAATGATAACCAGTGGCTAATAGTACCTGTCCTTTATAAGACTTACTGAAAGTTTATATTTTGACTTGTTTGGTAAAATGATGAAGTCAAAGCTTTCCCTGAGCACTCGAAAACAGAGCACTATAAAATGTCATCTTTGGCGGAGAGAATGATAACTGGAAGGTGTGGGTTTGCTTACATGGCAGGCTTAGCAAGAAGCTGGAATCCTCCCATAACCAGGAAATTTGTAATAGATGTGCAATACCTTGAGCAGAAAAGAAAACACATGTACATTAGTTGAAATGTAAATTAGTTCTTCAGTTTCCAAACACATACCTGGAATAGATAATTCTTGATTATTTCACCAATGAATTTCAGAAGTTTTGTGATGTCAACATTTGTGAAGGGCAGGTTGTGTAATAATTACAATAATGGAGGTAAAGGGAGTGGTAGGGGAATTCCAGCTTAGTAAAGATGGTAATATAAGGCTGGTCACATTGGCTCACACCTGTAATCCCAGCACTTTGGGAGGCTAAGGCGGGAGGATCGCTTGAGCCTAGGAGTTTGAGATCAGCCTGGGCAGCATGGGGAAACCCGACTTTACAAAAAAATAGAAAAATTAGTCAGGCATGGTGGCACATGCCTGTAGTCTCAACTACTTGGGAGGCTGAGGTGGGAGGATCCCTTGAGCCTGGGAGGTTGAGGCTGCAGTGAGCTGTGATTCCAACATTGCACAGCCTGAGTGACAGGATACGACTGTCTCCCAAAAAAAAAAAAAAAAAAAAAAAGATGGTAATATAAAAGGAAATTTTAAAAACACCTAAAGCTAAGCAGAAAATGCAGTAATTTACTTGGTATCTACCAAGCAATATCTATTACGTGGTAACTTAATTAACATACTTGAGAAAACATAATTAAAATAGTTGAATTTTTGATGAAAATTTTCTGTAATCTTCACTTCAGGTTTCCCAATTAAGAAATGACAGTGAAGGCTGGGGGCGGTGGCTCACTCCTGTAATCTCAGCACTTTGGGAGGCTGAGGCAAGTGAATCACCTGAGGTCAGGAGTTCGAGACCAGCCTGGCCAACATGGTGAAACCCCGTCTCTACTAAAACTATAAAAATTAGCTGGGCGCGGTGGCGGATGCCTGTAATCCCAGCTACTTGGGAGGCTGAGGCAGAAGAATCGCTTGAACTTGGGAGGCAGAGGTTGCGGCGAGCCAAGACCGTGCCATTGCACTCCAGCCTGGGCAACAAGAGCGAAACTCCAGCTCAAAAAAAAAAAAAAGAAAAAAGAAATGACAGTGAAGGTAAGAAAATATGTTAAAAGTGCTTGAGTCAGTGTTAGAAAATGTTGATTAAATATTGATATGCTGCTAAAGAACAAGTCTAGTTATACTGCTTTGAGCCCTGTACATTTCTTGTACACACTTGGGCTGGCAAATGGAATCAACTGACTTTGAGGAAGAAGGGAAACTCCTAGTAAAATTAGCCCACAGTACTATACAATTAAATATGGTTATAATGGTTAATTTTATGTGATGTGTATTTTATCACAATTAAAAATAATTTTCGCCAGGCACAGTGGCTCACACTTGCAATCCTAGCACTTTTGCAGGCTGAGGCAGGAGGATAACTTATGCCCAGGAGTTTGAGACCAGCCTGGGCAACATAGTGAGACCCCCATCTCTACAAAAAATTAAAAAAATTAGCTGGATGTGCTGGCATGCACCTGTAGTCCTAGCTTCTTGGGAGGCTGAGGTGGGAGGATCACTTGAGCCTGGCAGGTCAAGGCTGCAGTGAGCTGTAATGGTGCCACTGCACTCCAGGCTTTAATAACTTTATAATTATAAAAATAATTTTAAAGATTCATACATAAACCCAAATATTTTACTTGCCCCATCTATAGGAATAACCTGTTATGTTAAAAAAAGCCCAAAGTATCAAAAGCATTTTTAAGCATAAGGCCTAAAGTACCAGAGAAGAAAAAGAAGTGAAATAGAGGTATTATGAGATGAATTCAAGTCAAAAAAGGAAAATTATACCAGTAAAAGCTGGAATCACAGAAACAACAAAATCTAGTTTTAAAAAAGAAACTAGTATCAAGTTCTATTATTTTTATTTTTCATTTCTGAAAGATGATGAGTTAAAATACTCAAACCAGGGTACTTCCTCTTTGACAACAGCTTCAAATATTTTCAATTTTGCTTAGAATTAAAATAGCATCCAACTATCTGTACATATTATATAGGTTGGAAAGGAAATACACTAAGATGATAAACAGTGGTTAGTTCTGGTGGTAGGATTATGGGTGATTTTTGATTATCTTTATTTGTGCAGTTTTCAGTAATAAACACATGTTATTATGTTATAAATAATCAAAACAAAACACCAACAAAACACGAACTCCCTGAGGGCTGGTGCTTTTCGCAGGCCCCATGCTGTGCTGCTGTGGGCTTGGAGCTCCCCGCAAATGCCTGGCACTGAGTGGGCACTCAGTGTTTGCTGGATGGTTGAGGTGTGAATGAATAGAGAACAAAACCTATACATACTTCAGATCAAAGCATAACCTAACATACATTAAAATAACACTTAAATTATGCCTCACATCATCATATCAAAATACAAGTTAAGAAAACGTGAGAAACATTTTAAGTTACATTTTCAAGTACACTTGGGATATTTTGCTTGAAAAATATGCAAAGAACCTTGAATAACTATTCCAGGTTTTATTAAGGAAAAACATCTTCATGTTAAAAATAGTTGGGTCTTTTAAAACTTCCATTTATATAAAAGTCAAAAGCAGACATCAGAACAGCTCCATATTTACAATCAGCAGTTGGTCTTGAAATAATTTGTTTAGTTACTAATTTCTTCCAAGTTTTAGTACAATTTAGTTAAGTAAACAAAATTGTTTTCTAAAGAACCAGACTTATTATAGTACATTTAATGTAAATTATGCTATCACTCTGCTAGAATATAGAAGAAAACATGATAATTCATTATTTTTAAATTTTTTTTCATTTAGAGAAGACTAAATTTTAGCAATCCAGAACTATAGTTGGCTTAAGATTAAAATACTGCTTTGCAATTTCTATTACCTTATATCACTCTCCCTAATCTAGTCTCTTCTGATTAAGGAGCTGTTCTCCTTGGCAGAATAACCCTGCAGAGATTGAACATGACACGGGACTGGATACTTGCTCTGTATAACTATCCAAGAAGAGACTTGAATGCTTCAGGATGACCAAACTCCTGGCTTCCTTTACCCCATGAAGGAAGCTGCTCAATGAGGCTCCATGCTGACCAATGAGGTAACACAGCTTGCTGAATCGGCTAGCCACCTCCTGCAACAGCTGGACTGTAGTTGTAGTGCCCAAATTTTCTATAACAAAATAATGATGATGATGACAACACAAACTGAAAACCGATCACTTTATTATGATGTGATTATGATTATGAATTCCTCTAAGACTACTTAACCTGTTGCCATGTGCTCTCAACTAAGGAACCCAAATGATTACAGTATTAAAGCAACCTCAAAGATCACAGTATCCAGTCCTTTGAGGAACTTGTTAAAAACACATTCACAGGAACCTTATAGATTCCAGGATGGCTTTTTCTGTTAAAAAAGACTCTCCAGGTGATTTTAAAGATGAGCCAAATTTGAGGACCACTGAGCTAATGCAACTCTCTGGTCATTTTGAAGATAAGTAATCTGAAGCCAAGAGAAGGGAAGTCAATTATCTAACTTAAGCCACTGATTAGTGACAGTCAGGAATTAAACTCACTTGGGGAGTTATATCTTTGTAAACATTTTCAGCTTTTTTGTTCTGACTTCTGCTCTACTTGCCTCTTTGAAAAGCCCAACCCTTCAGTGCAGAGAAGGCAATCCAAACATTGGACCACTGAGGATGCTCTGAATTTCAGAGATGGCACCAGGATATTATTTGCTTTTTGCCTGTCTAAAGTTCCTCATTTCTAGGACTTCTTTCCAAGCAATTAGGAAAGTAGACTGGGAAGACCAACAAAGAAATCAGCAACCAGGACAGGAAAGAGGCAGATTTAACCTTTCTTTCAGAGCAATCCAGGAAGCTTCCAGCTTAGATTGCTTCCTTTCTCTTGGCAAAGTCCTGGAGTGTTCAGCCTACCTAGAGGAGGGGAATTTATAGAACAGAGACTCCACAACACTTAAAAGGCAGAAGGTAATAAAAACAAAAACACAAATGCAGACAGTCCTCAGCTTACAAAGGGATTATATTCACAAAGACTGTAAATTAGTTGTTTGAAAAGATGTTTTTCCACTAGAAACAATGGGCAGGCCGGGCACGGTGGCTCATGCCTGTAATCCCACCACTTTGGGAGGCCGAGGCAGGCAGATCACTTAAGGCCAGGAGTACAAGACCAGCCTGGGAAACATGGCAAAACCCCGTCTCTATTAAAAATACAAAAATTAGCAGGAGTGGTAGTGCACACCTGTAGTCCCAGCTACTCAGGTGGCTGAGGCACGAGAATTGCTTGAACCCAGGAGGTGAAGGTTGCAGTGAGCCGAGATTGTGCCACTACACTCCAGCCTGGGTGACAGAGCAAGACTCTGTCTCAAAAAAAAAAAAAAAAGAAAGAAACAATGGGCTGACCTGCAGAAGACAATGTCCTCAACATGGCAAAAGTGATGTACTAGAGAATTAACCTGAATTCTGGGTCAACACAGTGGGGCAAGGAGTGCAGGAGAGAGAAAGAGAAAGAAAACTTCCTGTTTTCTGACTGTAGGGCCAAACCCAGAAAAAAAATTTGAAATAGGAAAAGTTTATCTGCAACAGTTCCCTCAACTTCCATTCTGCATTCCTTTCTATTCTCCCAGAGACCCCCAGGTACCCAGTATATCTGGACAGTGGCATCCCATCTAGTACTACTGTAACCCATTGCCTCTGTATTACCCCGTCACTTCCAACCTCTTTGTAGCTGGGCATAGCTAAGAAAAAGAATCAGATTTAATCAACTCATGCTGAGGGATAAGATCTTTTTTTGTCCCCGAGATGGAGTCTTGCTCTGTCACCCAGGCTGGACTGCAGTGGTACAATCTCAGCTCACTGCAACCTCCACCTCCCGGGTTCAAGCAATTCTCCTGCCTCAGCCTCCCGAGTAGCTGGAATTACAGGCACCCACCTGGCTAATTTTTGTATTTTTAGTAGAGATGGGGTTTCACCATGTTGGCCAGGCTGGTCTCGAACTCCTGACCTCATGATCTGCCCTCCTCGGCCTCCCAGAGTGCTGGGATTACAGGAGTGAGCCACCAAGCCCAGTCGGATAAGAGCTTTAACACTCTTATAGTTATCCACAACTTTAAGAGACTACTTGTAAATCCAAATAAATCTCTACTTGATACAATTCTAAGAACTATAATGAGGAAAATAAAAAATTCAGATAGTATACTGGAAGATCTCTTAGGACCAGCAGGGGGAGAAGTGTTGTTTGGAAGTCTAACTTTATGTAGGGTCAACTTTCCCAAAGTTGTTTTTGTTCCTCTGCCATGAATATCCTAAAAGTTCCATTTTCTACTTCTGGAAGCCGCAGGAGCTCTGGGAGTGGTAGGACAGGGCAGGGGCAGTGAGGCTATTGACAAATTGGAAACAGTTTGTAAATTGTTGACTACCTGTGTACACACACACAAAGACAGTGCATAGCAAGAAGTAAACCATAAACTAACAGGTTTTCATTATTTGTGACATAGGAAGAAGAGATAAAGACCTGATGGTTTAATGGTGGGAGAGAGGGGGTTGCAACTTACCTAAACTGAGAAGAGGCCTGAGAATCTGAGATTTGATATCACTTAGTTTTGAATAGAATCGTCTTTCTGTAGTAGCTAACTCGTGGAGACTGGCAATATACCCCATAATGTTTTTATCCACCAAGGCTAAATAGCTATCTTTTCCTGCTGTCACTCTGCTTATATATCCAAGCTGAAACAGAAGAAAACAAAAGGATTAAATATAACATATAATTATGTTACTAATTTGGTATACTGAAGCTGGCTTATATCAGCTGACAAGAGCTAACTGTTAAATATTCAGAAAATTTGCAAGCAAGTAATTAAACCATTGGCAGCTTGAAAATTGGCCATAGTGAAAATCTGCAAGCACCACAGACTAGGGTTTTTTTTGGGGGGGTCGTCGGGGTCGCTTTTTTTTAGAGCTGGTTCATCAGTACATCATTGTTATATATGCATATCCAGATCTATACATAACTATACACACCTACTTTCAATTATCTCCAAGATACCTTTCATTTCACATTACAACTGTTTGGAAACAGACCCCCTGGATATATAAAGATCCAAATGATAGGGATACATGTCTCAGGACCACTTTCCGAGTAAAATAAGATTAATGAGACCAGGGAGGATCTCTATGCTATATATTAAAATATCTAGGATCTAAGAATTAACCTGCCTTTTGTACAATGAAAAGAGATTTTCTTAAAAAGGGACTTTTTGTCATTTACCCCAGATACCACTGTATAAAAAACATTCCATGTCTTTATTCACATATCCCATTAAATCAGGCAGGCAAGCTACAGACCCAATGCACTATTAACATCCCATGGTAACCAAAGACACACACGAGAGCTTCATTCCTTTCATCAGCCTATTTGATCGTCTATCTAGACTGTGAAATCATTCATGGGGAATGTAAAGCCAGGACTGGCAACTACAGACACATCTTGGCCAATGTTGCCTTTAATCTTTAAATTTGTTTTGTTTTGGTAGAGACAGGGTCTTGCTATGTTGCCCAGGCTGGTCTTGAACTGGCCTCAAGTGATCCTCCAGTCTTGGCCTCCCAAAGTTCTGGGATTATAGGGATGAACCATTGTACTTGGTCCCAATGTTACCTTTAGCAAGAAAGATCTTGTCCCCACACATTCATAACTTACTAGCCAGAAAAACAAACACAAAGACTAAAAAAAAAAGCCCATATGCTATTTTACTTAATAAAAATAAGAAATCCTAGAATATACTAGTTTTGGGGGTTAATTTCCCTGCAGCATGTCACTTTGAGAATGTGAGTTACTTTATGGGGAAAAGAAAGCTAGAAATAAGCCAATGGTTTCAGTTTACAAAAAAGAAGGGAAAACAGAGTGGGAAAGCAGATCAAATAAAAAGGGGATAAACAGTAGGTAAACAGTAGGAAATAAAATTAAGGCCAAACAAGGTGGCTGAGGCCTGTAATCCTAGCATTTCAGGAGGCTGAGGCGGGCAGATCACTTGAGGTCAGGAGTTCAAGACCAGCCTGACCAACGTGGTGAAACCCCGTCTCTACTAAAAATACAAAAATTAGCTGGGCGTGGTGGTGGGCACCTGTAATCTCAGCTACCTGGGAGACTGAGGCAGGAGAATTGCTTGAACCCAGGAGGCAGAGGTTGCAATGGGCCAAGACTGTGTCACTGCACTCCAGCCTGGGCAACAGAGCAAGACTCAGTCTCAAAAAAATAAATTAATTAATTTAATTAAATTAAAAGTGGAGAAGTGAAGCAGGGAAAAACAGAACACTGTTGGTTGTCTGTTGGGTCTCTCATGGTCTGCCATGAGCCTATCTCAGGCTCTTGCATTGTTACTTCCCACTTAATAGTTAGAAATTCATCTACTCTATTTCTAATTCACCTCGAGGGCTCTACGGCTGCAGTCAGGAAACTTCATAGTAAAATGTACTTTCCAATATTCCTACATGAGGGTGTTAATTCAACAAACATTTATAAAGTATGTACTATGCTCATCAAATATCATCAAAATATTTATAAAGTATGTACTATGCTACAGCAGTGAATGAGATAGCCTAAAATCCCTACCCTTCTGAATCTTACATTATAGTAAGGAGGACAGACAATAGACAAAGTGAGTAAATTATATAGTGTATTCGATGGTGATAGGCCCTTTGGAGAGAGAAGATAAGGAGTGAAGGGGGCTTGAAAGGAGTTTGCAATTTTAAATAAGGTAGTTAGAGATGCTTACTAATAATTAGCCATACATACAAATAAAAACAAAAACAAAAGACTTCTTATGTGTTACTGAATGTGGGCCTTAGGATCCAATTCCTGTTCACCTTACTACAGGAGAGAAGTACTGGAGTCTTAGAACCACTGTGATTCTCTGGAAGGTTGTCACCTTCTGTAGGGTCCTGTCGGCCACTGTAATATAACCCAGGCTGGAAGTCTTCTGTATCCACTAAAAACAGGGAATAATCCCTGCCTGCAGCTATGCTCCAGACTCCATTTTCACTGCTTATCTGCAACGACAGAAAGATAGTGTCTGTCCAAGATAAAGGCAATCAGAGAGAACTTCGGATCCACAGGAACTGAAACGTTAGGTTGCTTAAATAAGCGTGGTGCAGTCAGTCATATCTGAGAGCAAACTTACCCAGCAATTTGCCCAATCAAATGCAGAGCAGGTGCAGGAGTAAGACGGAATCCCTTGTTCAGCTTTTAAATTTAGAACTGTTTTTATAAAAATCTGAAAAATTGGAATTTAAAAAGGAAAAACCACACATCTAATTTTTTATTGTTACTTTTGGAAGTCTGCACAGACTGTATTATAATGAAGAGACCCAGAAACTTCCAGAGCCCTACTCTTGAAGTGACAATTAGGACATACCTCTGTCCTTCCACATTTGGCTGTGTGCACAAAAATCGAGGTAAAAGAAAACAAACTAATAAGGCTAAATTCTATTCTGGCCAACTAAACTCTTGGGTGCTAAAATTCAGTTTTCCCACTTGGAACTCTACCAGTCCTACGTGACTTTACTGTGCCTACTCCCAGGATGTTAAAACAGGCAGAGCCCCTGAGAAGCCCATCTGCAGGGATCCCTTAGACCAGTGGTTCTCAGTGGTCTTTGCAGCAGCAGCAGCAGCCATCACCTGGGAACATGTTAGAAACACAAATTCCCAGGCCCCAGAGCTACTGGGGGAAGGGGAATGGGGAATAGAGTCCAGCACTCGGTCGCTTTTTTTTTTTTTTTTGAGACTCTTTCGCCCAGGCTGGTGTGCAGTGGCGCAATCTCGGCTCACTGCAAACTCCACCTCCCGGGTTCATGCCATTCTCCTGCCTCAGCCTCCCGAGTAGCTGGGACTACAGGTGCCCGCTACCACGCCCGGCTAATTTTTGTATTTTTAGTAGAGACGGGGTTTCACCGTGTTAGCCAGGATGGTCTCGGTCTCCTGACCTCATGATTCGCCCGCCTCAGCCTCCCAAAGTGCTGGGATTACGGGCGTGAGCTACCGCGCCCAGCCCAGCACTCTGTTTTAACAAGCACTCCACAGGTGATTCTGATGTATGCAAAAGTTTGAGAACCACTGCCTTTAAACCAATAATTTTCAAACCTCGGGATTCCACACAGTGATTCAGTGGCCACCATGCCAAGGCAGGTGCCAGGGCTCTAGGCCCCCACTCCATCCTTAACCAAAGTAGTTCCTCATTTGTGGGTTTTATGTATGGGATTCCTCATAAGATTTCATTTGGAGAAAGTGTGTTACTGCAAAAACTACTACCTCTAACCTCTAGACCCAGCTTCAGCTCCTAGACTGATAGGCAACACACACACACACACAAATACACTCTCTAATCTGTTAGATCCTTTGTGTTTAGATAGTTTCAGCACTGACTCCTGGACTGACGAACAACCCCTAATCTATTAGATCCTTAGTATCTAGCTAGGCTCCAAATCATAGGTGATTTTGTGTGTGTGTTGTGTGTGTGTGTGTGTGTCTACTACTAATTTTATAGCAGTCTTCTTCTGGCATGACATTATGTTCTCAAATTCAGGCGATCCAAATAACGGACTTCCCATTCATTTTGCAAAGGACGCATTACAATTTTTGCAAAAGGAGTCTTCTTCCTAGTCTCAAAACTAACTCAAATCTCACTCTGCCTTCACTTTTAATTCTCACAGATTAATCAGGATGACTTCAAAAATGTTTTTCTCAGCCTTCCTCAAATAAAAAAACCAAGCTCCCAATGATGTCGGAGAGTTATGAAACTAAAATCTTGTAACAAACTATTCTCTTGTTTGCTCTAAAATGTTAAAAAGGAGTTTGATTTTCAGGTCTCCATGCTACATTACAAAGGTTTCCTTAGTATGAATAAGCACACACTTCAAATAAACAAAAAACAAGGAACAATGATTTGCAATATCTTTGTTTGTGATAATGTATCAGAAACTGAATAGCTTACTACTACGATGTTTTATACTGAAAACATTTCAGATTGGAGCTAGAAGTAATAATTGTTCCCTAATGTTTTATTAAGCCTTTTCTTCCCAGTAAAATTAAGTTCACCAAAAGGAAAGGCAGCATGTAAAAATCTTAAATAGTGACAGATGCACAGTGCACATTGCATATATGAATTATTGGCATATTTATTAACTGTCACATTCAAATCATATTCCTAAAATTGACGTAATTGCCCTTCTTTAATCTCCATTACTCCAGAGGGAGCATGTCTTGGGAACGGGGAGATATCAGAATCCAACTACATATCTATGACCTCCATATTCCATTCTGTCACATGGAGGGCATCTCTACCAAAAACCCTAAAACTCTTGTTCAAGGAACCAGTACAATTGATGAGAATTTGGTATTTCCTCAGGGTGATGAGGCGGAACACAAGGTGGAGAAACACTGCTACAGAACTTCATCAAAGAGACTAGAAGCTACCAATCTCTCAATGGCATTACATAAACTAAAACCAATCCATCTAACAGTAAAAAAAAAAAAAATTCACCTCTACTTTTAGCTTTACTACAGAAAGTGAAAAGGCTTACAAAAAAAAATGTTTTACTACTCTGCATGTTATTTTTAAATGCACACACAAAATTACACCATCAAATAATGTTATGTAAAAGTCAAACAATGGAGAATTCAAAGAGTAGACATTATCTGGTAACGCTGAGAAAACAGCAGAGTCCTAGAAACATGTTTTAAAAGAAAGCACTTTTTCATTTTTTTACTTAAAAAAACAAAGAAACTATGCATATTTAATGAACAGTTGAAGCTAAGAAATATAAACACATAAAAAACGGATATTTAGCTTGAAAACACGTGGCTTCCTGTTTTTAAAAATTTTCTTATGAAAACCAAAACAAATTTAGGTTGTACGTATGAAATTCCCCCGATATTTTAAAATAAGAAATGGAGAAGTATAAGGTGTTACAGCTAAGAATTGTGGAATAAGTTGCTATCAAGTTCACAAAAGTACCTTTGCAAGACGAGGAACTGTTGTTGGAAAATCGGAATGCCCAAGTTGACCAAAGGTATTGCTACCCCATGAGTAAACCTATCAAAAAAACACAGAAAAGTAGCTAAGCGTTGTGAATCTGATTTTGCACATCAACTCTGAACCTTTATAATAATTAACATATATACACAAATACCAACAATTATACATTAAGTACTTATATTAGTCTTTCACTCTTTAACAGATATTAAGGAAATTCATTTTTAACAAGACCAGAGATAATGCGCAAATAGAGTCTTGGTACATAAGAAGACAGAGTCCAAAAATTAGCTGGGCATGGTGGTGCATGCCTGTAATCCCAGCTACTTGGGAGGCTGAGGCAGGAGAATGGCTTGAACCCGGCAGGCAGAAGTTGCAGTGAGCCAAGATCATGCCACTGCATTCCAGCCTAGGCAATATGAGCAAAAGTCGGTATCCCAAAAAAAAAAAAAAGAAAAGAAAAGAAGAAGGCAGAATTGAGGAGTCAACAATAACAATAACAATAACTAACACTTTTCAGGTGCTTACTAACTGCCAGACATTGTTCTTAACACTTTCTGTATATTAATTGATGATTCATTCTCACAACAATCCTAACAAAAATAAATAAATAAGGAAACCCAGAGAGGTTAATTTACCCATGGTCACAAATTCATATGTAAGAGGCAGGATTTAATCCCAGGAATTATCGTATACTGCCTCTTTTAGAGAAAGCAATAAAAACATTAAGTGATATAGAGGAAGAGTAATCATGATTTCCTACTCTGTAGATAAAAGTACTATGGAATGAACAGAAAACCTTTCATACATGAAGAGTTACTGTAAGAGAAACACAAGTACCTACACGACACTACAGACAAAAGAAACTAGATTGCAATGACTAGGTTTAAAATGTTTGTTTATTCTGATTATGAAAGTAATTCATGGTCATTGTACAAGACTGTGACAGTACAAAAATAAAAATAGAAATAAAGTGAAAATCACTGATCAACCACTTGGTGGCACCTACTCTTTTGCACATCAGTAAGTATAGATCTGTAACATCATTGTTAATAACTATCTAGAACTCTACTGTGCATATACTTTAACAAATTACGTACTGAATTAAGTTCTTTCCAATTCCTTTTTTTTTTTTTTTTTGGAAGCAGAGTCTCGATCTTGTCACCCAGGCTGGAGCACAATGGCGCAATCTTGGCTCACTGCAACCTCCGCCTCCCAGATTCAAGCAATTCTCCTGCTCAGCCTTCCAAGTAGCTAGGATTACAGGCGCCTGTCATCACGCCCGGCTAACTTCTGTGTTTTTAGTAGAGATGGGGTTTCACCATGTTGGCCAGGCTGGTCTTGAACTCCTGACCTCAGGTGATCCGCCCACCTCAACCTCCCAAAGTGCTGGGATTACAGGCATGAGCCACCACACTCAGCCTCCAATTCTTTAATATTAAAAAGGATAGGAAAAATCCTTGAATACATATATTCATGTATCTATTTGCTTAGGATAAATTCCTAGGCAAAGACTATGCCATTCTGATTTTTGATACATACTGACAAACTCTCTTCCAGCAAGGTCCAATTTACATTCCTGCCTGCACTGCACGCACATTTTCTCCTACATCCTAATCAATGCTCAGCATTGAATGTAATCCTTAGGTTTGCATAGGTTAATCTCATAGGTGAGAAAAACACTGTACTGTTGTTTTTTAATTTAAATGTATTTGCTAAATGATCATCTTTTCATTTATTGCTGGCCATTTCTACTTCTTTTATGACGAAAATATAAATATCCTTTTGACAATTTTTATCCTTTGACAACTGTTCCTTTATATATAAGTGCAGCAACACTTTATCACATATGTTGCAGATATTTTTACCCAGTTTGTTACGTATTTTCATTTTGTTTACACTGTTTTATTTGCTGTTCGGGACTGTTGAATTATCATATTGACAAACATATCTTACTTTCTAATTTCCAGTTTTGATGTTATGTCTTTTTCTATGCCTAAAAGACTCATCTTAATTTGTTCATACACACACACGCACACATACACACAGTTCTAGTTTTTAATGACATCATTAATACACCCAGAATTAGAATATGTATAGCCATCTTAGTTTTCTCCTACAAATACGAAGCCAGTAAACATTTACTACATTTACCGGATACTCAAGTCTTGTTTTCCCAACTGAATGGAAACACCCACTTTTATATCTTAAATTCTCATATATACTTGAGATTATTTCTAGCCGACAGGCATATTTCTGTTGCATTGATCTGTTTAATTTTATAATATATAAGGATAAATCTCTCTTTTTACCTGGCTCACCTATGTTTATTCTTCTGAAGTAATTTTGGGATTATTTTATCAAATTGTAAATATTACACTGGAATATTTTGGGGACTGTACTGAATTTTCACTGTGCTGATTAATGATTTAAGAGAGAAATGACATTTTTACAACTGACGCATCTCATCCAAAAATAAAACCTCTCACTTTACTACTGCTTTCATGACCCTTCAAAAGAGTTCTAAAGTTTGCATCATATGGGTTATATGCATTTTATACTTATTCCTACTTCCTTAACACTTTTGGTGTAGTTCTGAGCAGAATTTCCTCGAGTATGTTTTGTTTTATTATATGTATATAATAAAGCCAGTAATTTTTATTTTGTAACTGACCTCCTTCCTAATCTCTCATTTTTAAGTCTTTTGAATGAATCATGTTAAAAACAGTAAATTCCCCTTTTTCTTTCCTAATATTAATATTTATACAAGTTATGTTAGTTTTTTGGCTAGCCTAGTATGTGAAATGTGCAATCAAATCAAATATTAAAAGGGCTTCGAATCCTTTATTGGCTTCTTAAAAAGATAAAGGAATTGGTGAAGCACCATTATCGAAATATGAATATATTTAATATTAACTTATTGCAGATGAGCAGTCTGGGTTTAAAAAAAAACTTAAAACAACTTCTTTATGTTTATGTACATGGGTATGGTTTTTAGTAATGCTAGAGGTCACTTTCAGGTCCCACAGTTTTAAAGAAAAATGACTTTATTTTCTTAGTGTTTTACTATGTATCTTCTTTGTAACAAATAAAAATTCACCAATACCCTGGAAAATCTGGGGTTCTCTTTTTAGGTGAGAACACATTATAGAAAGCTCCTAAATCAGGCAGAAAAGTGTTTAAATCCAAGCTCTACTGTTACGTATGTGTGACTTTAGACAAGTTACATAATTTCTCTTACTCCACTTCCCTCGTCTGTAAAGTGGAAATAATACCATACAAAATATTGGAAAGCTAAAATGAGATACGGTTATCATTGCCTGACATATAGCAGATAATCAACAAATGAGGGTCCAACAATGTCATGTTGGCCTTCCATGAAAATAAGGTAAAGCATTTAATAGTTTGCCTCCTACCTGGGATTTCGCAGTAAGTGCAAGAGAATGGTAACCACCTGCCTCCAGATGGATTACTTCTTTGCCATCCAGACATTTTACACACAACGGTTGAAGCCTTAAAAAGAAACACACAGGCACACAAAGTCAAAGTATTCTCAGCAAGAATCGTAGCCTTTCTCAAATTATAAAGTGCTGTCGTGTAAAAATAAACATTTCTAAAGAAAACATTAAAATAAACATAATGGATATATGGTCAATCTACTCCTAAATATCATGAATAATTTTTGGAAGGTTTTAACCTTTGTCTATCAATCACTAATTAATCCCCATAATTTAGAATCTGTTAAGAATCATAAAACTACAAATGATTCTTTATAGCAAAAAGTATACTTAGGATACAGTAAAAAATAACCACAGAAGGAAGGTAATTTTTAAATTAATTCCAGTTGCCTTCACTCTACTATGAATACAGACATTTATATTAACTCACTACTTTAGATAATCATTCCAATTACTCACTTAAAAACTTCCCAATATCTAATTTGTTAATGTCGTAACAATTTCTAATAAACAAAATGCCAGTTTTACCCTAATATATGTGAATAGACATAGTCTGATGTTTGAATTATAGTTATTTTGGCAGTGGCAGAGACATCTTTCAGGTTAAAAAACAAAACAAAAAAAACTGTTGGCTCTTTTCTTTTCCTATGTGACAGGTGGGGGCCTCTTTTTCATCAATTAAAAATCTGAGCCATTCCTGTCTTCCAGTGAAATATAATCTTATCCCAACACCCCTTTCTGTACTCCAAGATGAACACACATTGAAGAAGATATGGAAAAGCGCACCATGGATACTTAAGTCTTTTACTGCTTTTTTTTTCTTTTCCTTTTTTTTTTTTTGAGATAAGAGTTTCATTCTTTTGCCCAGGCTGAAGTGAAGTGGCACAATCTCAGCTTACTGCAACCTCTGCCCTTCCCAGATTCAAGCGATTCTCCTGCCTCAGCCTCCTGAGTAGCTGGAATTATAGGAGCCCACCACCATGCCCAGCTAATTTTTGTATTTTTAGTAGAGACTGGGTTTTGCCATGTTGGCCAGCCTGGTCTCAAACTCCTGACCTCAGGTGATCCACCTGCCTCAGTCTTCCAAAGCACTAGGATTAAAGGTGTGAGCCACCAGGCCTGGCCAAGTCCTTTACTGTTAAGAACAAATTCAAGAGTAAAGTGACAGCTTTTTATCAGAGTTAATGGTGTGTAATAATCTGAAGCTAGAAGAGCCCAGATTTCCTCTATGAGGAAAGTGAGATTTAGAGACCTTCCCAGGAGAGAGATTATTTGTTTAAGCCAACTTCTATCGGTAAATGTTGGTAGCGCTTACCTAGGCAGAACATCGCCGTGCCCCAGCTGCCCTTCCTTCCCTTTCCCCCAGGTCCACACTTCTGTTCTCAGAGAAGGCAGGAGCGCATCTGCTTCTCCACTGTATGTGGGGGTCAGAACCACTGTCCTCGTTTTCACCCGTGCAGCCTTTCTTAAGAGCCTGGGGGAAACTGAAAACCAACCAGACGTGGGGTGAAGGAGTGGGAGTCCAGAGGGTAAGAAAACATATCATTTGGACAAACTTAAGATTTTCAAAAACATACGCCACCAATGGTATTTTTGAAGCATATTCTAGAGGCTCTCTGTAGAAAAGGGGACCTGTTAGTCAAATGAAATTGGTAAATACTCACTGCTACAATCTATCCTCCCACTACCTCCTCTGCAGAGATTCACACACACATTAGCACACACTGAAGGTGGTGACAAATCCTGTAAATAAAAGCCCTGTTTAAATATGTTTAACCCAGCTGGAATTCCAAACATTTAGCCACAGAAACCTTTTCTGTACAACATCTAGTGACATCCTATAGAACTTGTATTCTAAAGAATATGCTGAACAAAATACTATACTAAGGCTGACAAATACTTTTCTCATTTGAAAACAAAAATTAACGAGCCAGGCAAAGTGGCTGTAGTCCTAGCTACTCAGGAGGCTGAGATGGAAGGATTCCTTGAGCACAGGAGTTTGAGGTTATAGTGTGTTATGACTACATCTGTGAATACCCACTGCACTCCAGCCTGGGCAACATAGCAAGACACTGTCTCTTTTTTTTTTCTTGAGACGGAGTTTCGCTCTTGTCATCCAGGCTGGAGTGTAATGGCATGATCTCGGCTCGCAGGAACCTCTGCTTCCTGGGTTCAAGTGATTCTCCTGCCTCAGCCTCCTGAGTAGCTAGGATTACAGGCATGCACCACCACACCCAGCTAATTTTTGTATTCTTAGTAGAGACAGGGTTTTGCCATACTGGCCAGGCTGTTCTCAAACTCCTGATCTCAAGTAATCCTCCTGCCTTGGCCTCCCAAAGTGCTGGGATTACAGGTGTGAGCCACTGTGCCCGGCTCCCATCTCTTAAAACACAAAAAGCCTTTCTAAGTCAAGGTCTAAGTTGAAATATATTATGAATAATTGTAATAAAGAATTCATTTTAGCTATAAAATGTAAACATTTCTGAGACGGGAAAAAGATTATGAAAGGGATATACTAAAAAGCTTTTGTACTTGCCTATTTCAAATTATTTTACAGAGATGTTAAAAAATGTTTTAAAAGAACATTGCCATCTTTTATAGTGTTCAAAATTACATCAAACACACACAACACTATGTGAATAGTGTTTGATGCCAGGATAAGATTTGAAGAAAATCATCAAATGTCACTCAGTAGAGACTTAGTCATTAGGTCATTAACTTGAGGGCCACAAGAAAGTGATCATCACTGCCTAATATCAACATCTTTTCTGGTGAATGTATCGTTTCTATGCATACGGAGACTCAAATAAACCTACTTGAAGATTCCTCAAGGATGTACTCCAGATAATTCTTAGAGAGGGGGAAAAGAGTACATGTAAAATTTTTCGAAAGATACTTTAGGTTACTAAGTAAAATTTAACCATAGGATATAAGTCTATTAGTGGGATTCATGATGTAATGATATGAAAAAATATTCCACATTTGTAGTTCAAAGAGATTGCAAATATATTTATATACTTAAAATGCTAAAGGACACTTAAGAATAAGAAAAGTTTGGTGCAAGATTCTCCTTCAGATTTAATAGAGATCATAGGCCTTCTTATACATCATATATATTATATATATATACATATATATTCACATTAATCATGACTTAAGTTTTATTTGTGTAGAGGAAAATCTGGTGGTAATGAGAATTAAGAGTGGCACAAGAGTGTTCAGTAAGTAGAACAAGGGGAGAAACAGGTGCAGAGTAAAAAAGGTAAGTTTTAGTACAGTCTAGAATTCCTAACTTTTGAGCTTTGCACAAAATCATGTAAACCAGGAGTTGGTCAATTATAGCCCATGGCCAAACAGGGCCTACCATATGTTTTTGTAAATAAAGTTTTGTTGGGATATAGCTTCACTCATTCATTACATATTGTCTCTGGCTGCTTTTACATAACCACAGCGTAGCTGAGTAGTTGTCACAGAGACAGGATGTCCTACAAACCTTAAAATATTTCTCTTTGGCTCTTTACAGAAAAAGTCTGCCAAATCCTGGTCTCATCAAATGCTTCTCAGACTTTAGTGTGCATACTAATCACCTGGGGGACCTTGCTCTAATGCATGTTTTGATTCAGTAAGTCGAGAGTGGAACCTGAGAGTCTGCGTTTGTAACAAGTTCCCAGATGCTGCTGATGCTGCTGGTCTGCAGGCCACTCTTGAGAAGCATTAAGTCCAGATGGCTGAGACTGCTGAACTGATTGAGAAAAGGAGAAGAACCAACTGCATAATATTCTAAAAAGTTTATTGCCTATGGTCTCAGAAAATGAAATTTTCTCTTCTTGAAGCTTAAGAATTCTCTCCTCTTTCAAGTCAAGTACAGTAATTCACTTATCCAATGGTCGCATCTCCAACCTCATCGATCTGGAGTATCGGTCCCAATTAGGAAATAAGAAGGGTACTGTAACACTCCAGAACAATAAAATAAGATTCACAATAAGGTTCATAAGCAGGAGCAAACATCAAGAAAAAGTGACGTTCTAACTTTATAGTGATATCTAAAGCAGATAAACATGTAACTTTCTTTTAAAACCACCATTAAATAAATATTCACATTTGAATATGTCAGCTTCATAATTAGGACAGCTTTTTTAATAATACAGCATGCGATGTCAGGAGCATCCTGGATTCCCCAAAAGTCAATTCACAAAACCTAGTTATTTCCTTACCTTGTGACAACAATCCAGGGAGGGAGAGTCTTCGACTGCCTCCCTCTGTTTCTTCTTCTCTGATATCCACAAGACTTGAACTTTTCTTTCCTTGCATTGATTCCTGTTTAACCTGTTCTTCCCTGCTATCTTTCAAACCTTCGGGGCCAATGGCACTACTGCCTGCCTGAGCTCCAGTTTCACAAGGGGTTGTACTATAAAAGTTCATAACTTTCTTCAGTGACAAGGCACCAGCTTCATAAGTAGCAGCCACTCTCACACCAACAGCAGATGCACAAGAGACCACCAGGCTGTTTAGGGCTGAGGTGCTTGTGGTAGGCGGGCTGTGGAGATTAGGAATTGCTTCTTCTAAAAGAGGCTAAAATATACACACATAAAAAATTATATAAAAATATAATCCCTTATGCAACAAGCAATCAATAAAAAGAAAGGCTAATATCCATCGCTATTTGCATGTAAGAATCTAAAACGACAGAAGTTCTCTTCATCTTCAACTAAAGGTATTCTCTTCTTGATCATGGAGTTAACACATTAAATGGAAATGAGTACTCAAAATACAGTTCCTTCTCCAAAGTACTTCCTTTTGTCTAGATGTTGTGTTTTTCTATGGTATTTCAAAATAAGCCTCGGCTGCTTTTATAAAATTAAACACAGTAAAAAGGGAGGGAGAAGAAAAGGCATGGAAAACACTGCCTTTAATGCCAAGTGCACTGTGACAGCCCTGGACAGAAGATTGAAAAAATGCAAATTTCATTATTGATCCCTTTCAGGAAAATTTATACAGACTACTACCTAGAAGTGGCAGGAAAAAAATTAGATTTTATGAAGAAAAAAAAAGCTTTCCCTGAAATGCTTTATAAATTGAAATTTAGATATAGCATATGGAGATGGAAAAATAAGTTATACCTGTAACCTATCATCTCCCAAATTATGCTCAACTCGAGTGCCTTTACTGGCTCATCAATGAGTTATTTTCTATGACCCAGGGGCTAGAAAAGCTGTAGGATTACCTTTGCTCTTGCTACCACAGATGGCAAATGTGGTAGGTTAATAATTAAACATTTGGAACCAGTGTTCTTAGTGTGATTCTAGAAGTGTACTAGAAAGTCAAACTAAAGTTTTCTGATATCTTAATGAAAAAATCAGTTGAAATTTACTCTAAGCTGTCAAACATCATTGTTCCCTAAAAAGGAAGGTCATTAAATGTACCTACCAAACACATAAAAAAGCTTTCAGCTCATCAGCATAGATCATATTGAAAAATTTGCTTCTTATTGTACCCAAAGATCTCAAAGGGAATATACACATTCCTTCATTTGTCCTAAACTAAAATACAAATATAATGTGTGTGTGTGCGCATGTGTGTGTGTGTGTGTGTGTGTGTTTGTTTGTATATTTTAACATTGGCATCTGACTTCCTAAAGGAAATAATTCCTGGTACCTAGCGAAGTGCCTGACATGTAAGTACTCAAAACATTTTGTTGAATTAAACGCTAAATTCAAAAGAGCTATTTCCATGCAAATTAGTCTGTAAATAGTCAATAAACAAATATACTTAATAAAACGAAAAAGAAATACAAAGCCTATTACTTCTTTGGTGATACAGCTCCCACGATAGCTTGTTCAGAAGAACTAGTGTCACTATGTCCACTTTTTGTTTACAAAGGCTCCTTACATAAGCAGTGATGGTATTTAGAGGTAACTATTTTAGGGGGTTCTTAACCACTAGGTACAGCAAAGTCACAAAACTCTACCTTATATAAACCTTGAACTACTGTTCTAACTGGCTCCTTCTACTTAATTATATTTAAAAATATAGTAATAAGCCCTCCCCTACAAAAAACATAATTAGCAATTTTGATGAAATATATAATTTTAGGAGTTCCAGTCAACCAGTAATACTTTGGTTTATTTCCCAAGTGAGAGAGTCTCAGTTATATCTCGCCAGAAGAGAAAAAACTTGCCCTAAAACAAATAAATTCCTTGTGAATTAGCTGTATGATTGAGATGTTATTTACAAAGAATAAATTAAATGTAATAGAAACACACATTTAATTTAAATAAATTAAATTTAATTCAATAGAAACACACACATTGTTACTAGCATAAGTAACAAAAACTTCCAATGTTTAACAAAGTAAGTAAAATGTGATAAGCATGTACAGTCTAAGAATTTTCTACATGCATTCTTGTTAAACTACTACTTTTGCTTTGTTCAGACTTTATAATACCTTTCTCCAAACAGCTTATCCTTGATTTTTTTAAAAATTCAAATACCCACAAGTTTCAGTGAATAGATTGTGAAATAAAGACTATTTCTAAAAATACCTTCATGTTCACATTCTGACAGAGTAAACAATAAGAATTGAGAATCAAGAGGCTATGTGGTTTCAAAAACCTAAAAAGAAACACTGCAGGACAGATCTTTTATGAGTATGATCTTTTGTTTTGTTTTCTTACAGTTTTGGTAAAGCAAAATCAAAAGGCCACACTAAGAGTAAAACACAGAAATAATCCTTTTAAAACAATTTAGTTTAAGCGGGAACTCAAACTTTACCATGTGCTACTGATAAACAACTTTTGTTCATTCTACCACAAATCTTCAAAATGAAAATAGTTTTAATAAGATATATAAAATAGGCTGGGCATGATGGCTCATGCCTGTAATCTCAACACTTTGGGAGGCTGAGGTGGGAGGATTGCTTGAGCTCAGGAGTTTGAGATGAGCCTGGGCAACAGGCTCTACTCTACTTAAAAATAAAATCAGCAGGTGTGGTGGCATGTGTATAGTCCCAGCTACTTGGAAGGCTGAAATGGGAGGATCGCTTGAACCTGGGAGATCGAGGCTGCAGTGAGCCACAATCGCATTACTGCACTCCAGCCTGGGTGACAGAGCAAGACCCCATCTCAAAAACAAACAAACAAAAAGATAAAATATTAGCCACCTCTTCAAATTAAGCCCAGTAAGGACCACAGCTATAATTGAAAAAAACTGAAACATGTAATTGCCTGTAAGTTTTAAATCTGCCTACAATTGAAGGATCTGCCACAAAACAATCTTCCCTGTTAAAGAAGGAAAAGACTTTTCTCTACAGAATTCTGAAGAGTGTTACAAACACAAGTAAGAAGAATCTTTGTGAATCTCTAGTTATATTAAACTATTCAGGGCCCACCAAAATTCAGTACTTTAGCCATAGAAAAAAAGTACTAGCAAGAAAAAAAAATGAAATGCTCCTACTTATAAAACAAGCCCAACATGACACCTTTCAATATCATAAAGGGCCAGAACAAACATAAAGAGTGATTTTGAATTAATCCAGGTTCTTTCCTTTATCTAGGCTTGCCTGATAAAACAAAATTATAATCAAACTCAAAAAATAAAAAATGCTACCAAGCCTTACTCATTTTAAAGTTTCTAAAGAAAAGCCCATACAGTTCAACTCTAGACACACTTTTATTTTATAAAATTGAGCAGGTACCTGAGATGGCACTGGCTTTTCACCATGCTCTGAGTCCTCTCTTACTGAATGATCTGACAGTTTCCGTAGGTATTCATTGACTGCTTGGGTGTCAGGGTATGATGGTATGTTTCTGGCAGAGGAAATTTCAGTTGTTCCCATGACATTTTGTTGAGAGGACATGGCATCGCTGCTTGTGATCTGAGCACTTACTGCATTCAGTTCAGTAGCAACAGACTGATCATTTGCTACAAGAGTGTTCTCAAATACTTCTTCCTGCCTGTCAAGGGTTTCAGTGGAGGGGCTGAGAGCAGTGCTGGCATGGTTTTCTGCCTGAGATTCTGTCAGTGTCACACCTAATGGGCAACAATGACTGTCTGATATAATCACATGGTCTTCTTTGTCAGTCATAGTAATCAAGAGCTGGCTGCACTGGTTGCATCGTTCTGGGACTGGCTTCAGATCCTGGGAAGGGAGGCATTGTACAAGGGCTAAGCTGTGGAAAGCACCACAGGCAACTTGAAGCACCACTCGCCCAGCAAGATGTTCTACCTTTTGCGGCTTTGTCACTGGGAAGGCAGTGGTAATGAGACCCAACTGACAACCGGTACCCCATGCCCAAATCTCTCTGCTTATTGACAATGCCAGAGTGTGCTCCTCGCCACACGCCAACTGTAAAATCCTGACTGCTAACAAAGGGCTGGCCTCAGAATCAGCAATGCTGACAGGATTTGGTTCCGGCACATACTGCTGGTTGGCTACTGCACACTGGCCAGCAGAATTCTCTCCCCACATGTACGCGACACCATTGTCTGTCACTGCTCCACTATGGAAGCTTCCTGTTGCCACAGTAATAACATATTGCCCAACCAGGGCATTTTCTAGAATGGGGCTACTTGGACAAATCTCCACTGGTCCACTTCTCCAGGGAAGAGTCCCAAAGCTGTAGACCTCACCATCTGAAGGTTAAAAAAAAGAAAAAAGAAAAAAAAAAGGGTTAGTGAATTAACTAAAAATTTTAACAGCAAACTTTTAGTCCCCTATAGATTTAACCAAATTGGATTTTCTTTTTAAATTTTCAAAAGCAGTTGTAGAAATCTGGTTCAAGCACACAGTATTTCACATTAATTCATCTTTTTAAAAATGACTCTTTTTAATATTCTGCACTATAGTGAGAATTTCTACAAAGTGCAGGAGGCTAATCCTTTCCTTCAGCCTCATCCTACAAACTCCTCACATCAATCCACTCCTAACGGCCATCATCCAGGCTATTATAGAAACAGATTCCAAGTGTTCAAAGGCAAAATAAATAACCATGTTAAGATAAAATAAGCAAAAAATAAGACAAAACAGACACATTCACTAATATCTACAATTCACTACTACTAAACAAGTTGGAACAGCAAAAAATTATGCAATGGCTTAAAAATATTAGCGATTCATTTTGGCCAAAACTAAGAAATTAACTTTATGCCTCTAGGCTGTACAGGAAGCACCAGTTCTTAACAAGACATGGCTGTCTTCACTTTGTATGTCACATTATATATAGTTTTGAGATGTTACATAAATATACAGGTTGAGTATCACTTATCCAAAATGCTTGGGACCAGAGGTGTTTTGGATTTCAGGTCCAGGTTTTGGAATATTTGCCTTATGCTTACTGACTGAGCATCCCAAATCTGAATGTTCCAATGAGCATTTCCTTTGAGCACCATCACATCAGCACTCAGAAAGTTCTGGATTTTGGATCATTTTAGATTTCAGATTTTTTAATGTGGGATGCTCACCCTGGACTTTATGTACTAGATACTAGCTAGTCTTTCTGAGGTGAGATTTGTTTAAAAAGCAAATCAGCTTCTTCTCTGAAAAAACATCAAATGGCAGATGAAGCTAGGGCAGCAGGAGGGCCCAGAGGCCCCAGAGACCCTGGGATGGGGAACCACAGTGACTTCCATGGAGGCTTGGGCAGTGGCATCTGGGGCCAGGGTCGGGGCCACAGAGCTCAAGGAGGCAAGGCTGAGGATAAGGAGTGGACACCCATGACCAAGCTGAGCTGCCTGGTCAAAGACACGAAGATGAAGTCCTGCTGAAAACCTATCACTTCTCCCTGCCCATCAAGGAGTCTGAGATCATTGACTTTTTCCTGGGGACCTCTCTCAAGGATGAGGTTTTGAAGATTGTGCCAGTGCAGAAGCAGACGCGCACTGGCCAGCACACCAGATTCCAGGTGTTTGTTGCCACTGGGGACTACAATGGCCACTTGCTCCAAGGAGGTGGCCACTGCCATCCAAGGGACTATCATCCTGGCCAAGCTCTCCAATGTCCCCGTGCACAGAGGCTACTGGGGGAACAAGATCAGCAAGCACCACGCAGTCCCTTGCAAGGTGACAGACTGCTGTGGCTTTGTGCTGGTGCGCCTCATCCCTGCACCCAGAGGCACTGGCATTCTCTTAGCCCTAGTGCCCAAGAAGCTGCTGATGATGGCCAGTATCGATGACTGCTACTCCTCAGCCAGGGGCTGCACTGCCACCCTGGCCAACTTCACCAAGGCCACCTATGATGCCATCTCCAAGACCTACAGCTAACTGGCCCCCAACCTCTGGAAGGAGACTGTATTCACCAAGTCTCCGTATCAGGAATTCACTGGCCACCTCGTCAAGACCCACACCAGAGTCTCCAGACAGAGGACCCAGGCTCTAGCTGTGGCTACAACATAGGGTTTTTATACAAGAAAAATAAAGTGAAGTAAGCCTAAAAAATGTTAAAAATAAAAAGCAAATCATCACAACAGAACAAAGCAAAAAAGCAAATGAACCTGTCAGAATAACTGGCTAGCTTTAGAATTAATGAAAGGCACCAGTGAGTTGGGTATATAAATAACTCATGTATGTCCAGCTATGCTACCAAGTCTTAATTTTACTGTAGTATTGTGGGAGCTTGGGAGCAGGTACACATAAGCTATGCTGGCTAAAAATTCAATGAAACAAAGACTTGGCTACGGGTTTTAAAAAATACTGAGCCAAGCCCACTATCCTTTCTTTTCCATATGACCAGAGATTTATGATTTTTTTTAATTAATGAAGAAATAAGCACTGTTTTTTTTCTCATAAGGCAGCAATTGAGTTGATGATGAAAACATGCAAACTTTATCTTTGACCTATTATACATGGCAGATACATGTATACACTCAAGTTAACTCATCACATCATCTATATAAGTAAGGACTCAATAGTGGCTACAGGGAAGATATGTGCATTTATTAGGAAATGTATAGTCTGGTTCAAGAATACTGACATGAGAAAATAAGCTCACTGGTTAAGCTCTTTTAAACTTTGTTTCCTAATACAACAGTATACTTGAAAAAGCTCACCAAGTCTTTCAATTAACATTATTCCACTAGAAAGAGCAATACTGCAAAGAAATGGATATTTAGATCCCTCTCCTTAAAAAACAAAAACAAAAACTGGAGCATATAAAAAATAGTGAAACAGGCTGGGTGCAGTGGCTCACGCCTGTAATCCCAGCACTTTGGGAGGCAGAGGCAGGCGAATCACTAGGTCAGGAGTTTGAGACCAGCCTGGCCAATATGGTGAAACCCTGTCTCTACTAAAAATACAAAAAAAAAAGAGCCAGGAGTGCTGGCACTGGCCTGTAGTCCCAGCTACTCGGGAGGCTGAGGCAGAAGAATTGCTTAAACCCAGGAGGTGGAGGTTGCAGTGAGCTGAGATCGTGCCACCACACTCCAGCCAGGGCAACAGAGCGAGACTCCGTCTCAAAATAAATAAATAAATAAATAAATAAATAAATAAATAAATAAATAAATAAAAGTGAATCAATGAGGTATCTTCATTGAATTATGAGCTAATGGTCATATTTAATAGAGATGAAGAACCTTGAAAATTTCTAGCACTCAACCATTTCCTCAGCTGGAAAAGATAGCACTGGAGGTCCGTATGCAATTTCAAACATACACTTGTGTTAGACGACGTTTTCTTTTGGTAACTGTGACACTTAATACCAGGACACTGCTTAAACATGAATAACGATAGGCTATTTAAATATTTTTGAAAAGTTTTCCTTCAGTTGTCCTAGCCTTGAAGGTATGATTCTAAAGATACCATGTTTATAGTCGAATAACTTTTTTTTTTTTTTGAGACAGGATCTTACTTTGTCAGCTAGGCTAGAGTGCAGTGGCATAATCACAGCTCACTGCACGCAGCTTTGGTCTCCCAGACTCAAGCTATCCTCCTGCCTCAGCCTCTGAAGTAGCTGGGACTACAGGCGCAGGCCTCCATGCCTGGCTAATTTTTAAAATATTTCTTGTAGAAACATGGTCTCCCTATGTTGCCCAGGAAACATGGTCTCCTTATGTTGCCCAGGCTGATCTTGAACCCCTAGGCTCAAGGGATCCTTCTGCCTTGGCCTCCCAAAGTGCTGGGATTACAGGCATAGGCAATTGTGCCCAGCCAGTTTCATTAGCTTAATGAAAATATTCCAAATATCTTATTGAAAACAACAACAGAATTCCACTTATATTTGCTTGAGAACTATATATTTTAAATCTCATAGGACAGGTATTGAATATAGTTCACACTTTTAAAGTAAGATTGTTTTTAAAGTCCTGAAGAATAATATTATAATAAAACTGATATAAGACAAACTAGAAAGAAATCCATGTTTATCCCATACAACCACCAGGACCAGATTTAATCCTTGTTTCCTAGAATTTGTCTTCCTTTAGTTCCTAGAAAGAAAATACCAAAGCATTATTTAATACCTTAATAAATACTTACAGAGCAGAAATTTATAAATTAGTGAAGTAGATGGCAATTGGTGCCCAAGTCAAATTTGTCATGATTGAGTTGATAAAGTGCCATTAAGATTAAAGGTACCTCTATAAATTACAGCACACGTTTCGGTAATAGACTCATAGATTTTATAATATGCATTGTGAATTGCTATTCATGCCTGAAAAAAAAAATTATATTGAGAAAGTTCAGCCAAGTGGCTTTAAAAGCAGGCTTTGAAATCAGACTGAGTTCCAGTCCTGACTCTGACACTTCAATAGCTGTGTGTGCTTGGGAAAATTTAATCTCCCTGACTTTCAGTTTCCTTGTCTGTGAATAATAATAGAAGCTACCTCATAAGGTAGCAGTGCAGATTCAGTGAGATAACACATGGAACTTGTTATCTCACTAACTTGTTATCTACTAACACATGGGGCTTAGTATAGTGTCTGGCATACAACTGCTTAACAAACATTAGCTATTATTAGCATTAGTATTCTGATAGACTTAATGAACAAAAGTTATAGCAAGAGTCTCTGAATAGGTAACCTTTTAAAAAGTTAATTTTTCATGTATTTATTACCATAAAATTTTAAAACTATAACTCTCCCTTTTATTCTAGTTAATAGTATATTTTAAATTTAAGAACTAATCTGATTCCTGATAAGGGAGTAAGAATATATCTTGAAAACAGAAATAGTTCATTAAGAACCCCTAGGCTGGGCGTGGTGGCTCATCCCTGTAATCCCAGAACTTTGGGAGGTCGAGGCGGGTGGATCACCTGAGGTCAGGAGTTCAAGACCAGCCTGGCCAACATGGTGAAACCCCATCTCTACTAAAAATACCAAAAAAATTAGCTGGGCATGGTGGTGAGCACCTGTAATCCCAGCTACTCGGGAGGCTGAGGCAGGAAAATTGCTTGAACCTGGGAGGCAGAGGTTGTGGTGAGCTGAGATTGCACCATTGCATTCCAGCCTGGGCGACAAGAGCAAAACTCAGTTTCAAAAAAAATAAAATAAAAAAAAGCAAAGACTTGGAACCAACCTACATGTCCAACAAGGATAGACTGGATTAAGAAAATGTGGCACATATACACCATGGAATACTATGCAGCCATAAAAAATGATGAGTTCATGTCCTTTGTAGGGACATGGATGAAACTGGAAACCATCGTTCTCAGCAAACTATCGCAAGGAGAAAAAAACAAACACCGCATGTTCTCACTCATAGGTGGGAATTGAAAAACGAGAACACATGGACACAGTAAGGGGAACATCACACACTGGGGCCTGTTGTGGGGTGGAGGGAGCGGGGAGGGATAGCATTAGGAGATATACCTAATGCTAAATGATGAGTTAATGGGTGCAGCATACCAACATGGCACATGTATACATAAGTAACAAACCTACACGTTGTGCACATGTACCCTAAAACTTAAAGCATAATAATAATAAAATTTAAAAAAAAAAGAAAGAAAAAGAAAAAGAACCCCTAGTATCCAATGACTCCCATACCTGACCTTCCACACTCAGGCATTTGTTAGCATTGCAGTTCGTATTTGTTACGCCATTCTTTTCATTACCTTCAGTCAGAAGAACTCCATGTTTCACTCCGAGGGCTGCCTGCAAAACAGTCTTTCCTCCCCAGCCTGGCAATCTCTCTGGTGTTATGGGAAAGGATCCTGCCTGCCAGATATGGACCAGGCCTCTTTCCTTGGATCCTTCTGCCTCTGTTGAGCTAAAACATCAAGAAACATAGCTTAATTGTTTCTACAATTCAGAACAGTATCCTTTGTTCTTAATACTTTTCATGATTGTACCTTTTACCAGCACATGGATGACTAGGTCAGATAGCTGAATTAGCACCTATTTTATGCTTTGGTTATGCTCACAGAAGCCAAGGTAAAACAACTATTTATATAAAAGACTGAAGGATGTGGGGCGTGGTGGCTCACACCTGTAATCCCAGCCCTTTGGGAGGCCGAGGCAGGCAGATCACAAGGTAGGAGCTCGAGACCAGCCTGGCTAATACGGTGAAACCCTGTTTCTACTAAAAATACAAAAAAAAAAAAATCAGCCGGGCATGGTGGCGTGAACCTGTAGTCCCAGCTACTCAGGAGGCTGAGGCAGGAGAAGCGCTTGAACCCGGGAGGCGGAGGTTGCAGTGAGCCAAGATCTTGCCACTGCACTCCAGCCTGGGCGACAGAGCAAGACTCTGTCTAAAAAAAAAAAAAAAAAAAAGACTGAAGGACACTCTAAACCCACAAATTACTTTTCTCCATCTAAGAAGCAAACAAAACTTGGGCTATTTTTAGAAGTTTTAGCATTTGGTAGCATAAAATTCCAAGATTCTAACTTCTCAATATATTCACTCCTTGTTGAGATATCAAAGCTACAACATGCCCAAGTTGAAGTCTTATCATAAAATTTTATAGTAAGTAAAAAGTACTTGATGAGAACAATATGAGAAACAGGAATTCATATTTCACTTTATGTTGAGTTTAAGTGTAGAACTGCTATTTAAATTTTTAGGAATCAAGTTTATAATAGATATCAGTAAAATCCTTAATGCTTTGCTCAAGTTCTAGCTAAAGAATTCTACACATCTGATGATTTCGGTTTAAAGAATACAAAACACATAGCTGCACAGTAATGACCATATCCTAACTGCCTTCTTCTAAGAAAAGGGCACATTAAGATATGTGCCACCATTGGTAATACATTTTTTCATTTTCTTTTTTCTAGAACGCTGATGCCAAAATTTTAATGAGGCACAGAAACTCTTTTGAATAGCTAAGCATTTATCTATATTTGCTAAATAATATTCCCTTAAATTATAACTGGACATAACCATGGTTCTATAGGAGGAACAGTATACATTTAACCTTCCTTTTAAATATCTTCCATAACTAGTTCTTTAAGGATGGAAGATGATTAAGATTAGCAAGGCTACTTCTGAAAACCTGAAATTATTTGTGAGGGAAAAATGGCTACAAGCACTTTAAAATGATGAAATGAAGACATTTAGTGCTTCTTACAAAGCTTACAACTAACAAGCCTTTTTAAAATTTTATCTTTACCAACGAACTAACTACAAATGTCACTATTCCCACTTAACAACCATCAACAAGAAAATTAAACTGAAGAGAAGCTACACATATGTGAAGCTGTTTGCTATGTTTTCCTAGGAGGATAAGAGAAAAGGAAGAAATGATTTTACCTTCTCTTCTTTGAGTCCATCGGTCAGTGGGAACACTCCATCACCAAATCATTCCTTCTTTACAGAAAGTCTATCAAGACCTAAACAGTACAAGTAAGGAAAAGAGCAGTAAAAGAATATTTTACCCCTCAGACATTAAAAAAAAAAAAAGCAGCCCTCTAACAAGTGCACATTCACTAGGAAATAAATATGCAGTAAAACTATTTAAACTATTTCATATCTTGCCTGCCAAAGTCAAACATAGGCTGAGCCTGCCCACTAAGCTTATAAAAATGCCCATTGACTGTCAAATGTAATGTCAAAGGAAGAAAAGACTACCCACAATTAAGCTGTACTCTTCCAGGCAATAGATTTTGTTTTTTATTATAAAGAAAAAAGTTCAATCTGAAAAATCAATGTGTTAAGTACAAAAAGTACACACACATTAAGGGTACTTTTTAAACGCTCTGTCTGGAATGCATGAAGACTTAAATACCAATTAACTCAGATTTTCTAAAATCTCTTCAGTAATGTATCTGATTCAAGTAGTTTTAATTTATACTTTTCAGTAATGCACAAAAATTATGTCATTAAAATAGGAAGTTTTCCACTTATTGGAAGAAGGAACATTTTCCCCAAATCACCTTCGATTCAGACCAACATGCCTCATAACCCAAACGGTTGAAAGAAAGAAGTCTGAATTTTAAATCAGCTGTTTTAAAATCCACCTTTAATAGAAAATAGCTGTATGAAAATTATAGTTACAAATATCATGGCCCATCAGTTTAGAAACTCAGTATTTAATAAAATAAGAGATAGAAAAATAAACAGAAATGCTGAGTGCATTTCAACTCAGAAATCCACATTTGTAAGGGTACCAAAACACAAGAAAACAAAAGCAGTTAGGTCTTATTTGTGTAAACCATAAAAATATTGGGGCCAAATTTGTGGTTTTTCTGCAAAAGGATATGGAATGGTCACTGTGTTCTGGAAACAGCTCATACTGGCAGGAGTGATCTGGGGTCCATCTGTTTCCTCCAGGTTGCCTGTGAATTCTTACCATTTCCCATCTGTACATCTGAAGAAAATTACTTTCCACCTAATGCTTATTTTAGAAAGATTATGAATCATTCAAAGTTGGAAAATGGGTACTATGTTAACAAGAGATATATCTGAATAAATTTAATAAATGATATTCATTTAATAAATACAATTAAGTGCTACTATGCTTTGTCCATGATAGTAATTAGCCTTTTGTAAAATGCACAGTTCATGGTGTACAGAGAAATTCTGCCACCAGATCTAATCTGTGCTTATCTATCAGAGATCATGGAGTTACTACGCCCTTGATTAAATTTCAACAATAGGTAGCGGAAGCCAGAGAATTATTCTACGAGGATGTGGAAGCACACAAGCACACCTTACTTCACACAACTGACACACTATATGTAAACGGAATTTTGTCCTACTAACAATCAAAAATGTTGAGAATCTTTTGATAAAATGAATAAAGTCAACCTTTATTCTCTCTTAGTGCCAGATTTTTGAGCACAGTTTTCTTAAAGTTGGTTACACCTTACTCAATATTATTTATCACCACCACTCATTTTTTTTTTTAACCTAAATGGAATTAAAACTCTACAAACTGTTTTTACAACTTTCTTTTCTTACTTACTATAGGGCAGGCCAAATAACGGTCTCCAAAGGCATCAAGGTCCTAATGCCCAGAACTTGTGACTATGTTAGGTTGTGTGATACTAACCAACTCTCCTTAAGATAGAAAGATTATCCTGGTTATCCAGGTGCACCCAATGTAATCATAAACATCCTTAAAAGTGGAAGAGGGAGGCAGGAGGAGAATCAAAGAGACATGATGATGGAGGCAGGGTCAGAGATGACGCTACACTGCTGACTGAACATGGAAGAAGGCAGCCATGAGCCAAGGAATGCAGGTGACAGGTAGCAGCTGAAAAGGCAAGGAAAAGAATTCTTTCCTAGAGCGTCCAGAAAAAAGCAGCCATGCCGACACCTTGACTTTAGTCTACAAGACCTGTGACAGACTTTCAGCCCACAGAACTTGAAGATAATATATTTATTTGTGTTATTTTAAGCCACTAAGTTCATAACAATTTGTTGCAGCTGCAGTAGAAAACTAATATATTATTTCACAGACATCTTTTTACATCAGTATTTACAGATTTTTTTTTTTTTTTTTTTTTGAGACGGAGTTTTGCTCTTGTCACCCAGGCTGGAGTGCAATGGCACGCTCTCGGTTCATTGCAACCTCCGCCTCCCAGGTTCAAGCAATTCTCCTGCCTCAGCCTCCCGAGTAGCTGGGATTACAGGCACCCGCCATTACGCCTAGCTAATTTTTGTATTTTTAGTAGAGACGGGGTTTCACCATGTTGGCCAGGCTGGTCTCGAACTCCTGACCTCAGGTGATCCACCTGCCTCGGCCTCCCAAAGTGCTGGGATTACAGGTATGAGCCACCTTGAGCCACCGCGCCCGGCCCCTATCTCATTTTGTTTTAATGGTGTTTAATATGTTTGACATCTTCCAACAAGATACGTCTGCCTGAAACTCCAATAGGGCAATGAAGAAAACTGATTGCTGAGGAAACATAACTAAAAAGGAATATTGCAACTAAATGTGGGGATCTTATGTTATTAAAGTTTTATCCTCATATACTTAAGTAAGGGTGGTATTTACCAACTCTATTTAATCTAACATTCTTTCTCAATTACGTATCCATCCAGGAAAAGAAAGTAAATGAAAAACTTTTGTCTTTCTAATATTTTTATGATTGTCTCTCCAGGAAATCTATTAAGACTCACCTCAACCAGTCAAATAGCATTCAAATTTCTGTATGTTATTTCATTGCTTTAACATTTTAAGTTTTTATAAAATTGCCTAATCATAAAACTTCCTCTGGGGATATTTCTTCCAGAGAAGCTTTAAGGTCTTTATCATTCCTTAAGAGGGCAAGATCCTTGTACTCTGCTGCTTTTCTTCTGTTACAGTAACTTTCCTGCATAGACCTGTTAACCAGCTCTGATAAAGAAGCCATGTGATGTTGCATAAACAGCATTTACTGTGGGACCCTCTCTTACCTTGCATGGCCTCTCCACAGATAAATGGCATCTCCGTAAAATGAGCAAACCAGACTTCAGTCTTCTGAACCGCAGGACACAGCTAGATTCACTTTAAAGCATACCACTCTATCCTTCAAATTATTATCTCCTTCACAGTGATATGTAAAGTAACAAAACCCCAGGGGGCCCTTTAAACAAAGAGCAAACCTTGCTTCTTAATAAACTGATGCCACTTTTAGACTCCACTGGATACACATCCTTCTGTTACATCTAACAGAGAAATAAGTTGTCCTGTACGAGCCAAGGATATCATTTTAATACCATGATCTGGAAGTGCCCTTAACAACAACAACAACAACAACAATCTAGTCTAGATGTCCCAACTGTTAGAAAGATGAGCTACAACCATCTTACAGGTCTACAATACCTTAACCAGAAATCTATAGCTCTGAAAATTAAAAGTTTTTTCAATAACACTTTTGGTGGCAAAATCTAATCTGACCTGAACTCATCTGACAGCAAAATCTGACCTGAACTGATATGAGGTTATTTATCACTTTTATCCCTTTAGTGTGAATATTCATACATCGTGTTGTAGAAATATCAGTATGAATAGGGCAGCACCACAGATCCCACAGGAAGTGTTATATAATATATAGTTTATGCATCTTACTCTAAAGAACAAAACATAAATCTGAATTCCAAAATGCACCTTGCCCCAAGGGTTTTGAATAAAGGACCAGGAATCTATATTCAAAAACAACTATCGTTTTTTAGTAGAAGTCTCAAAACTTTTAACTATTTTATACTTAACTTGGTTTCTTTTATGTACTTTGAACATTTACTTCATTTTGGAGAGTACACTGGGGAGTTGCATTGCTTCCAGTGGGACAGTCTATGGATGCTTTCATGATTTTTTTTTTTTTTTTTTTTTTCATTTTTGAGATGGAGTCTTGCACTGTCGCCTGGGCTAGAGTGCAATGGCATGATCTCAGCTCACTGCAACCTCCACCTCCTGGGTTCACATGATTCTCCTGCCTCAGCCTCCCGAGTAGCTGGGATTACAGGTGCACACCACCACACCTGGCTAATTTTTGTATTTTTAGTAGAGACAGGGTTTCACTATGTTGCCCAGACTGGTCTTGAAATCCTGACCTTGTGACCTGCCCACCTTGGACTCCCAAAGTGCTGGGATTACAGGCGTGAGCCAATGCGAAGGGCCAATGATTTATTTCAATGACGATTTACATTTGTTTCAAAAGTTTTAAACCAATTTTATGGTGAACACTCACGGAGCACCAAAATGAATTTTTGCAAGGAATATCCTGCCTGCAAATACTCCATCGGCTCATCTTCTCAATGGAGGAAGGAAGCCTGGGTTCTTAAGTTTCATACAATGCTGCCAATTTGGTGAAGAAGAGGTGAATAAATGAGAGATGCTCTGGGGGCAGAACAACTAGTACTTGGTGATTAGACAAAGGTGGGGGACCAAGGAGAAGCAGGTATCAGAAATGATCCCTGGTTCTGCCTCAAATAGCTGTGTGTTGGTGGCTCCATTTCCTGAAATGGGCAAGAGTGAGGGAGATACGATTCTGAAGCAAAGATAAGATTCTGGTAGGATAAAATTTATTTTTAAGTTCAAGATGTCTGTGAGAAACCCAAGAGTACATATTAAGTGAATAGCTGAATATATGAACATGGAGTTCAAGAGAAAAGTCTCAGCAGCTGCTAAACTTGGGAGGGCGTATGGATAGTGTTTAAAAACAAGACAATAGATAATGTCATTGGGTATATGGAAAGAGAAAGGAAAGCGCAGTGTCAAGCTTTAAGGAGCTCCTGCGCCTGGAAGTTGGATAGGATGAGGATCGGACAAAGAGGACTGAGACTGAGAAGTGGTCTGCCGTGGGCACATGAAAGCAAAGGAAAGCACTTCAGGGAGGACGTCAATTAGGTCAAGGCAGCTGGGGTCTTGTAAGATAACTAAAGTGTCCATTGGATTTGCCAACACAGGTAACGGCTGAGCATGGCCACAATCTCAGTGGTTTGTTTGGGCACTGAAAACCAGATTGAAGTAAGCTGAATATAAACAGGAGGTGACAATGTGGAAATATCTTTATTTTCAGTGGGTGATCCTTTTGAAAAATGTTGAAATGGCAAACAAAGAAATGGAGCAGTAGCTGAAGGGGAATGTGAAAATGAAGGGTTTTCTTTTGCTGGAGGTTGGGGAGATGGGAGGAAGCTGAATATGTCTGCATGACAAAGGCTGTGGTCCTGGATACAAGGATGATGAGGACAGTGGGCAGAGCCAAAGTCCCAGACAAAGTGAAGGAGGATGCCATCCAGAATATATGTGGGGGGATTGTTTTTTTCATAAGAAGAAAGGTCTACGTTTTTGAAAGAAGAGAGATCACAGGTACAGATATAAGCAGAATTATACATTTTGTGGTGGGAGGATAAGGGTTCCATATGATGGTACCTGGAAGTGAAGAGGACTTCACAGTATGCATGTTGTATAGTCTGTTTCTTTATTTTATCCCACCCTGCTATACATTTTTGTAAGCTGCTTTAAATCCTTTTGGGAAGAAGGCAGGATATAAATAAAAATTTTAAATGTGGTAGAGAAATGTGTTGAGTGTATTATCCCAAATGCAAAGAGAAAGTTAAATCATGCAGGATCCTATGTATTCATCTCTACTCAACTATTTTCTGGATAAAGTCTTTTTGGCTTAATTCGGTGAAAGGTAAATTTGTGAGTCATAAGTATAATAACTTGCAAATGCTTAAATTTCAACCACTAAAACCACATGTATTTTTTTTCATCTACTATGTTCCAGGTATTATGCTAGTCTAAAATTTCCATGGAAGCAGAGTGACAAATATCGTATTTTCTAGTACATCCCAGCAGCTTAGTCCTGATATATAACAGGTACTCAATAAACATCTGTAAATACATGACTTCCTGCCCTTAAGAAATTTCCATACTAGTATGTTCTCTTTCTCATTAGAATAATGGCTCTCTATAGAGTTAGACAGTACCCTTAAGGGATAAGAAAGCTAATTTACACTAGCAAAACTGGGCCTTCCTAGTCTTATTCTCCTGTCTCAATTACCGGTTTAAAATAGTAAAACAACAGTAATAATTGTAGTTATAAGAGTAATGTTAATCAGTGATTAGAATGACAAGACATTCAGATAGAAAGGCAATAAAAATAATAGGTGAGTAAACTGTATCATAATGCCCTGAATGGAATATAGACATTGAGTGACTTGGATACAAAATTACCATAGATTTCATGTAGCCATTAACACTTCCTTTTTAAAGTCTGAGTTGGTTACATTTTATTACAATGTAGTAGAGTGACAAGTGATTTGGATACAAAATTACCATCAATTTCCTATAGTCATTAACACCTCCTTTTTAAAGTCTGAGTTGGTTACATATTATTACAATGTAGTAAACCAGAGTTTACACTTTGCAGTAAACAATAACAGAGTCTGGTATTTTACACATGGTAAATGCTTAATAAATAATTTGCTTTTAGAGGCTAGGTCAATGTTTACACATGGATTATGGTAACCTTTGACTCAAACACCTGACTTACAAATAATCTATACACCAACAACAACTGCTACTTCCTGGATATCCTGCCACTGAAGCCTTCCCAACCACTGTGGAAGGCTGAGGAAAACTCACCTTGCACTGAAGCCTTGGCCAACTAACCACCAAGAAGGCCACTTGGAACCCCACGCCTCTCAGCCTTAACTGCTGCACAGAAAGCATTGCCTGATACCAGTATGGGAGCCAATGAGCCTTCAAATCTTGACTCAGAGTAAGAGAATTCAGTAAATTAAGGCATTGGATATATTCGGTAGGCTGGCCTAGAAAGCTACTTATTAGTTATAATGTTGTTACTAATAGGATATGCACTAAGTCACTGATTCAAAATATATTTTAAGCTCCTGGAGGTCAGAGACTATGACTTATTCACCGGTATACTCTTGTACCCATAATAATCATTCTGAACAAGCTGGTTACATTTAAGTGAGTGCTTGAGTGAAAGATACAGCCCCTGATTTTCAGTTGCAATCCACAGACTTCCACGCTATAGATTTCTAGTGCCTGTAATAAAAGTCAGTAACAGATACAAAAGAAAAAAGTGTCTTCTCCTAATAGAAACTCTCATATATAATTTGCTAAAGGTATATCCTAACAATGAAGACACTTTTATCTCATGTCACTTTAAAAATGGTTAAACAACTCAGAGAAGTGTTCCTTTCTCCCTTTCTCCTTAGTACACAGACAGCTTTTGGTGCAATGAGAAACAGGAAGACTTTACAGTCTTTTTTTAATGCCTTGCTAATTTCATGCTGAAACTTACTGAAACTACACTCTCCTGGTTATGACGATCCTCTAATCGGAAATTATTCATGGTGGAGTGGGGGGAAAGTGTGTAAACATGGTACAATAAGTTCCCAGCAATGCCCATTTAGCTCTTTTTTGTACCCACTGCATATTTTAAACACATTTTTCAGGATTATTAAATAATAATCCCATGATGCATTGTGATGAATATTATAATACTAACAAATGAATTTCAAATTCCCAGGTACTGCCACTATTTGTGCCTGTTATTACATGGTACAGTGAATGTCCTGGTAAGTCCTGACACAAACTACTTATTCCGTTAATATTTGCAACTACTCTCTTATTAAAATGGCCACAATTTTTTCAAAGGCAATATTAGATTTACAGTTCAAAGTATGATGACTTCTTTCACCAACTGATAACAGTGCTTAGGATCATTCAGGGGCCACATAACTAAACAGGAAATACACATACTAAAAAATATTATTCTCGTGATACAAGTTTCACTTGCTTTAATAGTGCTAGTAGCAGGTTCTCTTTATTAGAAATAAAAATATTGTTTAACTCACAAGTTTAAATACTGAGGTTACATTAGGGATCAGCTACTAAACGTATTATTCATTAGTCAACCATTTAACACATTGTCATCAGGTTACTTACTAATATCTATAGAGACAACTATTTTCTTTGAGCAACAACTGGGATACTTGCATTCAAGGTATAAACTCAAGATAACTACGTTGTAATAAAATGTAACCAAGTTAAGCTTTTCAAAGTGTTAATGCTAATACTACACAAATCTGTAGTAATTTTGTATCTGAGTCACAACATGTCCAAATTCCTTTGAGGGCCTTATTATACAACTTGCTCCCCTATACTTCCAGAGTTCATGATTGGTATATGCCTACATTTCCCAAGCATCTCTAGAATGTTAATTCCCCTGCAGGCTTCATGTCCTAAAGAAAGCATTTTCCCAGGAGCACAAACAGCAAAGCAAAACTGACCAAATAATTGGTCTGTCTCCTCTCCTTAGAAAAGCTTTACATAGTGGAGCTGCACTGGCACATTCCTTTCTTATTGCAGGGAAAGAAGAGTTCTTTTTCCACAGTCTCCTAATTTGAGGGTACAAAGTAAAATAAAGCAAACATATTGGGAAACAGTCCTGATTATAAATAAAAATGTTAAAGTGCTAGTTTCACAAACTATCTTAACTATACATAAAACTGTAAAAATAAATAACAAATCTATGTACTCATCATCCAGTTTTAACACATATTAACATATTTTCATATTGGCTTCAGCTCTTTTTTAAAACACAAGAAAAAATAAGTTACAGAGGTGAAGAAACTCCACTCAGAATTAGTTACTATTTCTAAAGTTAATGTATCCCATTCCCACGTTTTCATATTTACTTTTATGTACTTTCATTAGATATACACATATCAATAAATAATGCATGCTATTATGTTGCTTTCAAAGTGTACACAAATGCATCTTACTGTATAAATCCTTTAGCATTTTGCTTTTTTCACCCAGTATTACATACTTGAGATGTATATATGTTGGTAAGTATAGATCTAGCTCATTCATTTTTATGAGAAGATAGTATTGAATTGCATGAATAAACCAGTTTATCCATTTCCCCACTAATCTTTACAGTTGGATTGCTCTACTTTATTGCTCTTTTAAAGAGCTGCTATAATCATCCTTGTTATATGTTTGCTTAGCCAATTGCCCCAAGTTTAGTTAAGATCTTGGCTCTACAAAAATTTAGGCTGTGGAAGAAAAAAAAATCCTGGAGTGAATGTTAGCCCACCCAAATGCCATTATTGGGTCTAAACCACTCCCTTCCTGATAGGGAGGCCATGTGAACTGAAGAACTGTGTGATGACTCAAAAGAAAAATATTTAAAATGTGATAATTAAGGGAAACATGAGATGATCAATTTGTGGAATTAATGAGATGAAAGCTGATCTTCTCTCTGGACATAATTCACTAGCAGCTAAGCGAAACTCTGCCAACAAACCCCAGTCTTTTTCTCATAGGTATTGAGAAAACTGTAAATTTTCTTCAAATTTGAAAGAAATATACAATAGCTCCAAAAACTACCAATTTAAATATTTTTTCCTCTACCCACCTGGATCAATCAGTTCAGCTACATGCAGGCAAACATCAAGACATAAGCTAAAGAAAGCACCATCACATATACAGATGAATAAGAGACAGGGAAAGGAAAATTAAATGCAATATGAAAAAGAAACAAGCCAGAGATTGTTGCTATTTTATTGATGACTACCTAACATTTTCTTAAGGACTGACACCCTACAAAACCGAGTACTTTCTTATTACAGACAACAAAATTGTTTGGTCATCAATGAAGGGTTAAGAGAAAAAAATCTGTTAAAACTCTCTACCAGGAAAATTCATATCCTGAATACACTTGAAATACGTGGTAGATTTAATTCCACAAAGTTATAAAAAGAGCTAAATGATTTAAAAGTCACAAATCCTCACAGCATGCCTCTGAGTGAGAAAGGTACCTCATAGTACCCAAAGCGGGCCTTCCTTTATACAAGCTTAAAAATCACCACTCTGCCTTTCTTCCTAGTTTTTCAACTCATACTTTACCTAGTCTCACATTAATAAATAATTGTAGATTTTTACAAGTCAGTCACATTTTTGAGATTATCATTAGAATGGACCCAGCAGCTACTGCTTTAAACCCAGTTTTCATGAAAAGGTAGGAGATTCCACCTAATTACAAAAACACTAACATCAAGACTCATTGAAGTTCTTAGCATACCCTTTGCTTCTTTAACAGTCAAAGTGCCCAAAGTAAGTGTTTCAAATGACAGCCCAAATTCTGAAAAACTGAAATTTGGAGAGAAGGGATTCCTGTTTATATTGAGTACATTTAAAAAGTAAATGGCCTGCATAATGCCACTCAAGTTTTGTTTTTTTCCCAAAATTATCGGTTTGGTATTTCATTTTTCTGGATCATTACAGTTTCAAATTTTAACACTGTTAAACAACTTTGACGTTTTCTTGCTATAATTATGAATTTTAAATCTGCTAATACTGGTCATAGTTTAGAAACTAATAAATTCAAACCATGTATAGATTCTGTCAGTATCTTTTTCACATTAAAATGTCCTTATGGAACACCAAAATTACTACAGAACAACTTGAAATCATATTTTATAGCTACTTCCTTAAAATATTCAGTTCCCTTCCCCATCACTTAAGAAAAGAGTCAGTTTGGATCATGATGTAGTGGGAGGAATTAATTATAAAAACAGCTAATATGTATTGAATATTTACCATAAAACAGGCACTGTAATAAATACGATACATGAACCATTACACGTAAAGGTACTGTTATCAGGAAAACATTTTTATCCCCAATTTAGAGACAAGAGAACTGAGGCAGAGAGATTAAATAACTTGCCCAAAATCAAAGATGTAAATGGATGTGACTCTGGGTATGTTCAGATACAAAGCCTAGAATCTTAACCACTATGCTTATGTTATCAAGGTTAAAACACCGTAGTTTACTGCAAAAAATTTTTCACTGCTTTAAATTATTCATTAACTCAAAGGTCAACCGGTCACTCCAAATCATATGATAAATGGGGGGGAAAATGTGGGACCAATAGGTTTGCTGAAGTTTTGTACCTGCTCAGAATAAACATATCACACAATTTTATTCCATATAGCCAAATATAAGGGTAACTGAGTAAAGATCTTCACTTGGGTACAGCAGTCAGTTCCTTCTCCATCCTAAACCAGAAAGAAAGCACTGTTCTTGGATATGCCACTTCAACAAGAGTGTTTTTTCTCTTCCACCATCAAAGCCTTAAGCAATAGAACGATTCTACCAGTCTACTGTTGCCTGTCTCCAAAGCAGCCCTATTATCCGAGGACGAACACCAGCGTCAAGGACCTGTGTTATTTTTCTGGCTTCGCTTCTCAAAATAACTTATCTTCTCCTCTTGATGAATTACTTGATAGGCTCAAAGACTTGCCTAAACTACTAATTCTTATTATCAAAGCTATTTTCTTTCTCCGCAACCGCCTTTTCAAGTAGCCCTTGGTCCACTCTTCAACGCGATTTGCACCCTGTGGCAAGGCCGCCAGGGACACTCAGCAGGGTTCCAGGCCACGGACCCCAGTTTATCAGCTCAGCGCCTAGTGTGGGCATTCAAGAAATTCTCGTGAATGAATAGCTGGAAGGCAGCGTGGGTGGAGGCGGGAAGAGGGGGCTTGAAGGAATTTCACGCAGCTGAGACCACTGCAGCGGCGCCCAGTCTGGGGAGGGAGAGACCGGGGCAAGTGGGAGAACCTGGGGCCAAGGCAGGGGCCGCCTCGGGCGCTGCTGGACCGGCAGGAGCAGTCGATCGCACCCAGAGCTGGGAAAATGCGGGCGCCGTCTCCGCAGGCCCCCCGCAGGGCGCTCTCCGGCCTCGACCACAGCCTCCGCCTAGCTCCCTGTCCCCGGCCTTCCGCATACAAGGGGTCCCAGCCGATAAGCCCTCCTTAGCCAATAGCCAACCCGGGACCCACACTCGCTCACCTGAAGCTCCACCGGCAGCACCGCGCTCCGCATCCGGCGCGAGCTTGGCAACCCAGTGGGTCCGCGGGATCAGCTGATTCATGGAGGGCGGGGCCTCCGGACAGGGCGGGGCTGCAGGGCGACTAGCGAAGGTAAACGAGGGCGCGGGCGGCTCTTGGAATCCGAGCTCCTGGGAATTGTTCTTGGGAGACTGTCGACGGCGTCTGTTGGGGGTCAAAATTGCTGAGAATGCGTTAGGCACTGCAGGCTACGTACTTGGGAGCACAGTCTCTCCCTTAGTTTAGGGCGGAGCTATCAGTCCTGAGATGCGCTTTGATGATGACGTAGAATAGAGTCGTCCAAGCCTAGCTACCCGAGCGCTCCCATGGTAACAGGCGGTGGTGAAAGTGGTTGGGAGCAGCAGTCGTTTGTTACCACCTCAAACTGCAAGGGCCGGAAGTATAAAAGTAAAAAGGCTGAAATATTTTCAAATTGCCTTTATGGACAGTACCCTAACAGTGGTCGCTTCTCCCCCCTACTCCCGCGAATGACGTCATCGCCTCGCGGCCCCGTTTCGCCATTGTATCCTCAATGTGTAAACTTACTGGTTAGTTGCAACCCCAAAAGATGGGGTGGGATAGGAGAAAATGAAGTGGCCTCTCCAGTGATTCCCGTAGTACTCCCCAATATACAATCAGTAAAATCAGCTTTCTTGTCCCGCGCACAGTTTCATAACACTGTTTTTCGCAGCCACAGTCCCACCCCACCCAGCCTGCACTCTCAAGTCCTCCCATGATTTTATGATTTTCCAGAGCTGCCACTCATGTCGCACAGTGGGTGCAAACCTTCTGCTGCTAGGCATTGTGCCATCGCTGGACCTGCAAACATGCAAATATTTAGACCATCAACGACAGATGTGTAGTCGGGTTCTGAAACTCCTATATCCTATTCACCAACACCCTCAACTCAATTTCCTCCCTGATCCTTCGCCCACCTGCAAAACTGTTAGTCTGCAACAGTTCAACCAACCTTGCTCACTCCTGCATCGGTGCAGAAAATCACACAACCCTGAGAATTGGCACCACTGCGAACGAAAAGTGTCCAACTTCAGTCGGGACTTCCACGTGCGACTACGCAATATTGCTGAGCCTAAGACAGTCACATTTACACATTGCTACTCAGATTATCTCCTATTCCCCTCCCCTGCTGTTCCCAGCCCTCACGCTCTTCTAACCTCTTACTGAACTCTACTCACTCACCCGCTTTGGTAAAAATAAAAATAAAAAATTTTGTCTCTTACATCTCTGAGGAAAGTGAGACCACTAGAGGTGAATTTCCTTAAATCCCAAATCCCATCAGCCACTACCACAAAACCTACCTGCAACCAGTTTTGATTTGTTTTGTTTTGTTTAGAGGGAGTCTCGATCTGTCGCCCAGGCTGGAGTGCAGTGGCGCGATCTCGGCTCACTGCAACCTCCGCCTCCCAGGTTCAAGCGATTCTCCTGCCTCAGCCTCCCAAATAGCTGGGATTACAGGTGCCCGCCACTACGCCCGGCTAATTTTTGTGTTTGTAGTAGAGATGGGATTTCACCATGTTGGCCAGCCTGGTCTCGAACTCCTGACCTCAATTGATCCACGTGCCTCAGCCTCCCAAGGTGCTAGGATTACAGGCGCGAGCCACCGAGCCCCGGCTCCTTTTCACCGAGTCCTTTTCTTCTCCCTCTTTCTTCTTAGAAGATCCTGAACTCAGGATCCCTAATCTCCCCAAAGGAAAGACTTTGTTCTGTTGATGAAAAAAGACAAACTTTATAAAATATTTGAAGAGGTTAAATATACTCTGATCGAAACATGAGTAACCATGGCCTGGGACACAGCCTCAAGAAGTCCTGAGAACATGTGCCCAGGGTGGTTGGGTTATAGCTTGGTTTTATACATTTTAGAGAGACAGAAGTTATAGGCAAAGACATAGATCAATACATGGGGGGCCGGTGGTGCTCACAGATTATAGGTGGATTCAGAGACTTTATGATGGGTTGAAAAAGCTAAGCTTTTCCTAAAGAGTTGAAGTTAGCAGAAAGAAATATTTGAGTTAAAATGAAGGGGGTTATAGAAGCCAAGGTTCTTGTTACGTAGATGAAGCTTCCAGGTAGCATATGTTATAGGACCTTAAAATGTGTCAGACTCTTGGTTAAATCTCTCCTGGATCAAGAAAAGACCTGAAAAAGGAAAGTGATTCTGTATAAAATGCAAATTCCCCCCACAAGAGACAGCTTTGCAGGGTCATTTCAAAATATGTCAAAGAAATATATTTTGGGGTAAAATATTTTTATTTTCTTCAGGGCCAACTATCTGTCTTGTAATGCTATACCATAGTCAGGTTAGAGTTGGATAATCTTATTGCTACAAGAGTCTATTTTGTCAGTCTTATGATCTCTATTTTCATTTCATGAAAATGGTTTAGACCACTTTAATGCTGGTCTAAACTCCAAAGGGAGAGGATATAATGAGGTATGTCCAACCTGCCTTCGCATCATGGCCTTAACTAGTTTTTAAGGTTTTCTTTAGGATCCCCTTGGCCAAGGAGGGTGGAGGGAGATCTATTCAGTTGGTTGGGGGGGCTAAGAATTTCATTTTTTTATTTACATTTCCATTACTTATCCCTTCTCCTTCATGTATTTTCAACCTCTGCCTGTCTTCTTATTCCTATATACTTACAGTGTATAAACCTGCTATCTATCTCATCTTTAATTTTTTTACTTTCTGCCTTTTTTCCTTTCCAACCTCATTTCCTACCTCTACTTTCTGACTTCCCAGTCTTCCTCACCATTTCCTTAAGTCTACTGAAATCAATAGTCATCTTCTCATTTTGTAATCTAATGGTACTGTCATAGAATGGAAGCATTCTATGCAACCATCTAAAACAAAGAGGATGATCTCTATATACTGATATGGAATGATCTGGAAATTAGGAGATAAGAGAAAAAAGCTAGATGCTAAGTCCTGTCCATAGTAGTCTACCAATTGTGTGTTATGTATGTCTTTTCAGGAGAGAGATAGGTAGGTTGGAAGATAGTGTAAACTGAAGAATCACCTTTCTAAATTTGAGATATACAAATTGTCTCAGATTTAGAAAGGAGACTTCGTTTTTTTTTTTTTTCTGAGACAGAGTCTTGCTCTGTCACCCAGGCTGGAGTGCAGTGGCTTGATCTCAGCTCACTACAACCTCCGCCTCCCAAGTTCAAGTGATTCTCCTGCCTCAACCTCCCGATTAGCTGGGATTACAGGCACGCGCCACCACACCCAACTAATGTTTGTATTTTCAGTAGAGATGGGGTTTCACCATGCTGGCCAGGCTGGTCTCAAACTCCTGACCTCGTGATCCACCCGTCTCGGCCTCCCAAAATGCTGAGATTACAGGTGTGAGCCACTGCACCCCGCTGAGACTTCTTTTCTTATAAAGAGTTATAACCTGCAAGGTGGCCATACTGACAGGCTTGGAAGTATAGCCTACAGTAGAGACCATTAGCAGGCATTTTGAAGGAGGAACGATTGAGTCAGGAGCTGAATGGGTTGGCTAAACATACACATTGAACAGATTGAATATTCACTAAGGGGGGTCCTGACACATGTATACTGAATAGCATGCATGTTACATGCACCCCATGTTCACTTTGGGATAGAGACTTAACATTAATTGCATTACATAATTATAATATCATTTTGATATAGAGGGCAATTATAATTATGTAATGCATTTAATGTTGAAGGTGAAGCAGGAATACAAAGGCACTTAAGTGCTCAGCCACTGTGAACTAGCCAGAACCAGTCCATGGCCGGTGGTCTCTTATCAGGAGAAAGTTACTGAAATCAGTGTCTTGTCCAATCAAAGCTATAGTTATGGCTTGTGGGACAGAGGCTCAGTTAGTCAGCATCTGGTGGTAAATGAGCTGCAATTGTTTTAATATTGCTTATCTCAATGCCAGCACTTGTTTAGCTGCTAGGAAAAAAAAAAAGAAAGAAAGAAACCTTTGGCAGTTAGAACATAGCTCATTCATTCATTCATTCATCTTTGAGACAGGATCTTACTCTGACACCCAGGCTGGAGTGCAGTGGCGTGAACATGGCTCACTGTAGCCTCAACCTTCTGGGCTCAGGCGATCCTCCCACCTCAGCCTCCCGAGTAGATGAGACTATAGGTGCATGCCACCACACTCAGTTAATTAATTTTTTTTTTTTTCTGTAGAGACAGGGTCTCACTCTGTTGCCTAGACTGGTCTCAAACCCCTGGGCCCAAACAGTTCTCCCACCTTGGCCTCCCAAACAGGTGCGAGCCACTGCACCTGGCCCAGAACATAGGTTATTCTTTAAGTGTAGGGGTGTGTGACAACCTTTTCCTGGTGTGACCTTAGATCCTGTTTGTAATTTGGTATCTTATTGCCACAAAGAGTCTGTTCCATCAGTCTTGTGATCTCTATTTTAACGGCTCGTCACGTGTCTAAGCCACAGAAGGGAGGGGTTATAATGAGGCATGTCTGACTCTGCCATTGCCAGGAACTCAGTTTTTAAGGTTTCTCAGGGGTCCCCTTGGCCAAAAGAGGGTCCATTCAGTTGGGTGGGGGACTCAGGATTTTAATTTTAGTTATCAACAAATAGATAGGTATAACATATATTTTTATCCTAGTATATGCATGTATTAGCTCTGAAAGGATAAAGAGTGGCTACCACTGTGGAGGGGAATCAGGAACAAGAGGGAGAAGAAAATTCACTTTTCCCTCTATGCCATTTTGTGCTGTTTAAATTTTTAATCATATGCTCTTTACTTATTTTTAAAGCTTTTAAACTTTATTTTGGCAGGGTCTTGCTCCATCGCCAAGGCTGAAGTACAGTGGCACAATCTTGGCTCACTGCAGCCTTGACTTCCTAGGGTCAAGTGATCCTCCCACCTCAAGCTCCCAAGTAGCTGGGATTACAGGTGCACACACCTGGCTAATTTTTGTATTTTTAGTAGAGATGGGGTTTCACATGTGGCCCAGGTGGCCCAGGCTGGTCTCGAACTCCTGATCTCAAGCGATCCGCCTGCCTTGGCCTCCCAAAATGGTGGGATTACAGGCGTGAGCCACTGCACCCATCCCTAAACATTTTCCTTAAGGGTCTAGTTCTCAATCGTATCTTCCTTTCACTTTTTTCTTCCTTGACTGCCGGGACACACTCCTTCCAAGAGTCATAGCAGGAGTTTCCCCCCTACTCCTTCAGACCTTTCCTTTACCTTTGCAGACTCCTTTCACCTGCCCCTTAAATTCAGGGACAAAATAAATATTTATTACATACTTATTATGTGTCAGGCATTGTTATAGGCGCTGAAAAGACATAATAATGAATAAAATAGACACGAGTCCCTGATCTCATGGAACAAACACTCTGGTGGTGTGGAAGAGAGTCTCAACACGGAAGTCATCACTTCCTCCCTCCATGCATACAAACATCATTATTGACATCAAGAGATGGATCCTGTGTCCTCTCCCCGCAAATGTAGGCTAGCCTTGAGACTTTCTTTTTTAAGTAATAGAATGTGGCAGTAATGAAGTTCTGAATCAAGGCCTTAAAGAGAACTGGCAGCTTCCATGTTTCTCTCTAAAAAGCCAGCTTCCATGTTTTTCTCTAAAAAGCCAGCTTCCATGGTATACCCCAGATTGATTGACCATATGAAGAGAGAGGTCACATGGATAAACACTGAGGTACCAGACATATGAGTAAAGCCTTCTGGGACCTTCCAGGTCAGCCCAGTCACCATCTGAATGCAGCTGAATGAGTGGCATCAGCCAATGCCAAGTGAAGCAGAAGAACAGCCTAGTCAAACACTTCCTGAATTCCTGACCTAAATTCCTGAGAAATAATAAGTTGTTGCTTTAAGCCACCAAGTTTTGGGGTGGTTGGTTATGCAGCAGTAACTGAAACAAGTGGGAAGAATGGGAGATAATAAATCTAAAATATGGTAATGACCAGGGCTATAAAGAGGCAAAATAGTGCAGTAGCTAAAAGGCCATGCTGGAGCCAGACAGCCTGCATTCACATTTCAACTCCAGCTTTGTGACCTTGGTGCAATTTGTTTAACCTCCCTGTGTCTCAATGTCATCATCCAGAAAACGGATAATAATGTTGCCTACTTTATGGAGTGATATGAGATTTAAATGACCTAATATATATAAAGTGCTATTGTACCTGGTACATAGTAAATGTTATGTATGTTGTTATTACTATTATTATTGAGAACAACAAAGAAAGGTGAGGAACTAGAAGGCAAAGGGTCTAATTTTATATTAACTGGACAGGGAAAGCCTCTCTTTTAAGAAGACATCTGGGCCGGATGTGGTGGCTTACGCCTGTAATCCCAGCATTTTGGGAGGCCAAGGTGGGCGGATCACGAGGTCAGGAGATCGAGACCATCCTGGCTAACACAATGAAACCCCGTCTCTACTAAAAAATACAAAAAATTAGCCGGGCGTGGTGATGGGCCCCTGTAGTCCCAGCTACTCGGGAGGCTGAGGCAGGAGAATGGCGTGAACCCAGGAGGCAGAGCTTGCAGTGAGCTGAGATCGCGCCACTGCACCCCAGCCTGGGCGACAGAGTGAGACTCCGTCTCAAAAAAAAAAAAAAAAAAGAAGAAGACATCTGAACAGAGACCTGTAAAGAAGTGAGGACATAAACCACATGGACATAACTGCAAAGGCAAGGAGGGTGCTGCTGCTAGAGCTGAGAAAAGGGTGGGAAGGTGAGAGATAAGATAAGAGCCAGTAGATAATGATCTGGTAATAGGGCCAGGAAAAGAACTAAGGGTTTATCTGAGTGATACAGGCAACCCTTGGAGGCCTTTTCACAGAGGGTTTTGTAATCTAGCTTCCCTTTTTCAAGGGATGATTGTTCTGCTTTGTGGAGAGTAGAGAACAGAATGTAGGAGTGGAAGATTGGAAGCGGAAAGATCAGTAAGAGGCTAATGTAATAGTTGCAGATAGTTATGATGGCTTAGCCCCAAGCGGCAATTGAGGAAAAGGTAAAAAGCGGTTTGGTTCTGGATGTATTTTGAAGGTAGAGCCTGCCATATTTGCTCATTGATTAGACATGAGCTTTGAAAAAAAGAATTAAGGCCTGAGTTATTGGTAAAGATGAGCTGGCTGGGTGCAGTGGCTTACGCTTGTAATACCAGCACTTTGGGAGGCTGAGGCAGGAGGATCACCAGAGGTCAGGAGTTCGAAACCAGCCTGACCAACATGGTGAAACCCCGTCTCTACTAAAAATGCAAAAATTAGCTGGACGTCATGGCATCTGCCTGTAATCCCAGCTACTAGGGAGACTGAGGCAGAAGAATCGCTTGAACTTGGGAGGTGGAGGTTGCAGTAAGCAACCTTGCACTCAACTCCGTCTCAAAAAAAAAAAATAAGCTGTAATTTACTGAGATAGGGAAGACTGGAAAAAGAGTATATTGGAGGCTATGGGAAGGAAGTATTAGGTTTTCATGTTCAGAAAGTGGCAATATTTTATATGGCTACTAGGCATTGACTGGATAGGAGTCTGGTGTTGAGGAGAATGATCAGGGCTGGAGATATAACACTGGAAGTCATTGATAGAAAAGAGAAGCAGTCTGAAGCCTGAGCCCTGGGACACTCATTCTATTTAGAGATTGTAAGATGGAAAGCATCTAGTCCAAGATCCTGCTGGGTTCTCTGAAGGGAGAAATCATTTGTGTTTGAGAATGATTTGTGTTCGTGAATGAGAACAGAAAGAAGGCCAAAAATAGCTAGCAGAGAAGGGGTGAGAGGGAAGAGTGGCACAAAATGAGGTTACAACGATCATGTAGCGGTTGGTAGGCCAGAGTATGACTTTGTATTTTATCCTAAATCCATCAGAAAGTTTTAAGTGGGGGAATGACCTGACCTGATTTGTATTTTTCAAAGTTCATTCTAGCGTGTGCTTTACAGGTACTTCCATTTCATTAAACAGAATATTAAAAAGATGTTTACTTAAGAGTTAGGAGTTCATAAAATTAATATTATTTGTTTAAGTTCATTCAGACTGAATAGATTATAGGAAATTTAGGAAGGAAGTAACCGCCCAATGGCTTCACCTTTCCTGCTGCCTAGACAGAGCTGATTTATCAAGGAAAATTTATCAGGGAAATTACAATGGAGAAAGAGTAATTCAGGCAGAGCTGGTGTGCGGGAGACCAGAGTTTTATTATTACTCAAATCAGTCTTGGGGGATCGGAGCTTTTAAAGACAAAGTGGCAGGTAGGGGCTTGGGAAGTGGGGAGTGCTGACTGGTAAGATTGGAGATGGAATCATAGGGGGTCGAAGTGGGTTTTCTGGCTGTCTTCTGTTCCTGAGTGGGATGACAGAACTGGTTGAGCCAGATTATGGGTCCGGGTGGTGTCAGCTGATCCATCCAGTGCAGGGTCTGCAAAATATCCCAAGCACTGATCTTAGGTTTTATAATAGTAACATTATCCCCAGGAGCAATTTGGGGAGGTTCAGACTCTTGGAGCCAGAGGCTGCATGACTCCTAAACCTAATTTCTAGTCTTATAACTACCTTGTTAGTCCTGCAAAGGCAAACTGGTCCCCAGGCATGAAGGGGCCCTTTTTCATGAAAGGGTTATTATCAATTTTGTTTCAGAGTCAAACCATGAACTGATTTCCTTCCCAAAGTTAGTTTGGCCTTCACCCAGGAATGAACAAGGACAGCTCAAAGGTTAGAAGCAGGATCGAGTCGGTTAGGTCTGATCACTTTCACTGTCATAATTTCCTCAGTTTTAATTTTTGCAAAGGTGGTTTCAGAAGCAGGGAAACTTAGTAGAAGGTATTGCTTTAGGCCAGATGAGGGATGGTGATGCTTGGACTAGAGAGAGACAGCTGTATGAATAGAGAATTAGATAGATTTGAGTTACTTTCTGGAAGTAGAATTGACATGATTTACTGATGGATTAAATGTGAGATTTTATTTGTATGCTGCCTGGGTTTACTTTTCTGAGTAACTGATTGATGGGAATACCATTTTCTGGGTTTTGTTGTTGTTGTTGTTGTTTTCTTTTTTTTGAGACAGAGTCTCACTCTGTCACCCAGGCTGGAGTACAGTGGCACGATCTTGGCTCACTGCAACCTCTGCCTCCCAGGTTCACACCATTCTCCTGCCTCAGCCTCCCAAGTAGCTGGGACTACAGGCATGTGCCACCATGCCCGGCTAATTTTTTTTTTTGTATTTTTAGTAGAGACAGGGTTTCACCGTGTTAGCCAGGATGGTCTCGATCTCCTGACCTCATGATCCGCCCGCCTCAGCCTCCCAAAGTGCTGGGATTACAGGCATGAGCCACCACGCCCGGCCAAGAATACCATTTTCTGAACTGGAGAAAACTAAGGAGAAGCCATCTCTGCACAGTTCAAGAAATCTGTTTTTGCCATATTATTAAACTTTGGAATACCTTTTAGGCAGTCAAGTAGAAATGTCAAATTGACAGTTGGTGTTGTAAAGAAGTCACGCTGGAGATTTGAGAATTATTCATAGATAGGCGCCGTTCAAAGCCAAGGGACTAGATGAAGTTATCTAGAAGCAAAGTACAGATAAGGCCCAGACTGAACACTGGGTCCACTCAAATTAGGAAGTTGAGCAGGGGAGGAGGAATCAGCAAAGATGGTTGCAGAGGAGTCCCCAGAGAGGCAGGAGGAAAACCAAGGAAGTGCCCACTTCACAGAATCAAGGAGGCTTTCAAAAAGGGTGGCATGATTATGGTGTTAAATGCCACCAAAGAGTAAAGCAAGGTAAGATCTGAGAAGTAGCCTTTGGATTTTGATAGCATGGAATTTCTGGTGACTTGGCAAAGGCAGGTTTGTTAGAGCAATAAACCCAGAAACTTTATTGGGGTGAGTTAAAGACAGAATAGGAGGTGAGGAAGTGAAGACATCTCCTTCAAGGTTTGCTGCGGAGTCAAAACCTGGGGCAGTATCTAGAGAGGATGTGGGGTCAAGGTATAGAGTAGATACTCCAAACCCAAGCATTTAAAAACAACGATGACGACGACAACAGATAGCATGACAGCAAAGCTAGATTTTCTATTAGCAGAATCTGACCTTAAAAGGAAAACAGAAAAGATATCCAAATGTATCTCTCTATATATTGTTGTAGACTCAATACTGTGAGTGCACAGTCTGGGTCAAATCTACTTATAAGTTCTTTTATCATGGCATATATAACACTAATTTACAAACCTGTCTGTCTCTCTTATTAGAGTCTAAGCTCTCAATTTTACTTATTTTTAAATTCGTGAGTCTAGCACAGTGCCTTGCACTTTACTGACTATTCGATGAATTCATTTATTGAGATTCAGCAATTTAACCATTTGTTGAAATGCAGTTCATTGAAATAGACATAAGTACTTGCCTTTTCTGTCACCTACCTGGTTGCCATTGCTTATAGTTCACATCCTGTGATTGGCTGCCCACTGGGAGGAATTGAAGAGAGTTCTTCCCACTTCCCTATCCTTAAAAGTCATACAAGACAAGGATCTTCCTCGTCTCAAACGGCAAAAAGACTGAAAGCAATGGCTTTTCTTCCCCAGAGTGATCCACAAGTGTGGAGTGGTATGTGATGCAGCCTCTGGGAGGTGATGATATTTGGACTAATTTTAATAATGTTGCAATATGATATATTTTTAATGTACTATTTGCAAAATTCTTTGTGTGTGCATTTTATCCTCAAAACAACCCCATACTAGGAATAATTATTCCCAAAATACAGATGAAGAAACTGAGGCCCAGTGACCTGTCCAAGTTAATTCAGCTATTCTAAGTGGGAGACTCAAACCCAGGTCTCCAAACTCCAAATACTCTGCTTTCTCCCTACTTCAACCCCTAATGAATCAAGGTGTTTTTATTTTATTTTTTATTTTTTGAGACAGGGTCTCACTCTATCACCAAGGCTGGAGTACAGTGGGGCAACCATGGCTCACTGCAATCTCGAACTCCTAGGCTCAAATGATCCTCCTGCCTCAGCCTCCTGAGTAGCTGGGACCACAGGCAGGTACCACCATATCCAGATAATTTTTTGATTTTTTGCAGAGACAGGGTCTCCCTATGTTGCCCACACCAGTCTTGAACTCCTGGCCTTAAGTGATCCTTCCACCTCAGCCTACCCAAAGTGCTGGGATTACGGGTGTGAACTACCACGCCCGGACAAATTAAGGTGTTAAGTAGAGTTCAGGACTAATATAAAAAGTGCGGTTTAAGAAAGGGATGATAGAGGATGACAGAAATGAAATAACAAGGTCAGTGAAGGCCAGTATTAAAAACTGAGGATAAGATTCATGGGAGGGTGGTACAGGGATATGCCTTAGAGGGGGATCGGAATGAATACTAAGTAAACATTGGTTCCAGGGGCCCATCCTGTGTGTGTGTATGTGTGGGTGTGTGGGAGAGGTGTATTCACATTTATATAAGTACTCTTATTTAATTTGACAAGTGTTTATTAGGACTCTAAAAGAGGTAGAAGATCTAGTTCATACCCTGACAGTATACTTACCATCTTGTGAGGAAAACAATAAAAATAGTGATTAGAATGAACAAATCAGGATCAGGCGCAGTGACTCATTCCTGTAATCCCAGCACTTTGGGAGGCCAAAGTGGGTGGATCACCTGCGGTCAGGAGTTCAAGACCAGCCTGGCCAACATGGTGAAACCCCGTCTCTACTAAAAATACAAAAATTAGCCGGGTGTGGTGGTGCACTCCTGTAATCCCAGCTACTCGGGAGGCTGAGGCAGGAGAATCACTTGAACCCAGGAGGTGGAGGTTGCAGTGACCCAAGATCATGCCACTGCACTCCAGCCTGGGTGACAGAGCGAGAACGTCTTTAAAAAAATTAAAAAAAAAAAAAAAGATTGCACAAATCAGACAGTGACCCAGAGCTCAGCCTTGAGGAAAGTCAGTGTTGGGGAGGGGAGGGCAAAGAAGCAAGTAAAGGTTTAGCAGACATGGCACCTCAGTCTGGACTTGAAGGAGGGCTAGGCACAAAGGAAGGGGAACATGTCAGATGAGAAACACGTGAAGGTTCAGCCAGATGAGCAAGGAAGGTTGGTTAGAAAGAGGAGCTGCTGGTGTGGCTCCTGTGAACACAGGTAGGTAGGGCACGATAGAGTCAGGCAGTTAGAAGCCAAGCTGAGGAATCGACACTTGATTCCATAGGTAAGTAGGGGAACTTGAGGATGTTTAATCAGAAATGGTCAAAGAGGCATTTAAAAAAACAAACTGCAGGCGGGGCGCAGTGGCTCACGCCTGTAATCCCAGCATTTTGGGAGGCCGAGGCGGGTGGATCACAAGGTCAGGAGATCGCGACCATCCTGGCTAACACGGTGAAACCCTGTCTCTACTAAAAATACAAAAAATTAGCCGGGCGCGGTGGCGGACGCCTGTAGTCCCAGCTACCCAGAGAGGCTGAGGCAGGAGAACGGCGTGAACCCGGGAGGCGGAGCTTGCAGTGAGCGGAGATAGCGCCACTGCACTCCAGCCTGGTCGACAGAGCAAGACTCCGTCTCAAAAATAAATAAATAAATAAATAAACCGCAGAAAGATCTTCTGCGCTTTCAAAGTACAGTCGTAGTCTGGGTACCTTATTCTACTTAACTATTAAAATAGAGATTGTGTGTTTGTGTGTGTGTGTGCATGTTACATTTTTTATTCTTACTAAATTAGATTACATTTCCTCTCTCAAGTTAAACAAGGTAGTTAAGAATAACTTAGATTATTGTTTTTAAAAAATATATGCTGAGATTCTAAGTGGATGAGATCTTAGAAAAGGGGCACTCACCCCTCATTGACATCTGGGAGTATTTTACTATGTGGCTGAACTTCATGCAAGAAGATAAAGCCCAAAGTGAAGAGCAAAGACCTGCTGATGACATGCGGTAATTTGGAGGAATGATTTAAATAGCAATGCTTCTATTCATCTCATACCAAAAAATAATGAGTGGACTGAATGATTAATCACCAGCTGCAGGTAAGCAGATGCTAGCTTGCTATTTTTAAAATGGAAGCACATGCTGTTTGAGACTGGTTGAGACACATTCATAAATCCTATATTGACTTATAAGTAATTAGACATCAAAGCAAGAATATTTTAATAAAATGTAAATATCTATATTTAAATAAAATGTTCTTCTATATCTGAATAGTTTTATGCAATGTGTGCCTAATGGTGTTATACTTCCCTGTCTTTTTCTTTTCTTGTCTCAGTGTTGTTGGCAAAGCCTGTACTGTTGACATGGCCTAGCATTCTGATCTCAAGCTGGGCATTACAAGCACCCTGGTTGGTTTGTTTTTTTCTTTTTAAAATTTCTTTCTTTTTTTTTCTAAAAATTAAGAGCAGTAGTTTAGGGCTAAAGAGCTTCTTTTTTCATATTACAATGCATAACACATACATTTCTATATACGTTTTTATTTAAAAAGCATTAGTCCCCCATCTACCAAAAAATCATGCCTCAGATATTTATTTGCAAGTGAATTGTTTTCCCATAGAAACAGTGAGGTTAATAATGGTTTAGTTCCTGGGCTTACTTACAATTACTGATTTATGATGTCGTTCTTAGCTGAAAGCAATGCTTTTGCAGTATTTTGTAATTTAGAAAATGAGAAGAAAAAACCCTTGGTATGGAGTGAGTCATTTTTCATGAATATCGGTGCTTAGAGAAAAGCATGTTTCAGGGTACCAGGACCGAGAGATCCACGGAAACCATGGAGTTGTGGGGCACAGCGAAGAAGGGGTTGGTGAGCAGAAACAGCACCCTGCCCAGCCATATGGGAGCCCAAAGCAGAAGGAACAATGTGTGCCTTTATACTTATGGATATCAAAATATCCTTCCACATATTGAATCAAGTAGAAAAATTAATATAATTCCTATAATTTGGGAAACACCTATATATAAAGCCCTGTGTTGTCGATCTGTTCTCACATAGAGATCAACCCTCTCTGTAGGGGCTGGGGCAGAGAGGAGGATGGGGAGGGGGGGCCCTCCTGGCAGCCCAGTGACCTGGGACCTGTGGACTGATTGGAAACCACTATTCTCTTTTTAAAATTCTGATACTGATTATTTTGCTCGTCATAGATTTTTGTGCATTAATTTTTATTTTAATTATTATTATTTTTTTAGACTGAGTCTCACTCTGTTGCCCAGGTTGGAGTGCAGTGGTGTGATCTCAGCTCCCTGCAACCTTCACCTCCCAGGTTCAAACGATCCTCCTGCCTCAGCCTCCCGAGTAGCTGGGACTACAGGTGCCCGCCACCACGCCCAGCTAATTTTTGTATTTTTAGTAGAGATGGAGTTTCACCATGTTGGCCAGGCTGGTCTCGAACTCCTGACTTCAGGTGATCCACCCGCCTCAGCCTCCCAAAGTGCTGGGATTACAGGAGTGAGCCAGCGCATCCAGCCTATTTTAATTTTAAAGTTTGTTTTAGAAATATTGCATTATAAGATTATTTATTATTTTTATGCATTTAACTACTGAGTGTTTTGGGGTCCCCTTATGCTTCCTCTCAGTCCCAGCACCCATGGGAAACAGTGAGGAAGGGAGCTACATAAGGGGTCCCCCAGGCGAAAATATTCCCTCTTTTTCTTTTTCTCCATTCTTTTTCTTTCTTCCTCTCTCCCTCCCTCTCTTCCTTCCTTTTTTCCTTTCCATTTTCTTTTCTTACTTTGCACCTCCATCCCTGGCTGCTATAGAAGACTCTGCTATGGGCAGGAGCCAACTGGATACTAGGGGCTGGGAGCTGGGAGGAGGACAGAATTTCTGAGGGGTGAATGGCCTAATCAGTTTTACACAAAGCTTTAAAATACTTAATTTTTAAAAAGTGTGGTTAGCCCCTCTACATTTCAGAGCCTTGGGGCCAAGTCCGGCTTGTCTGGCCCTAGCAACTGCTAGGCTTATGTATGTGATAAAGGCAGTTGGAAGAGTGAGAAAATGTTATGAAGCAACTGGATAGGGCAAAGAAAAAAGATTTTTTAACAAAGGATGTGTGTACATTTGAGAAAGAGTGCCTGAGGTGGAACCAACTTGGCTGTGAGTAGCAAAGTCCAAGGAAAATTGGGGTAGGTGAAGAGGTTTGGGGTTTGGAAGGGCATCATCATCTTGAAAAAAAAGTTGGGAGGGAAGAAAAGTTGATTTGGTCAGTTCTCCATCCTGACCACCGAGTGGTGCTGTCGGTACAAGGCTGTCTTCTTTCTGGAAAGAGAGCCAGAAAGTGTCCAGGCACCCTGGGATTGAGATGGGAAGAGGGAGTCTTAGAGGATCTCCCACACAATTTGTGAATATCAGAAATTTACAAATCAGGTTTTGCAACTTGCATTTATTTGTATTTTATACATCCACAAAACATGCAGCATATTTTAAAGTAATAATAACTTGCAGAAGACTTTTCAAACAGTTCTAAAATTACTGTTTTTAGTACTGCGGAGTGTGCTGAACTTCATGAAAAAGGAGGGTTTCCAGGCCAGACCACTTTATTCTGACACAGCAGGAAACTTTAGGATAATATTAAAGAAGTTAATGGGAGCGTTTCAGTGTACTTCACAGGAATTAACAAGTTGTACAAAGATATCATCATTCTTTAGTCAATAGGCTGGGCACTTCTATAGTGGACTGATTGTTCTGCATGTACACTGACTGTGAGGGAGTGCTAGAGAGAGAGACATGGAATTGAAGACAGCAGGTGGAGGAAGCTCACCTCAGCCTCTATTTTAGTAATGCATGTTTCCTGTCAGAGAGGAAGTTTTTTCACATGAGTATCAAAAAGCAAATCCCACATACAAGGAATGATGTGCTGAGCTCTCAGACCCATTGTGTCAGGGGAAAGGGTGCTTACTCACAGTACCCAGGTCCTCATTGTTGGAGATATGGCTAAGTCCCTAGTGTCAATACCAGTGAGTTTATTTATTTATTTTTATTTTTTCAAGACAGAGTTTTGCTCTTGTCACCCAGGCTAGAGTGCAATGGTGCAATCTTGGCTCACTGCAACCTCTGCCTCTCGGGTTCAAGCAACTCTCCTGTCCCAGCCTCCCAAGTAGCTTGGATTACAGGTGCACACCACCACACCCAGCTAATTTTTGTATTTTTAGTAGAGACGGGGTTTCACCATGTTGGCCAGGCTGGTCTCAAACTCCTGACCTCAGGTGATCCACCCACCTCGTCCACCCAAAGTGCTGGAATTATAGGCGTGAGCCACTGATCCCAGAACCAGTGAGTTTAAATTCTAGTTCTGATATCTATGCTCTAAAAAACTTTGAACAATTTGCAGTTTTCTTATTCAAAATTGGGGGAATAAATATCTACATCACAGAATTAACTAAGATAATGTATGCAAAGTGCTTGTTTAGAACAGATACAAAATGGTAGCCATATTCGGTGATAATGCCTACTGAAGGAAGGCAGAAGCAAGCGCGGGCACAAAAACTCTGGTATGACTCATCATCTCCACATTCTTAAATTGTATGGAGAAGGAAAATGGTGAAGTAGGCTAAAAGTATGGCCTCTGCAGCTGATCCACCTTGGTTCAAATCCTAGTTCTACCACATCTTGCTTATTTGGGCAAATTATTTAATAATTTTGCCACAGAATGGTTATGAGTAAATGTAAGTAAACCATGTGTTTGCCTTCTTATTTTCACTTCCTAGAGCCAGAAGACTTGGACTAAATTCATGACAAGTTGCCTCACTCTGGGACCTGATTGTGCTATATTTGCAACCTGTTCTTTATAAAAAGAACGTTGAGTCATTCTTTTAAAAATTCATGCTGTTATACTGAGAGTGGAAAATTAAATATAAAGTTGTGGTTCTCCATTTCAGGGGAATCACATCATCAGTTCAAGTCCTTTCTGGAATTTTCCCATAGTCCATTCAGACTCAAGAAACCAATCAACCGTATAAATGCAAAGAAAAACAGAAAGTATCCAGTCTGTAGAAGCATAATTTTCTTTTTTGTTTAGACTGGAAGAAAGAAGTCTTCCACTTTCCCTGCTTCTACAGCTATCCCAAGTATTCCTACAGTTTGAGATGACGAGTCCTTTTTTAGGTACAGTGTTCAGTACACAGCAGTCCCCCTTTATCTGTGAGCGGCGAGGGATATGTGTTCCAAGACCTACAGTGGATGCCTGAAATCAAAGCTAGTACCGAACATCTATATACACTGCGTTTTTTCCTATACATACATGCCTATGATAAAGTTTAATTTATATTGGGGACAATATGAGATTAATAACAAAAACTAATAATAAAATAGAACAATTGTAACAATATATCAGCATCACTAGTCTTGCGCTTTGAGGCCATTAGGTAAAATAAGGGTTATTGAACACAAGCGCTGAGATACAGTTGATCTGATAACCTAGAGGGCTACAAAGTAACGAATAAGAGGGAAGAATATACAGGGTGAATAAGCTGGACAAAGGGATGATTCACATCCTGGGCAGGTTAGTGTGAGATTTTTATCACACTACTCAGGATGGCGTGCAATTTAAAACTTATGCGGTGTTTATTTCTGGAATTTTTCATTAAATATTTTCAAACTGTGGTTGACCACGGGTAACTGAAACCATGGAAAGCAGAACCATGGATTGGGGAGGACTACTGGAATGGCATTGTTTCACAAGCTAAGCCATTCTGTCACAAGAACACCTTGCAATGAGATTTCCTTACCTGCCTGTGCAATGTCTTTTTTTTTTTTTCACGTCAAATGCTTTCCAGTAGATTTAGAATGTGGACCTACACATATGGAATCACTCAGCATTCTTGAGCATTCCATTTGTAGTTAAAAGAATTTTGATCCACAACCAGTAATCTTGTTTCAGGAGTGAAGTCCAGGATGTGGAGAAAGCCTGAATGAGAGGCAGGAATCTAGTATCAAGGCAAGGACCATGGAATTTAAGGCTAGAAACCTAAGCATATTATTCGCAGGCCCCAAGAATGGTCTTTTAAAGTCAGTAAAAACTGAATAACTCACCAGTTTCGAACCTTACTCTTTATTAAAAACAATGGAAACAGAAGATAACACTGGAATTTGCAACATCAACTTCATTGTGAAAAGCAAGTACAAGTAAACAAATAGCATACTATTATGAAATAATAGTATGATATAAAGAAAGAACAGATAGGTATGTGTGTAAGGCTACAAAGGAGACCTAGATACCATGTGCCTGCAGTTCTGTTGACTGTCAGCAGACAGCACTCTCAGCATGTCAGTTTCAAGTTAGGGTACTCCAGGAAGAAGTGTGACTTAAGAATTGGCTGGGCGTGGTGGCTCACACCTGTAATCCCAGTACTTTGGGAGGCTGAGGCAGGTGGATCACCTGAGGTCAGGAATTCGAGACCAGCCTGGCCAACATGGTGAAACTCCATCTTTACTAAAAATACAAAATTAGCCAGGTCTGTTGGCACGTGCCTGTAATTCTAGCTGCTTGGGAGGCTGAAGCAGGAGAATCACTTGAACCCGGGAGGTGGAGGTTGCAGTGAGCCAAGATTGCACCACTGCACTCCAGCCTGGGCAACAAGAGCGAAACTCCGTCTCAAAAAAAAAAAAAAAAAAAAGAATTGTACTCTGCTGCTTTTATTTTTTACCAAAAGACATACCATCTTTTTACAAAGGATAATGTTACAGGCCTCCTGATTAATGAACTAGCATCACTTATACCTGGTTTAGTTTATCTATTACTGGTTTATTTGAAATATAACAACTCATTTAAACTTCAGCCTTATAATTAGTAAGAAATGTGAGCACACTGAGAGAGAGTTCATGCTCTTTTACAAATACAAATTATTAATGTCTCCTCATTAAATAAAATTTGTGAAATTTGGTATATAGTCTTTGGGGAGTTTTATAAATATTTTCTACTATTTGCTAGTTTATTTTATTATTTATTTATTTTGAGACAGGGTCTTGCTGTATTGCCCAGGCTGGAGTGCAGTGGCGAGATCTTGGCTCACTGCAACCTCCGCCTCCTGGGTTCAAGCGATTCTTGTGCCTCAGCCTCCCAAGTAGCTGGGATTTCAGCCACGTGCCACCACACCTGGCTAATTTTTGTATTTTTAGTAGAGATGGGGTTTCACCATGTTGGCCAGGCTGGTCTCGAACTCCTGACCTCAGGTGATCCACTCGCCTTGGCATCCCAAAGTGCTGGGACTACAGGCACGAGCCACCATGCCTGGCCTATTTGCTAGTTTAATAACCTTGGGGGAAAGTTACTTAAACTCCCTGAACTCAGTTCCCTCAATGATTAAGTGTGGTTAATAATGGTACCTACCTCACTGTCATGGCATTGTAAGGATTAATCTCTGCCTGCATGGAGCCTGGCACAGAGCAAGCAGTGACATGGTAGCTGTTGCTATGATGATGATGATGATTGCTGTATTTTTATTGAAAGCCTCCACTACCCTTGATGAAAATAGCCATGAATATAAAAAAAGAAGTACATTATTGAAATGTATAGATTTTGTATAAAGGTGTTTTTTTAATACTGTTATTTTTCTACATTTTTATTCAGAAGTCTTAAATACACAGAAATGAACCTCCATATAGTTATCACTCAGTTTAAACGATGATCAATATTTTTACCACTTTTGTATTTTCTACCCCCAGCATTATATGTCTGTAATATTTTAAAGGAAGCCTGGAAATTATGCTATTCTACCTATAAATACTTTAGTGTACATCTCTAATGTCAGGATTGTTTTTAAAACATAATCATCATGTAAAATTAAAAATAAATTCTTAAAATCATCTAATACCATATTTGAATTTCAATACTGCTTTCAGGAATGTCATTTTACAGTTAATTTGTTCAAATCAGGATCCAAACAATATCTACATATTGCATTTTTTATCTTTTGTCTTTTTTTTTTTTTGAAACAGGATCTTGCTCTGTCACCCAGTCTGAAGTGCTGTGGCACAACCATGGCTCTATGCAGCCTTGACCTCCTGAACTCAAGCAATTGTCCTACCTCAGCCTTCCCAGTTGCTAGGACCACAGGTGCATGCCACCACATCTGGCTAATTTACAGTTTTTGTAGAGATGCGGTCTCACTATGTTACCCAGGCTGGTCTTGAACTCCTAGATCAAGCAATTGTCCCACTTCGACCTCTCAAAGTGTTGGGATTACAGGCGTAAGCCACTGGGCCTGGCCCTTAAGTCTTTTAAATTCTCTTCATTTTCTTCTTATTTAATGCCATTGATTTGTTAGAGAAATCTGTTAGAGATTTTTGTCCTTCCTGATTTGCCTATTTGATTCCTTGTGGTGTTATTTAACTTCTGCGTCCTCCATGTTTCTTGTAATTTGGTTTTAGAGCTAGAAACTTTATTAGATTCTGGTTTAATTGTTTTCTTCAGTCAAAAATACATCACAGGTGGTGCTATATGTCCCGTTCCATCATAACAGGAGGCACATAGTATCTGGATGTCCCAAATTTAGTGAAGCTAAGACTGATCAGTGGGCTCAGATAGTGTCAGCCTGACCCCTTCATTGCAAAGTTCCTCATCAATCCTCCACCTAATGATTTTAGCATCCATTAATGATTGTTTTCTTAGATCATTGCATTAGAGATTCCATGATAGTGATATTTCTATTTCTATCCCTTCTTCTGCATTTATTAGCTGGAATTCTCCCATAAGGAAAAAATTTTCCCTCATTAAGTATTTTATAATCTTGAAAAAATAATTTATATAGAAAACAGAAATACTTGACTTTTCTCCTTTATTAATATTCAGAGTAATAAGTTTGTAAACTAGAAACCTTCAAGTGACCACTTTTGTTTAGAATTACTGTAAAGTTATAGATTTTACGCATTCCCTGTGTTTCAATCCATTGCAGTCATTATTATTTTTGCTACTCAGATTGCCCAATCTTAAACCAATGAGAGTCCCTTTCAGGTTGGCTTTCATATCCTTTTGACAGGACTCCAACTGGCTTAAGATGAGCCTAGGACATCTTTCTTGATAACTTCCTTGTTTTCTGGCAAGAAAGATATCCCAGGCTCATTTGTTGAGTTCATACTCCAGACCTGGAATCTGGAATCCACCATTTCTCCATGGATGTTTAGCTCTTTCTTTTTAGTGGAAAATGGTGTTAAGAGACCAAAATTGGAGCAGTAGGGCTGCTCATAGCTATTGAGTTGTCATTGCTTCTAGGTCTTTTTGGTTGACAGAGCTTTTTTTAAACAAATAAAAACCGTAAGTTTTTATTTCCAAGTCAAATTTAAGATCACATAATTTTTACTTGATTTCTTTGATTTGATATTTATGTCTATTTTCTCTCACGCTGAAAAGTTTGGTTTCCAATGGCATTAGCATAATTGCTCACTAGTTTTAACCTAAGATATGCCTATAATAATGATGGGGTTGAGAATATGCTACCCCCAAGTATGGCACCTTGGTATTTGAGAAAATAGCAGAAGCAGGAAAGTCATTCTCATCTTCCCATCTTCCTCTCATCCCTTCTCCATTAAAGCAGGTCATAAAATCTAGCTGACTTTCCTCTACAGTAGGTCATAAGACCTCAACTCCAGAGATAAATTTCCTATACCCCGTAAAAAGGAATATCATTATCCTTGAAGACACAGAGACACCAAGAATAATCTGAACAAACAGGTCTTGCTAAGTTCTCCCCAGTTTCTTACCATTAGATCAGACCCTTTTGTCCTCCAATCATGTTTCTTCACAATTATCTACTTTTCTTCATCAAGCTTAGCATAAAAATACAGATTTCCCTGTTTGTTTGGGTCTTCATTTCTGAAGGCTCCTGTGTTGTGTAAACTTGCATTAAATAAATTTGTGTGCTGTTCTCTTGTTAATCTGTCTATTGGTATATGGATGTCATTCATGAACCTAGAGATGGGTGAGAAATCTTTTTTCCTCTACAACAGATTTAAAATAATAGCAATAATATTGCTACTATTGGTAAGATTACTACTACACTTTTTTTATTTGTTATTTTTATTTTTTGGGATGGGGTCTCACCATGTTACCCAGGCTGGTCTCCAACTCCTGGGCTCAAGCAATCCTCCCACCTTGGCCTCCCAGAATGTCGAGATTATAGGTGTGAGCCACCATGCCTGGCCCTGACTATACTTTATTTCCCTTCATTTCTTTGCCACCAAATATTGTTCTGCATTTTGCTTTTTTAACTTAACAATATATTTTGGTCATCACTCCATGTCATTATATATAGATCTCCTTTCTTTTAACAGCTGCATATTACTCCATTGTGTGGACATATATGAATTATTTTCAATGTTTATAACATAGATTTTACATTATTTCTCATATTATCTGTTGAATGCTGTGATAACCAACATATTCTAGAAATGTTATATTTGGCTAAATAAAGATAGAATGCAAAGACTGGAAAAAAATGGCAACTCTTAACTAAACATAGTAATTTGAATTCACACCACTTGAGAAAGGAAAAAGAACTCCAAAAATGTGGTAGGTGGAGAAGCTAGCCTGAAATGATCAGTAACCTAAAATGTTCACTGCCAATTTAAAAAGTGGCTACCATTTGTCTTAACACAAATTCCCTGAAAACAGAGCCTGAAGGAAAAGGGGTAGGGTTGTAGGGGCAGTTTGTACAATCCTAGGGAAGTAGAAGTGAGGAGAAGGAGAGAGCAAATATTAGGATTATTGGGTTGGTGCAAGAGTAATTGTGGTTTTTGCCATTGAAAGTAATGGCAAAACTGTAATTACTTTTGCATCAACCTTATAAATGGAAGATTTTTTTCCCTTTCTTTTTTTCTTTCTTTCATCTTTCATCTCTCTCTCTCTCTTTTTTTTTTTTTTTTTTTTTTTTTTTTTTTTTTTTTTTGAGACAGGGTCTCACTCTTTTGCCCAGGATGGAGTGGATGATGCAATCATAGCTCACTGCAACCTCAAACTCCCAGGCTCAAGTGACACTCCCCAAATGGAGCATGTTTCTGAGCTGATCTCAGCTCCACAACATCTCTGGCTTCCCAGTGGTGGAAGCGTGCTCCATGGAACTTCCTGCAGTTCTGGATTGTATCACCTGGCCCTCGCAAGCAGTTGCTAGAGAAGCCTGAGCCTCTCTGGCTCTTGGTCTATTTAGGCTGGTGGGCAAGCGCAAGGGTTTCTCCTGGTCAGTCAGCTTCATGTGTTGGGGCTTCTTGTCCTCTGATGGGGGGAGGTGGCAGCAACAATGAGTGTGCTTCAAGACCCCAGAAATGGCCTCTGTTGCTATGATGGCGACCAGGCTGCTAAAGGAGGTACAGCCAAGCCAATCTGGAGTGGTTCAGAAGCTGAGCCTAATGCACAATGCTAAATGAAATCATCTAAGTCTTTTGTCTTTCAGAAATCTTTCAGAACAAAAGCTATTTCTAACACGCAAGAAAACATCTTAAGAAGTCATCAGATATTTTTCCTTGGCTTTAAACAAGACTATAAAGCCAGTGTGCTTGCACACACCTGTAGTTTCAGCTATTTGGGAGGCAGAGGTGGGAGGATTGCTTGAGCCCAGGAGTTCTAGACAGGTACGCGGTGCATGCCTGTGAATAGCTTCTGCACTCCAGCCTGAGCAAGAAAGCAAGACCCTGTCTCCGGAAGAAAAAAAAAAAAAAGTAGTTAATTCTAGTATCTAAACATAGCAATTTACACCTTTAATAATCAGGCTATAGGCCAATGCTGTGGCTCACGCGTGTATTCCCAGCACTTTGGGAGGCAGGAGGATCGCTTGAGCTCAGGAATTGGAGACAAGCCTACGTAACATAGTGAAACCTCTGTCTGTACAAATAATAAAAGAATTTTCCAGGCATGGTGGCGTGCACCCCCAGTGCCAGCTATTTGGGAGGCTGAGGTAGGAGGAATGCTTGAAGCCAGGAGTTGAAGACAAGCCTAGGCAACATAGTGAGACCCTGTGTCTATAAAAAATAATTAGCTGGTTGTCTTGGCACAGGCCTGCAGCTAGCTACTCGGAAGACTGAGGTGGGAGGATCACTGAGCCCAGGAGGCTGAGGCTGCAGTGAACAGTGATCACCCAGCTGGATTCCAGCCTGGAAGACAGAGGGAGACCCTGTTTCCAAAAAAAAAAAAAAAAAAAAATGCAAGAAAAGACATCATAAACTTGACCTGGGACATAACTTTTATGTGATGAAATTCACAATCTTTTAGGAAGAAATTAGCATTTCTGATAAAATGTATTATAATTATATTATTATAAATTCAAATGGAATTAAATATTCTGAGAAACTAGCTTCTCACTCTCTCAGTTGTCAGTCAAAACTTTAATGGTCTTTGGCCGGGTGCGGTGGCTCACGCCTGTAATCCCAGCACTTTGGGAGGCCGAGGCGGGTGGATCACAAGGTTAGGAGATCGAGACCATCCTGGCTAACACGGTGAAACCTCGTCTCTACTAAAAATACAAAAAATTAGCCGGGTGCGGTGCCAGACGCCTGTAGTCCCAGCTGCTCAGGAGGCTGAGGCAGGAGAATGGTGTGAACCCGGGAGGCGGAGCTTGCAGTGAGCCGAGATTGCGCCACTGCACTCCAGCCTGGGCGACAGTGCGAGACTCTGTCTCAAAAAAAAAAAAAAAAAAAAAGTTGAATGGTCTTTGAGCCAAGTAGTCTTCCTTTTCTTCTTCTTCTTTTTTTTTTTTTTTCAAAAAATATCTCTAGATTGAATCTTGGAATTGGCTTAAGTCTCTTCTCTTGTGGCAATTTTGAAATGAAAAAATACATGCTCATAATTAAATTACCTGAACATTTTAAAAAACCATCATGAGGTTCAAATATCAAATATTCATAAATATTGTTGTGATAATAGACATAACTCTTATTTTTTCCCTTAATAATGATTGTTTATATATCCTCCATTCTGTCTCACTTTATGATTAGTATATTATAGTGGCAATAATCTTAGGAATCTAACAGAGAAAAGTGTTGCATTTGAAGACTACAGACTGCAAACCAATTTAAGCCAGATTCCTTGACATGTTGTGCTGTTAATATAGTACTTTACATATAGTAAACATTAATTACATATATGTGGAAGGAAGCAAGCAAGAAAGGAAGAAAGTATTTCATTCAAACTCCTCTCTCTCCATCACCATTGGCTAATATCATCATTTGTACAGTTAAGAACAACATAGGTGCTCACCACATAGTTTTTGAATAAATGAATGAATGGCAACCCTTCTAAGACTATTGGATACACTATTGTTTGAAGGCAAAGAGATGCAGTAGATATTTTCAACTTTTTTCCTGTTTTATGATTCTGTGGTTTCTTTGACTACTAAAAGTTAGCTAGGTAGCAAATTTGTTTTAAAGTCTGAAAACCAAAATGCTTTCAGATAAAAGGTAGGGAGAAAAATACTCCTCAACATGTCCACTTTAGCACCAGGAAAACCTAATATCAATATCACCATCAATGATATCATATAAATATCATTGCATAGATAAGCAATGTCAATCCCTAAAAACTATGTATACCAATAGCACTAACTTGTGGCCAGAACAAGAACCTTAACTGTGCCAAATTTTATTCTATTCAATAACAGCTGCCTCGTTTTCAGTTGTGCACATCTGAATGCAAGCAATCCCTGTCTGATGTGGAGTTTCTTGCACTGATAAGGAAAAACTGCTGAAGTTGTGAGGCTGCTCCAGGCAGAGCCATCATGTGAGTCATATGAAAGCTCCACGCTGCTGACCTCTGGCAAAAAGGGAGAGAACAAGGATAGGAGAGGCAGTGGGGGAAAGGTTCAAGTGCGGGTTTTCTCCTTGAACCTACAAGATTATGGGTCAAGAGCTGTGTGCAAAGACTGTACAGCCTGGATGCAGCTGCTACCATTGTTCAGAGGGAGGCGAGGCACACAGCTGTCGGAGGAGTCAGCCTGAGACCACGGAGGCTGCGTTCAAGGTATTTGTATCCCAGGAGAGAGCATCTTTCTCTATTGATAAACCAAGGAGTTCAGACACTCCCTTTTTGTAGCGGGATCTGATTCTTCTGCGGTAGGTCTAAACCAATAAAATGAAAATTCTATTAAAGTCACAGAAAATTTATGGCTGTAGTTATCAAATTTGGGGAATTTCTTGTAAACCAAAAGGGAAAAATAATCCTTGGCTTTGGGCTGCACGAAACTCACTTGGCTTGAAGTCGAGAAAGTAGTTCTCTCAAAATCTCTAAGGTCCTAAATTACAGAGCTGAAACTTAAAAGGCAAGCTGCAGTATTAGTTGGTATGCTATGGATTTGAAACTTTAGTAATTAGTTCATGATTATTAGCAATGCCATAGATTATTCCCCTACAGCAATAAATTAAGTGGACATGAAAAAAAAAAGCCAGACTTAAACAGAAAAAAGTTGCAAAACATCCATCAAAGAGATTTAGGTTAACCTGAATGTTAAAGACACATTTTTAGGTGAAGAAAGAATGTAGTATTTCAGGAGTTGATACCATTATGGTCTTTTTCAGGGATCTTTCAAGAAAAGTGCCTTTTGGGGGTACAGGAAGCTTAGAAAACATTTGAAGAGTGAAAATGAGGCAAATAAAGAAAAAATGGTTTTACCAGGCACTGAATCTTTACTTTGCATAAATTTTATTTCTGCTCTTTCTTTTTTCTCTAGCTAACAGACCTAAAAGAAGCATCATGTTCCATGACTTCATTTCACCCCAGGGGACTTCAAGCTGCCCGTGCCCAGAAGTTCAAGAGTAAAAGGCCACGGAGTAACAGTGATTGTTTTCAGGAAGAGGATCTGAGGCAGGGTTTTCAGTGGGTGAGTGAGCAGCTGATGTTGATCAAGAAGAATTTAATGTGAGCTTGTCTACGGAGGCCGGCCCTTGCTTCCAGGGCAATTACTGAGCGAGCCTTCCCAAGTCTGCTCTGGCAATGCTGTCTAATTTCCCTGGGGAAAAAAAGTCAACACTAAAAAAAAGTGTTCTTTCTCTCTTCCCTTTCACCCGCTCCTTTTCCCCATTCCCCTAGAGCAGAGGAAGAGCCTCCCTTTTGGGGCAGCCTCATCTTACTTGAACTTGGAGAAGCTGGGTGAAGGCTCTTATGCGACAGTTTACAAGGGGATTAGCAGGTGAGTGACACATAGCTGGGAGAGACTTTAGAGATGAGAGTCCCGCCCCCCCAATTTCATATTATAAAGCCAGGTGAGACATCATAGAAGTTCATAGCACTCAGGACCTGTGCAAGACACCATGGCCGACAGGGAGAGAGACATGATAACTTAAACAGCCTTGAAAGAAAAACAAACCTGCCCTGCCCTAATTAAAATCAGCCCACTTAAATGTTTATCAGCCTTTCCCTTCTTGCATTCAATTCAGAGAATTCAAAGAAAATAGACATTCTCTACTACTGACCCAAAGAACAATTATCACTCTTCAGGCCTGTGGGAGGCACAGTTGGTAAAGCGTCTCTAACAGGTTTTTTATATCCCTCCCTAAATCACAATGACAGAGGTTTGTAATGGCAACCTGGAATTTGCTGCTTCATTCCTCCACCTGGCCTTTATAGAAGAAACTGAAGTTGGTTTCTGCAAATTATGGTACATGCAAAAGATGATAAATCCTAGATTTTTTATATTTGCAAAATACACAAAATGTCTGGAGAATAAAAATACTGCTTATCCAAAAGCTAAGTACTAATTTTGGTAAACAACCAACTTTGTTAAATATATGTAAAAGATCCATGAATTCCCCTTTTAGTCAAGGTGGGAAAGTTGGATGGTCGCTTTTTTCTTTATGTTACTCCAATAGAGAGAAAAGTAATGGCTCAATAGTGGTTAAATATTAATTTTAAAAATATAGCTGATCCGAGTGCAGTGGTGTTTACAACTACTTGATCACAACCAGTTACAGATTTCTTTGTTCCTTCTCCACTCCCACTGCTTCACTTAACTGGCCAAAAACGAAAAAAGAAAAATTTTATATAACTACTACAAGACTAAATATTTATTATTTATCTTAGTATTTATGCTGTTATTATTATTTTTACTTGTTAAAACAGGATTGTAGGGGACATACAGTTTTATTTTATTTTATTATTTATATATTTATTTATTTATTTATTTTGGAATGGAATCTCTGTCACCCACGCTGGAGTGCAGTGGTGCGATCTCAGATGACTGCAACCTCTGCCTCCTGAGTTCAAGCAACTCTCCTGCCCCTGGCCCTTTATACTTTCTTAATCTGTTTTAGTCATGGTGTACCTTAACTTTTTTCAATGCTGAGAACATCTGCAATAAAGGACCACATTTTATTTTATTCTAAGCTTCCTCATATCAATTTGGCCATGGTAACTGTTTTCAAGGTGGCTCGGAACGGGGGCACCCTGGAACATACTTGGATACATGGGCACCATGGACACTTCTGATCCTCTCTTCTGAGTTCTGACTTTGATTGTTCTGCACAGACCTTTCCAGCCCGAAGTTTACACAGAATTCACTTATCTTTTCTTCTAGTTACTTTATGTTTTCTTTTTCATTTAACTCTTTCATCTACTGGGAATTTATATTGTATATTCACAATCACCCCAGCTCCATTTATTAGATTTTCTTTTCTCTGATGGTTTGAAATGCTGCCATGATTATATATTAGATCTCACGAATACTTGAAATTCTTTCTGTTCTAATCTTTTAAAAATCATGTTTCCTTAATCTATCTTTTCTTATATTTGTGCTGCATGATTTTAATTATTGTTGCTTTAGGCTATTTTTAGAATATATCAAAACTCTACGTTAGAGAATTATTGACATCTTTGCATTATTAGATTTTCTAATACAAATATCCTGTAAATATCTAATACAACAGTCTCTGGATGGTCACTGTACAAGACCCTATAGAATCCCTACCCTCCATTCCCCGGCACACACTCAGCTCCTCCCTGTCCTCATCTCCTTCCCCTCTCCTGCTTCAATGACAGACTGCTCCTGCCTCAGTCAAGGACTTTTAACTTGCTGTTCCCTCTGCCTGGAGCTGCCTTCCACTGTTCATGCACACAGCTGACTCCCCCTCGCCATCAGATTCCTGGTTCAAGTGTTACCTTATTTATAAAACTGTAGTCCCAGCTAGTCAGGAGGCTGAGGCAGGAGAATCACTTGAACTTTGGAGGCAGAGGTTGCAGTGAGCTGAGATCGGCACCACCGCACTCCAGCCTGGGTGAGAGTGACACTGTCTCAAAAAAAAAAAAAAGCATTTTCTCTTATAAACATATTTGCCAAAAAACTTTTTGCAGGGTTTGGGGGAGAATTTCACAGAACCATGTTCTGAGGAAAATACTTACCTCATAAAACTCTAAAACAAAATTTCAAAGACATGATAAGGCAAACAAAAGAAACTGGGGAAAAGTATATGCAAAATAGTTCAATAAAAAGGTGGGCAAATCGGCAAATCACAAGAAAAACAGAAAAGATCCATAAACTTATGAAAAGTCAGTTTCACATATGGTTAAAGAAATATAAATTAAAATGCGATAAACCTTTTTACTTTTCAAATAGGCCAAAAAAAAAAAGAAGATGAAAGCGAAAAGCCAACCCACATGATAGGGCTATGACAGAGGGACACAGGAGCCAACCGAAAGAGCTTCCAAAGGACAAAGCTGCAAAAATATGAGCAACCAAAAAAAGTGGTATTAAATTATAACCCAAAGTATAAAATAAATATCTATGAGTCCGTACTGATATAAATAAATGATTCAATACATTAACAAATGGGAGAGAAGAAACAAATCTCTCATGCCAAATAAATACAAATAATTTATGTAGATAATATACCTTCAAAGAGGTACAGCATAACTCTCCACTCCTTAAGTGTGGGTCATTCATAGTGGCATTTCTCTAAAAGTACAGTATGAAAAAGGGGGAGAAAGAGTAACTTTAGAGTAGAGAAACCTGACCAACACTATCTCAGACAGGTGACTAAGGTCAACATCAAAAGTCATAAATCATGATGATGGTATGCACTCTTTTTTTTTTTTTTTTTTTTTTTCTCAGATGGAGTCTCACTCTGTCGCCCAGGCTGGGGTGCAGTGGCGCAATCTCAGCTCACTGCAACCTCCGGCTCCCGGGTTCAAGCGATTCTCCTCTCAGCCTCCTGAGTAGCTGGGATCACAGGCGCGTGCCACCATACCCGGCTAATTTTTTGTATTTTAGTAGAGACGGGGTTTCACCATGTTGCCCAGGCTGGTCTCAAACTCCCGAGCTCAGGCAATCCACCCACCTCAACCTCCCAAAGTGCTAGGATTACAGGCATGAGCCACTGCGCCTGGCTGAGGGTATGCACTTTTTTTTTTTTTTGAGACGGAGTCTTGCTCTGTCGCCCAGGCTGGAGTGCAGTGGCACGATCTTGGCTCACTGCAAGCTCCGCCTCCCAGGTTCACGCCATTCTCCTGCCTCAGCCTCCCCAGTAGCTGGGACTACAGGTGCCCACCACCACACCCGGCTAATTTTTTGTATTTTTAGTAGAGACGGGGTTTCACTGTGTTAGGCAGGATGGTCTCGATCTCCTGACCTCCTGATCCACCGGCCTTCGCCTCCCAAAGTGCTGGGATTACAGGCGTGAGCCACTGTGCCCGGCCTGATGAAATGTTAAATCTTTATTAAATATCGGATTGTACAAGAATGAACTATAAGAGAAAAGTTACATGGAGGAAAAAAGGTTACTAACAATATGATTTTAATCCCACTGTATTAAAAACAATGGATTTATACCTGCATTAAAATCTTCTCTATTCTCAGCACTTAGCTGATATGAATAAAATGATGAATGAGGGGACAGTAGGAGGAAATGAAGAGAGAGAGAATAATGGTGTGGCCTGGGAAGATCAGGTAGCACTTAGAAGCCCGCTGCAAGAATTTGGCTTTTATTCTAAGTAATGCGTGGAGATATGGTGGCTTTTGAACAGAAAAGTGACTTGTCCTGATTGTCATTTGAAAAGTATGCCTCCAACTACTCTGCTGAGAGTAAATAGTAGGAGTGCAAGTGTCTCAGCAGGGAAACTGTTAGAAGACCACTACAAGGCTGGGCTTGGTGGCTCGTGCCTGTAATCCCAGCACTTTGGGAGCCTGACGTGGGCAGATCACCTGAGGTCAGGAGTTCGAGACCAGCCTGGCCAAAATGGTGAAACCCCCATCTCTGCTAAAAATACAAAAATTAGCCAGGTGTGGTGGGGGTCCCCTGTAATCCCAGCTTCTTGGGAGGCTGAGGCAGGAGAATTGCTTGAACCCAGGAGGTGGAGGTTGCAGTGAGCCAAGATCGTGCCACTGTACTCCAGCCTGGGCAACAGAGCGAGATTCTGTCTCAAAAAAAAAAAAAAAAAACAAAAAAACAAAAAAACACTACAATAAGTCAGATGAAAAATAATAATAAGCTCCAAATTTTCTATAATGGACATATATATATATATCACTTTAGTAAAGAGGGAAAATGCTTTGGAATATATATGTTATATATGTATTGATACATGTTAAACTTTTTATTTTGAGAAAATTATAGATTTATATGCTAGAATATATTTTGAAGTGAAAGTGCTTTTGTTAAGCCATCTTTGGTATAAATTGCTGCTTTGAACCACCTCAATAAGTGTGTGCCCCTCAATCCCTCTCTTCTAGAATAAATGGACAACTAGTGGCTTTAAAAGTCATCAGCATGAATGCAGAGGAAGGAGTCCCATTTACAGCTATCCGAGAAGGTAAGAACAGCAGAAATGGACCCAATAGATCTGTTTTGAGTCCTTGATTTGGTAAAAAATGTATTGCATTGATCCATTCAGCATCTAGTTTTGATTCTTCTGGAATACTATAATTACATTTTTATTTTTCATACAAGTTTTTCAAGAAATTTACACTGCTATTTTATTACTTAATTTTGAGGAAATTGAGATTTAAAACTATTATATCACTTGACCAAAACTATAAATTCACTGAGCAATTACTAATACTTTCCATGTGTTTGGCCTCATGCTAGGTGCTAAGGCTATACCTATATAACCTCAGAAAATTCCTATAAAAGAGAAAATATATAATCACACAAATTCTTACTGGGAAATTTGCCTGAACATAACATGTTGTTAGCTAGCACTTGGAGATTCTCCAGAAGGCATGCATGTTTAGTGTTCTGCCTGTATTTTCTCTGTGCCCTGGACAGTACAGCAAATGGGTGAGGAACCTGGTGTCAAATGGACTTGGGTTTGCAGCACAGGTCCACCAATCACTAGTGGTATGATGTTGGGTAGGTTACTTTAGCTATTTATTACTCAGTTTCTTGCAGGAAGAGGATAATAGTGGTACCTATTTCATGGAGTTGTTATGAGTATTCAACAAGAATATGTATATAAAGCACTTATCACAGAGTCAGTTTTTCAGAGTTCAACAAATGTTGACCATTTTTATTCCATTCTTCTTTTCCTGGGTAATGTCTTATTTACCATCAAGATAACTAATACTTTATAACATAAACATCAAGAAGCCAACATAGTGAAATGAATCATTAAAAATATAATTTATCAACCTTTATTGCATGAGCCATTTGAAATAAGATGATGATAGGATTGCTATGCATTTCAGCAAAATCCCAGAGAAATGGCACTTCCCTGGCCTTATTTTCTCCCACTTTTAACTACTTATCTTCTGTTCTTTACTGAGCACATGCTATATGCAGAGTATGCTGCTGGATGCTGTGAAGGATGAGAAGAGAAACCCATGTCTTTGTTCTATCATTTGCAGTCTTAACAGAGCACATGATTCAAGTTACAAGTGTATAAAAGACATAAACTAAGATGAGAGCAAGTTAGTCTCAGTGTGACTGATGGAGTCACTAGATTTTGAACTGAGCTTGGAAGGATAGGTTATGCAAACAAGCATGGAAAAAGCAATTCAGAAAATGAGTTTATAACTGAATTTGATACCCTTTTCAAAAGTCTTTCAGAGCCCCTGAGGAATACATCATTTTGAATTTAATTGGAAGGGCCAAATGGGCTATTGGTTTAGCCAGAGATTCATCCTGGTAGGATCAGGTGCATTCTGGGAGAAGGCATGGTTTTAAGTGTTTAATATAATGGAAACTGCATTAACTAATGTACTTATTAATGGTCTCCATGAAAGGATGATCAGATTTGGAAAGAGATGTATGGATAGGTTAAAGAGTATTTGTGAACGTAATAGAAATTCCCAGGTCACCCGCATAAGAGGAAGGTTTCCTTTGTGAGCTTGAGTTTGCCAATTGCTTAAGATTGGCTTTGCTTAGATATTGCCCACAGCCAAGTTTTTCAGGTTGACATTTAACTGTAACAGTGAAACCTTTTGCCAGGTTTGCTAACAGATGGTTCTCAGCATGGTTCAGAAAACCTGGATCCGTTTTCTTCTGTATGCTAAATGTTTCTTTCATTGCATATTTACGGAGGAATTGCCTCTCCATCACAGGTGTTTACAATTACATTTAGTAGTCAACTGTGGACTTTCTTGGTTTGTTTTATGGACTTACCTTACCGAATGCTTTGCTCGTGTAATATTAAAAACCACAAGAGGATTTCTGACACATTGGAGGTTGTTAGGAATCCAATTTCCAACAATGAATGTTTCTTTTTACACCACTATAAAAGCTTGGAGCCCTTGTTAAAAGAGCCCTCTCCCCTCAAGAAGATATGAGGCTTTATTCGAAAACTTTGGCACTGTCCCATTTTTCCTGTAAGAACTTTAAGGATGTGAGACCAGGGAGACAGGAGGTTAAATGAGAAGGGCTGGAAGGCAAAGTAAGAACAGCTGGAGTTCATTAGCTAAAATCCAGGGTCACTAGCTAAAAAGGCAACCGAAAGGCACGTGCAGGAAAACTGAACAAGTAATGCAGCCCTCTTTAAAAAGCCTTGAAGCAGGAATTGCTTTTCCTGAACAATTTGGCTGCCCTGATGGTATAGCAGCCAAAGATTTATTAAGTATGATTTTACTACATATATGGTCTCTTTCTATACAGGTAGAATACATGTGGCAATTTACTAGTCTGGTCATTTGGAGTACTATTTTCATTTGACCTTAACATGTGATATTATGAAACTAGCAAAAGTATGAACAGCACTAAGGAACATTTTTTTTTTTTTTTTTTTGAGACGAAGTTTTGCTCTTGTTGCCCAGGCTGGAGTGCAATGGCACAATCTTGGCTTACTGCAACCTCTGCCTTCGGGGTTCAAGCAATTCTCCTGCCTCAGCCTCCGGAGTAGCTGGGATTACAGGCATGTGCCACCACACCCAGCTAATTTTGTATTTTTAGTAGAGACAGGGTTTCCCCATGTTGGCCAGGCTGGTCTTGAACTCCTGACCTCAAGTGATCTGCGTGTCTCAGCCTCCCAAGGGAAATATATCTTAATACATGTGTCAGTGCTTTTCATACTTCTTTCAATCCTCTTAACAATCTTTAGAGATAGATATTATTAATATTATTCCACTATATGGTGGTGATTCAAACCAAATCTCTCTGATTCAAAAATTCATAGGCTTTCTACGCACCCACTGTAGAAATATTCATTTAGCACCTACTATGACCAGGTACTCTGCCGAACTGCTAGATACACAGCAATACACAAAATAGATGTGTTCCCTACCACCCTCATTCCTTTGCTAATTAAGAAAAGCAGAGGCCTTCATAGTGCCTTGGAAATCTCTCATAATTGACTCTAGAATTGTATTTTAAGTGTTGATTTTTACAACTAGGAGGAAATACTTTCATTTGAATAGGCTAATGTGTTATGTTTTTACATAGTACAACATTTCTTAGTTTTATGAAACTTTATAGCAATATCTTAATATAATGTGCATTGTTTTAAATATTTTTGTTCAAGTGGTCAACTTTTGGTTTAAACTGAGGACTTTCAGCCTGTTAATAGCATTTTTCTTAGGAAGGAGTCATATAACTAATCTTTTTTGAGGACAAGGCATATGACATAATCTCCCCCTTCCCCTACATAATGTATATTTTTAAAACCTTTATACCAACCCTAGGAAGTAAAATGTGCTATTTTTGTTGTAGAGATAAAGAAATTCTAGCCTCAGAGAGGTTAGTTAACTTGTCTGAGGTCACAGAGATAGTAATCAGAGTTGTTAGAATCCATTTCTATTCTATTTAAAATCCCTTCTACTTTATTATGATGAATTTGGAAATGCTTAACTAAAGTATTTATTGTTTAGCAACAGTAAAAATAAAAATAGAAATCTGTTTTTATTATACATTTTATATAAACATTAAGGAAAATGCAGAAGAAGTATTTTTTTAATCTTTAATTTTAGATTCAAGGGGTACATGTCCAGGTTTGTTACATGAGTATATTGCATGATGCTGAGGTATCTTGTCACCCAAATAGTGAGTATAGTACCTGATAGGTAGTTTTTCAACCCGTGTCCCTCTCCCTTCCTCTCCCCTTTTGGAGTCCCTGGTGTAGTGTCTATTATTCCCATCTTATGTCTGTGTGTTCCCAATACCCCCAGTTATTAGCTTTCACTTGTAAGTGAGAACATGTGGTATTTGTTTTCTGTTCCTGGGTTAATTCACTTAGGATAATGGCCTCCATCTGCATCCATGTTGCTGCTAAGGAAATGGTTTTTTTTTTTTTTTTTTTTTTTTGTGGCTGCATAGTGTTTTATGGTGCCAGTGTACAAATTTTCTTTATCCAATCCACCATTGCTGGGCACCTAGGTTGAGTCCATGTCTTTGCTATTGTGAATAGTGCTGTGACGAACATAAAAGTCTAGGTGTCTTTTTGACAGAACGATTTATTTTCCTTTGGGTATATACCCAGGAATGGAATTGCTGGGTCAAATGGTAATTCTGTTTTTGGTTTTTTTGAGGCAGGAGATGGGACTCGACTCCAGAGATGGGGCTTGAACACTAAACCAAATTTAGGACTAGCCAAAACAGGGCCTGGGGGGAGGCAGCTTTCCAGAAGACACACCCACCAGTGTGCCATGTCAGTTTACCATTGCCATGGCAACACCTGAAAGTTACCACCCTTTCCCGTAGCAACAACCTGACAACCTGGAATTACCACTCTTTTCCTAAAACTTTCTGCATAAACTGCCCCTTAATTTGCATATAACTAAAAGTGGGTATAAATATAACTGTAGAGCTACCTATGAGCTGCTACTCTGGGCACACTGCCTATGTGGCAGCCCTGCTCTGCAAGGAGAGGTACACCCGCTGCTGCTGAACACTGCTGCTTCAATAAAAGCTGCTGTCTAACACCACAGGCTCACCCTTGAATTCTTTCCTGGGTGAAGCCAAGAACCCTCCCAGGCTAAGCCCCAGTTTTGGGACTTGCCTGCCCTGCCTCACTTTGAGAAATTTCTAAACTGTTTTCCACAGTGGCTGAACTAATTAACATTCCCACCCACAGTGTATAAGCACTCCCTTTTCTTCTCAAGCTTACCAGCATCCATTAACTTTTTACTTCTAAATAATAGCCTTTTTGACTGGTGTGAGATGGTATCTCATTGAGGTTTTGATTTGCATTTCTCTGATGATTCGTGATGTTGAGCAATTTTTTCATATGTTTGTTGGCCACTTGTGTGTCCAAAAGAAATATTTTAAAGAAAATAATACATCATGTTGTATATTCATCAATTCTGATTCTATCATTGATTCTACAGTGCCGGTAATTGCAGTGTTTAAATTAGAAACAGTCTCAGCTAAGAATCTTTTAAGATCATTCTCTAGTAGAAAAACATTACAAAGTAATGATTCCCAATCCATATATGAGAAAACTGAGCCAAAAATAGGCTAAGGAGCCTCCCTAAGGTCATACAATGAGGCAGGGGAGGAGGCTGATTAGAACTTCTGAATTGCCAATGACCACAAATAGTCTAGGGTAGGCCTGGTTGACAGAAAGTCTGCCATTGAACACCATCATATCACATGACAAATACAGCAAATTCATTGTGCATAGTTACGTCTTTATAAAACAAAATAATGCCAGGATAATGGTATGTGATCAGCATTACAATTCCAAAGATACCAAGACAACTACTTATCTGACACTTGTCTTAGTATTTCTCTAACATTTATCTAAAATTATTTCAATTATTTCTTTTCTCGGAATGCATAACTTGACTCATTGACTTGATTTATGATTCTCAGATCAAAGGAAATGTAACAACAGGGTCTAGAAACACTTTTTTATTCAATGTCCAATGAGGGTTGGGGAGGACTCCATCATTGACTCATTATATAATTCCTCATAAACTCATTACAATTGGCCTGGCTTTCATTAATTCATGAGCACTTATTGAGCACCACATGCCAGGCCTGTGCTAGTGCTGGAGATGCAAAGACAAGGGCAAGTTCAATCCATGCCCTCAATGAGTTTACAGCCTAAAGACGACTTTGACTACCAGGCCTTCATTACATAGAGCGACATCCTAGGACTTGGAGAATCAGCTTTCCTCTGGAGCCTTAAAGACATCCCTATTTACTTTTGTGTCTTTTCTTTGAAGAAAAACAAAAATAAGTATACATAGGATACATTAATAATAAAAAAACAGTATTTTATGAGACTCAGAATGCTAATTTTAGGATCTTTGCCCTTCTCAGTTGACTTTTGTGTCCCTCAACTGTTTAGTCTGCAGGACAGATATCACATCCTGCTGTGCAGTTTATAAAATGTCCTTAAAATTAGAAGAAAGAAAGACCTTGTCTTCCTGGGTTTAAGACCCACACATCTGAGGCTGTAGGCATTTCAGATCCCTCTGGTGGATGGACCAAAATGATAAACAATACTGTGAGATAAATGCTTTAAACATCATCTGCTCTTTCATCTGAATTCCCTATTCATTATTCGGCAACATTCACAGTTTTCATATAACGATTTCAGTAGTTCTAGGGCACCAGAAAAGCAGTACTAGGAATGGCCATAAAGCATAGAATATTTATAATCTAATGAGGGAGACAACTAAAAGAAAGAAGGAATAAAAGCATCTTCAACAGAAACACCCTTTACCAACCAACTAGAGGTATAGAAATGATATTAGGTAATTAGTGACCACTAATTTAAAGATAAATATTTATTGAGTGCCAGACATTGTTCCAGGCACTGAGTATATAGCAATAAGCAAAAAAAACAAAACAAAACAAAACAAAAGTGCCCACTCTCAATGGAGTTTATATTCTCAATTGTGGAGACAGACAATAAACAAATATTTATATATAAAATGTCAGATGGTGGTGACAGGCACTATGGAAAAGAATAAAGCAGGGCCCAGAGAGAGAGGGTAGGATGGGGTAGAGGTGGGATGGGGTGGAGGGCTGCTGAGGTGGGATGGAGTAGAGGGCTGCTATCTCACCTAGAATGGTCAAGGAAGTCTGCACCTATATGTATCACTTGAGCGGAGGCTCTGAAGAAAGTGAGGGAGGATGAAGGCAGAGAGGTGAGAAGAGAGGATTACAGGAAAAGACATTGGCAAGTGTAAAATCCTGGGGTGGAAATGTGTTTGCAAGTGTGTCTAAGGAACAGCTAGGAGGCCAGTGAGGCTAAAGCCAAGTGAGCAAAGATGGGAGTGTGAGGAGATGACAGGTCACGATGGGCACAGCCAACAGTAGGGTGGGCAGGAAATCGCAAGTCCTTTGAATTTACTCTGCAGGAGATGAGAGGCCACTGGAGGGTTTGGAACCAGGAGGCACATGCCCTAACTCATTTGAGAAGGATAGCAGTGTCTGGCTGTCCTGTGAAGAAGTGGCCATAGGAGGAAAGCAGGGAAGCAGGCATTTGCAATAATTCAGCCAACATATGATAGTGGCTTGGTCCAGGGTGCTGGCAGAAGATATGGCAAGGGAGGGGTTCTGGACAATTTGGAAGGTAATGCCAATAGATTTGTATGTGATAAAAAGTTGAGAGGACTTGACGTGTACGAGTGGTTAATCTTCATAAAATGGATGAATGGTTAAAAAGATTTCCGCAAAGAAACTGTGGGTTGAAGGTAAAACTAGTAACTCCAATGTAAGTGAACAACAGAGAAATACAAAACAGACATTTTTCCTACTCCTACAAAAACTGTAATTATCAAGAAGATGACATGAAGTTTATACCCAGTATTGTTAGCAGGAAGCCTCATTCCAAGTAGATATTTTTCCTTGGCCATTTTAGCAAGTGAGAGCATGAGGCCATCATAATGAACAAATCATGCCATCATGATTTAAAAAGAAGCATCTGGAGTTTTAGTAATATAGTTAGGTGAGACTAAAATTATACTAAACATAAAATTAAAATATCTTAACAATATTCTTAGCAATTTCAGCTTTACCATATCCTTTTGAAATCTAATTTTGCTATATGCTTTGTAACATAGGGGTGGGGGAAAGAGAGAAATTTATGAGATAATTTATAAATAAAAATACACCTAAAGTATAAGCATTCTCAACTGATGGTCAGAAAATATGGAAGGTATTCAAAACTCTAGCAGAAACATACCATAAACAAGATTTTAAGACTGAAAGTAGACGTTTAGTGGGGTTCAGGGTGAAAGGCAGGGGCAAGAAGCTGGCAAGAAGAGGGAAGGGATACTAATTCTAATTTGCCTCTGTAATGCTTTACATTTACCAAGGTTCCACAAATGGTATCTGATTCCATCCTCATATCAACCCTATGAAGTAAGTCAGAAAAGACGATGTCTCTTTTCCTAAGGAATGAATTGAGACTTAGGTTGAGATACTCTCCAGAGCTTACTCAGATAGGAAGTGACAGGGCCAGGATTCATATTAGGGCTTCTGGCTCCACAGACAGTTCTCCTTAAGACTTTCAATAAATATGTTTGACAAATTAAGTGCTTACTCTCGGCTGAGTGTGGTACTAGGTGGTGTGGCAGCATCTCAAAAAGGGGGAAAGTCACTCCCTCAATTCCCATGTGGCCTTCAGTCTGAGACTAGGGAGATTAAACAGATGCCTGAGAAGCTGTTTATTACATTTACAAAGCAACACATTTGTCAAAGTGAAATAATAAATTTAGCCCATAAGGACTCTGGGGGCAAAAAGTAAAAATTAAGGCATTAGTCATTACAGCAAATAAGGTTAACAGGTGTGATGGAGCTCCTTCGGCGTAAGTCAGCTTAAATTGACAAGTAAAGAGAGAAATTCACTGGCTCACAGATCTGATAACTACAGGCTGGTAGGGCATAAGCAATATCATCAGGAAGCCGTGTCTCTCATTACCCAACACTGGTTTGCTGTGCATTCATTTTATTCCCAGGCATGTTGTCACCAGGTGTTGGTAATCTGACCCCAGCAACTCCTGGCTAAATCCCACAGGTTTAGCTCTCACAATAGAAAAGAAAGCACTTCTTTTCTAATGGCACCAGCAAAACAGGGCTCTGCCAAACTTGGGTTTTGTGCCTGTCTCTGAACCAATCACTAGGGATAGGGGAGTGCCGTGCTCTGATTGGCCAGCCCTGGGTCATATGCCCATTCTTGGGTAGAGGCCGGGTCAGTTCCACCAGATGAGCATGGTCTGAGGAAGAAGACGGTTGTTTTTCCAGGGGAAAATAGAAGTGCCCCCGCTAGAAGGGAGAATGGCTGTCAGGAGGGCAAAACGACAGATTCACTAAAATAGGTTGATGCCTAAAGAAAATAATTTTATTCCTAAATTTAAGGGAGTATTTCAGTTGTTTTTAATCTTATGGAATTCTACACTGGGAGGGAGTTGGTGCAGGAGATTCATGATATGCAGGCATAGGCTACAGAATAATGCTTTGAGTTTTTATCCTTTACTTTTCCTTTCCTTTAAGCTTTAAAGACACGATTTCTTCATGCAGGGTTGCCCTGAGGTGAGCCTCATCATCTCTTTTTTTTGAGATGGAGTCTCGCTCTGTCACCCAGGCCAGAGTGCAGTGGTGCAATCTTGGCTCACTGCAACCTCCACCTCCCAGGTTCAAGTGATTCTCTTGCCTCAGCTTCCCGAGTGGCTGGGATTACAGGTGTGCACCACCAGGCCCCACCACGCCCGGCTAATTTTTGTATTTTTAGTAGAGACGGGGTTTCACCGCGTTGGCCAGGCTGGTCTCAAACTCCTGACCTCAGGTGATCCACCCACCTCGGCCTCCCTGAGTGCTGGGATCACAAGCATGCGCTACCACGCCCGGCCTCATGGTCTCTTTATTGTACCTTTTCTAGTCTCTGCTTTCCTGAAGCCAGAGGTCTTCCTATCTCCAGAAGCTCCAAAGACACACTTTCAAACCCCTCCCAGTCACTTGGCCTTTTGTGATGACTTCTTTCCTTCAAGGCTGCCTTTAGTAACCGATTATTGAAGAGGCAAGAGAAAGCCCTCAGCCTTCTCCACTTTCACCTCCCTGGGCTCCCCAAGTTTGGCCGACTCCTCTTTTCAAGTTCACATTTTCTCCTTTCCACAGAGGTTTGCAACATTACCTTTAAGAAATCATCTCCAGTCTCTATCATGTTTCAACAGTTCTTTACCCCATGCTTTTATCCCTGTCTCCCACCAATCATATCCACCGGCCCTATTGACCGCTTGTGGGAGTTAGAATTTTGGAGACTGGTCATATGTCACAAAGTCCTGCTCTAGAAGGCAGAACACTCCATTTCCTGCTCCTCCAAAGCCCTTTATCTCTCCAGGCCTCTCCTCCTGTAGCTCTGAAGCTGGATTGATGAGATTCCCAGAGGGGAGCATTTAGTGCTCTGAGTGCTTTGATGAAATTGATTAGGTAAATGGAAACATATTTTTTGCAACCACTCTAGCCTGTAGAAACAATAAGTTGCAATGATTTGCCATTTTTGAAATAATGAAGGTTCTTTGTAATTTTAAATATTCTTTTGCCACAAGAGATTGTTTTCCAGCAGTAAAATAACCAGAATGTTTGATTTGAAATGTTGAAAAAATATATACCGTCTGATATCTTTAGAGCAGCACTTTCATTATCAATGATGGATTTAACATTTTGTTTAATTTTTCTAGCTTCTCTCCTGAAGGGTTTGAAACATGCCAATATTGTGCTCCTGCATGACATAATCCACACCAAAGAGACACTGACATTCGTTTTTGAATACATGGTGAGTTGTTCGAGCATTTTACAACACTTGAGAAAAATAACCTGGTACTTGTATAATGAATCTGTTAATATTTTATGGCATGATAAAACTTTTATTATAATGTGAAAAGTATCATGGAAATTTTCATTATTGTGATTAGTAGAACCTTATTGTTCCCACATCCATCTTTGGTCCTGCTTCCTTACCCATGACTTTTGCTGTCCCTTTTCCCCTCATCAGCAATAATAAATGAGGATCTTGAGTTTACCTTCTAAATAAAACTTTTGCACTTATTTTTAATCTAATTTTAATCACTATCTGAGCAGAATCCAACATTTTTTCATTGACAATAAAGGTAAAAATCACAAGATATTTAAAAATTGTATGCAAGCTTGCTAAAGAATAACTCATGTTGTATTTTTGGAAGAAAAAATATTTAAATAAGTAGAAAGAACTTATAAGGTATGTGTACTTGACTTGCCTCCAAGGACACTTGGAGAGTGAAAAATTCCTGCGTCGTTGTGTTCAGTGCCAGTCATTTAAAATGAGCATCTCTGTGCTGAGAAACAGGCTTTGTTCTAAGAACAGCCAGTTAGAAAGACACACTGTGTTTGACCTTAACAGTGGGTTCTCAGAAAACCTGGTTATATTCCTTTTGCACCTTATTCTTAAAATTCTGTACTTCGTAATACCTTCTGACAGTCAAGTCAATGTTCTGCTTTAGGATGCTATCTAAGCACCACTAAATTCACTCACTTCTCTTTCTCCGCTGTTTTATTTAGCACACAGACCTGGCCCAGTATATGTCTCAGCATCCAGGAGGGCTTCATCCTCATAATGTCAGAGTGAGTACGTTAAGGGTCAGGACCCTCTCCTGGCTTGCCCACAGAAGGAGAATTCTGAAACAGACTGTCTCACAAAGCAAAGTCCTATGATACTAAATAAGAGGATGGACATCACTGATATTCCAGAAAAAAGTTTTGTTTTGTTTTCGTTTTTGTTTTTTTTTAAAAAGGAAAGAAAAAAGAAAAAGAGTTGCTGAGTTGCTTCTTAAGATATGGAGCAATGTTTTCTGAGCAACCTAATGCTGTCAGTCATGGCTACATGCAAATGTGCCTTTAGATGAATAAACGAGTGAAGGAGAATTATACTAAAAGGAAAAAAGTAAAGCTAGGCCATCAAAAAATAAATACCTTCTTCATATCAGATTACTGTGGTCTAAGGTGAAGTCTGCAATACTTGTACTAGCAGATCCTATTATATATGTGGCCCTAACTCCCATTTTTCCAGTCATTAGAATCGAAATAATAAACTCTTAATTAGCTATAATTCTACATCTGTTATAAATTTTAGAAACCATTTATATTTCATACTTTTCATTCCCTAAGGTTTTATTGGCATTAATTAATTGATTGGCTCTTAAAATAACCGTATGAAATTTGTATATGATGTATTTATTCATTTAACTAATATTTATTTATGTATTCATTTATTCATTAATTTAAGAAATATTTATTGAGTACTTATTGCTGTAATAAGTTCTGGGGTTTCAATAATGAATAAGTTCTGTTTCTTATTTTCAATGAGCTTAAAGTCCAGTAAGATATATGAACTTAAATAGGCAGTGAGGGCCAGTCTTCAAGCAACAGCAATGCAAGATGGCAGCCACCATGGGCTCAGGCAATTTATGAAAGCCAAATATACAGCCTTAAAATAGAATGTGGACCTAAATACCCAGAAGAACTCCCCTTTGTAAGATTTGTAACAAAAATTAATATGAGTAGAGTTAATAGTTCTAATGGAATGGTGAACCCAAGAGCCATATCAGCGCTAGCAAAATGGCAGAATTCATATATCATCAAAGTTATCCTTCAAGAGCTTCAGCGCCTAATGATGTCTAAAGAAAATGTGAAACACCCTCAGCCATCTGAAGGACAGTGTTACAGCAATTGATCAAAAAGAAAAACCACAGGCCCTTCCCCTTCCCCCATACTTGATGTAAGCAGTCTTCATTTTCCATAGTAGTAAATTTTCTAGATACAGCTTGTAGAGCTCAAAGTACTGGAAAGAAAGCTCCCATTCAAAGGAAATTTATCTTAAGATACTGTAAATGATACTAATTTTTGTACATTTGGAATATATAAGTTGTTAGCCTGGCGCGGTGGCTCACGCCTGTAATCCCAGCCCTTTGGGAGGCCAGAGTGGGCAGATCATGAGGTCAGGAGTTTGAGACCAGCCTAGCCAACATGGTGAAACCCCGTCTCTACTAAAGATACAAAAAATTAGCCAGGTGTGGTGGCGCACACCTGTAACCCCAGCTGCTCGAGAGAGTGAGGCAGGAGAATTGCTTGAACCCAGGAGGCAGAGGTGCAGCGAGCAAAGATCACACCAATGCACTGTAGCCTGGATGACAGGGCAAGACTCCAACTCAAAAAAAAAAAAAAAAAAGAAATATGTAAGTTGTGCTATAACAAATAAATAGGCAGTGAGAAGCAAAGTGCTAAAGCCTATGACCATGGTAACTAGGAATACTGTGGGAACACATAATAAGGGAACCTAACCCAGTCCTGGAAGTAAGGTTTTGGAAAGGAATGTTTGAGGACAAAGGGTTAAAGAGAGTGAAAAAAAAAAATTAAAATACCAGTTAGCTGTGTGGAGAATGGGATAGGGAGCTAACTAGAGAAATCAAATAGGAATGTTTCATGGTATGTTAAGGACCCTGGTAAGGGTGAAGACCATTACATTATCTGCACCATCGCGGGACTTTTTTTTTATGGTAATGCTTGGCAATTTAAATAGAGGAGCAGAGAATGTAGACAGTTGGATTGAGTCAGAGTTGAAGTTCTGCCAGACATGTGAAAGGAAGAGACAGGTAGGCAAGAGAGTTGAAGAGATTATCAAGACAGAAGTTAATGTGCTGGCCAGTGGCATCTAGTCTGAGTCTAATCTGAGGGAAGGAAGTGAAGATAAGCAGCTTGCTGATAGTTATGAAGAGAGTGGAAGGCTTCAAGGACCTACAGGTGTTGATTAAATAGAAGAATGATTGGAGAAAGAATAACTGTGAGAGAGTGAGATTTTCAGGCTTGAGTGACTCTCACATACCAGACACTGTGCTAAATGCTTCAAAGACATGATCCCTGCCCTCAAGGGACTTACAGCCAAAAACAAGAGATAAGAAATACACACCAATACTATTATAGGACACTTGTGTAGAATATCAAGAAAGAAATACGATCTAGTACTGTAGATGTGCAACGGCATCAAAGATATCTTCTAGTTTCAAGAAGTTTCAGATCGGCCGGGCGCAGTGGCTCACGCCTGTAATCCCAGCACTTTGGGAGGCCGAGGCGGGTGGATCACAAGGTCAGGAGATCAAGACCATCCTGGTTAACACGGTGAAACCCCGTCTCTACTAAAAATATAAAAAATTAGCCAGGCGTGGTGGCGGGCGCCTGTAGTCCCAGCTACTCAGGAGGCTGAGGCAGGAGAATGGCGTGAACCCGGGAGGTAGAGTTTGCGTGAGCCGAGATCGCGCCACTGCACTCCAGCCTGGGCGACAGAGTGAGACTGCGTCTCAAAAAAAAAAAAAAAAAAAAAAAGTTTCAGATCTTAAACACACTGCATTTCAACAGTCTAGAATAGGAGAGCATGTTACAGGGAGAGAAAATGTTTTCAGCAAAGGTACAGAGTAGGGAAATAGAGGATATGTTCAAGGAAGAGGACCCCAGAGTCATGGTTTGTTAGGGTTAGAGGAAACACAGTGTTTTGCAATCTCCAGGTTCCATTAGTGCGTTATGAAATCAATATGGTGGTTAGCAACCTGCATTTTAAAAAATGAAATAAATGGATGAGAAGAGAATAGAAAATATTAGCATGCATTACATTTTGAAAGAGCAAGTATTATTTTCTGCAACTTTTGCTCCAATTGTAACTGTACTTATATTTTTATGTATGGATGTGAATACCAGATACATATATATTTCTTACTGTAGACTGCAGTCAAAAAATCTTTAAAGCACTGGCCTGGTCTAACTTCCTTATTTTGCAGAGGAGAAATCCAAGATCTGAGAGGACAAACATTTTGCCTGAGGTTATAGAACCAGCTTATGCCATTGCTAAAAGTGATTCTTAGTTAAAATTCTTTCCCACTAGTGCCATACTGCATTTCTAGTTCTGTTGGCCTGAAATACAGAATATATTAGTGAAACAGCATACACAAGTCTGGGGAAATATATTGGGTAGGTGGCTGAGAGCCTCATTTTCTAAGAAATGTGGACCTTAGGCAGGGTATGGTGGCTCACACCTATAATTCCAGCACTTTGGGAGGCCAAGTCAAGAAGATCGCTTGAACCCAAGAGTTCAAGACTAGCATGGGCAACATAGCAAGACCTCATCTCTACAAAAAATTTAAAAATCAGCTGAGCATGGTGGCATACGCCTGTAGTCCCAGCTACCTGGGAGGCTAGGTGGGTGGATCGCTTGAGCACAGGAGTTTGAGGCTAAGGTGAGCCATGATCACACAACTGCACTCCAGCTTGAGTGACAGAGGAAGACCCTGTCCCTAAAAAAGAAAGAAATGTGGATTTTATTCCTTAGACAGTACAGTCATTAGTCATTAAGTTTGAGTTGAGAGAAAATAATATGATCAGAAGAAATTTATATCACTGTGGTCTGTAGGATATATGAAAGGAAATAAGAGACTAGAGTCAGGGATTCCACTTAAGTGTTTGTTTGTTTGTTTTGAGACAGAGTCTCTTTTTGTTACCCAGGCTAGAGTGCAATGGTGCAGTCATGGCTCACCGCAGCCTCAAACTCCCAGCCTCAAATTATCTTCCCAGCTCGGCCTCCCAAAGTGCTGGAATTACAGGTGTGAGCCAAAGGGTTTATTGATGTGGTCTGGCCTAGTGCCTCTCAAACTTCAGTGAGCAGACAAGTGACCGGGAACCTGACTCAACAAGTCTGGGTTTAAGCCTGAGCCTCTGCATTCTAACATGAGTCAAGCTGATGCAGATGGTGCTGGTCAAGAGCCAAGCACTGAGCAGCAAGGATCTAGTTAGCAATTAGTAATCAAGGTTGATATTATGGTAGTGACAATAAGAATGGAGAGGAATGTGAAAATCAGTAACAAAGAAGAGTTCACCTCTTGGTAATGTGAGCATGAGGAGGAAAAGGATGGGGCCAAACATAACTGGTTTTGTGTTTGACTGACGAGGAGAATTGTAGCTCTATTAACAGAAATAGGAGAAGAAGTTGGTTTGGAGAGAAAGAGGAGTCCTGTTTCAGACGTGTTGAGGTCCCAGGTGAGACAGGATCTCCAAAGGGAAATGAGCAGTAGGCAACCTAAAAGGAAATCTGTGCTCAGAAGGGAGCTGTGAGCTCGACGTGTAGATCTGAGGGTCATCAGCACATAGAGTTTAGAAGACAAGGAGTAGGCAACCAAAAGAGCAAATACACAAAGAGAGGAGGACTGATGATGAGACTTTTGCCTTTTAGGATGAGAAGAGGAACAGGAAATGAAGGAATGAAGGGAAGCAGCTTGTAGGAATGTAGAGCATCTGAAAAAAAAATACACACTGTCATGGAAGTCAAGGGAAGAAGAATTTCAAGAAGGAGGGTATGGTGGACAGTATTACAAGCATCAGGAATACAGCTAAAAGTCATACTCTTGATGCATTGACCTTGTGGATTTGTGAGGGACACACTAATAAATAAAGGAATTTATTGTGGGTATATGGAGGCACAAAGGAAGAGGTTATCCAAATCAAAGCAGGTGGGAGTAGGGATGAGTTCTCCAAGGTGGAGGCATCAGTGAATGTGGGAAGGGGCACAGAGCATCCATGCCCATCCCAGGCAAGCCACCCTCCAGAAGCCTCCATGAGAGTTCAGCTATCCAGAAGGTCTCTGTACCCTAATCTTTCTGGGTTTTGCATAGGCTTCATTGTGTAGGCATGATTTATTAAACTATTGGCCACTGGTGATCAACTTAACCTTCAACCCCTCTCCCCTCCCTAATCATGCCTTGGTCTTTCCAGTGACCAGTCCCTATCCTAAGCTACCCAATGGTCTGCCAGCTATCAGTCAACTCTACAAAAAGACATCACTTTGGAGATTCTAAGGATTTTAGGAGTTGGCTGTCAGGAATTTAGTTGAAGATCAAATATATATTTCACAATATCACAGTCGTGCTATTTTATATCAGGCGCCATTAAATGGTTTTAAACAAAGAGGTGATAAATTCAGATTTTCTTTTTATAAAGCTTACACTGATGACAGTGTGGTGAATAGATTGGGATGAGGGCAATACTTTTTTTTTGAAATGTTATATTCCCCTGACCCTACTTTCTCCTTGTTTTCTTCTACCTCTCTCCCCCTACTCACACAGAAAACTTCTCTCCCTCTACTCATTCCCTGAATGCTGGTGTCTGTTAAGGTTCCAGCCTTGACAGTGAGGCTAATCAGAACCACAGTGGTACAGATGTGAGATGATGGTGGGAGAAAGTGGACAGATATGAGACCAATTACTTAGCCGGAACTGACGGGAAAAACAAGAGTCAGCGATATTTTTTTCTGGATCTGAGTATTAAAATGGATGATGGTGCCATTCACTGTGATAGAGAATCAGAAAGAAAAATTTATTTTGGAGAGATACCATGAATTGTGTTTTAGACATGCTAAGTTTGAGGTGATTATGGGATGTACAGGCGAGCTCCAGACTGTGTGGGCCTAAAGTAGAAAGGCAATCTGAGTTGGAGATAAAGATTTTGAAATCATCAGAATACGGTTGTTCATTAGAGCACTGTCAGTGGGTAAGATAGCTAAGGGAGCATGTGTAGAGTGATAACAGAAGATCAAAGACGGAACCCTAAGAATAACAATAAGTTATTATTTATTATTTTATTATGTTTTATTTTTTAATTTTATTTTTATTTATTTATTTATTTTTAGATGGGAGTCTCGCTCTGCTGCCCAGGCTGGAGTGCAGTGGCGCAAACTCAGCTCACTGCAACCTCCGCTTCCTGGGTTCAAGGGAGCCTCCTGCCTCAGCCTCTCAAGTAGCTGGGACTACAGGCACCCACCACCTCACCTGACTAATTTTTGTATTTTTAGTAGAGACGGGGTTTCACCATGTTGGCCAGGCTGGTCTTGAACTTCTGACCTTGAGTGATTCACCTGCCTTGGCCTTCCAAAGTGCTGGGATTACAGGTATGAGCCACTGTGCCTGGCCTATTTTTGTTTTTTATAGAGATGGGGTCTTGCTATGTTGCCCAGGCTGGTCTCGAACTCCTGGACTCAAGCAATCCTCCTGCCTTGGCCTCCCAAAGTTCTGGGATTACACGTGTGAGTCCCTGCGCCTGGCCAGAATATCAATATATTAGATTTTAGTAGAAGTAGAACCTATAAAAAGAACAGCCAGAGGGGCAGAAGAAAAATTAGGAGATTGTGGAACCAAAAGAAGAGAGTGCCTCAGGAAGGAAGGCATGGTCTATGATGCCAAATGCTGCAAAGATAAGGAATAAGAAGTATCCATTGGATTTCATAGGAAAAGTCATGGGAAACCATGGTAAAAAAACATTGTGAATGACACAATCGTTGCAAAAGCATTTTTATAGGGGGATGAATTTTGTATTTCAGAGGACAAACAGTTCCATACAATGGCAAGATCTAGTGTGTGACCACGGGAGTTAGTGTCTGAAGTGGATTGGAGAAGCAGATCATTGGAGCTGAGGTTGGCTAGAGCTGTTCTCATGGGCACTAATGTCATGGAGTCAACAGCTGTGATCCAAGTGCCCACATCTTCAGTGAATGACAGAGAGGGATTGAGAGTTCAGTGAATGACCGCTAAAAGAAGAGTAATGGAAGATGTGGCTGGATGGCATTAAAATCCAAGGGACAGGGGTTTTTACTTAAAAGTAGAGAAGTAATGGTTTTGAAGTGGTAGTGGGGAAAAGGGAGGCAGCTTATGACACTTGTCAGTGGTCAAAGGTATGAGGAAGTTATAGAAAAACTAACATCCACTTGAGAATATTATAGGGAAGCAGTGAGCTCAAGGTCTCATTTAAGGAAAGGAGCCAAAAGGAAATTCACCAGAGGTTAGCTTTTAGGTAGTTTTTAAAGCAGGATTGAAGAATGGAGACTAAACAGTGAAAATGTTTGGGAGAGAGAGGAGCAATAGATATGAAGCTAAACAGAGGAAGCACAGAACAGAATGGAGATGAGTATGTTGGGAGGAAAAGGAATAGTCAGAGGCTTATATTTTGAGTTGTGACCAAGGAAGACAGGGTGGGAATCCTCGTGAGGTTATCTTGTTTCAGATTTCTAGTAGAATGAGTCCCAGGGATTCCAGGGGGGATGGAAGGACTCAGGCTTCCCTATAAGGAGTTGGCTAACGGATCTCATTGGTTTTTGAGTAACTCCTGGCCCAGATGGCACTAGTTCAATGGAATTATTTTGTTCCCCCAAAACTTATTGAGTTGGAAACAGGTCTAACTCCTGGGATCTGGGAAGCCTTTCTGGAAAGAGTCACCCACGATCTGGCTGATGTTGAACTGTGCAGACACCATCATATTTGGTTATGTTAGGATGCAATAATTGGTGAAGCTTCTGTAGTGTTGAATGAAGAATCCAGGTTGGAAGGGATGAAAGGGTGAGTGGGTGATGAGGTTTGTCAGCACAGACTGCAATTTTGAGAAATGTGGTTATAAAATACCATACCTTAATACCGCAGTGCTTTACCACTCACAAATGCCTGTAGACGTATCTGGCAGAGAGGAAAGGGGTTGAATGGCAAGAATGTGGGAAGGGACTGTGGCTAGTTAGTGAAAATAGTCTACACTTGGGACATAAAAGGCATTTCAAGCTGACCTACTAAGAAGCTCTGTCTCTGACTCAGCCAGCTGGCTCTCTCCTTCCCTGTCATGTTTTCATTTTCTGTCTTTTCTCTAGTTTCTCAGGATGGTATAGTGGAGTCAGACAAGTCTGAATTTGAGTCTTGGCTCTGACTATTCCTAGACATGTTTTAAAAGTTACATTGAGCCCTGGTTTTCTCTGTAAACTGAGGATAAGCATGCTATCCCAAAGGTTGTATCCCTCACTGGTCACCAGCTTCCTGTCTTCTATCCACCTGTCTTCCTCTTCCTCTTTCCCTAGTCCTGCATATTGAAAAACATTTTTTTTTTTTTTTGAGATGGAGTCTTGCTCTGCCACCCAGGCTGGAGTGCAGAGGCACGATCCTGGCTCACTGCAACCTCTGCCTTCCAGGTTCAAGCAATTCTCCTGCCTCAGCCTCCCGAGTAGCTGGGATTATAAGCATATACCACCACATCTGGCTAATTTTTGTATTTTTAGTAGAGATGGAGTTTCACCACATTGGCCAGGCTGGTCTCGAACTCCTGACCTCAGGTGATCCGCTCGCTTTGGTCTTCCAAAGTGCTGGGATTATAGGCGTGGGCCACTGCGCCAGTCTGAAAAACGTATTTTTAAGCACATACTATCATATCTTCTTGTCTTTTACCTGGAATTTAAGCTGGTTGTTTGTATTACCTTTTCCATGGACATTTATATTTATAACCAATCAGAAGGTTTAAATGTCAGTGTAGGAATTTTGTGCTATGGAAGCTTCGTGGCTTGGTGAATGGTAAAATGAATAATGTGTGTATATTTGAAGCATCAGAAAGAGAAAATGCTGGGAAGATTCATAGAACCAGTTAACATTTGAACTAGGAGTCATAAGAAATTTTTAAAATACTTAAATGGTTTATGAACCTGATGTGGTAGCTACATGAAACCTGCATAGCTGCAGGTATGCTATGGTAGGTAAACTCTCCATGCTCCTGCTTCCATTGGACCATTTGGCTCCAATGTCTCCAGGTCTTTGTTAGATCAATACTGGTCCTAGCATCTCTGAAAGTCCTAGCTTTCTAAGATGCTGTTGAAAAAGAGGATTAATCCACATAACTCTGCATCTGCCATTTTGCCCATGTCCCAGGAATGCTGGGCCTAGCCCTTCCTTTCTGAACTGCCAGAACACGTTCTCAGTTGACATACGTCTTTGTAAATACTGATGTTGGTGTTTGAATTCTCAATTGCCAATGGCACTGGAAAATAGCAAAAGATACTTGGAATACTAAGCATTCTTTTTTTCCCGTAAGTTTCTGTAGTGATGGGAACCTAGTTAATGGCTTTGGTTTCTGTGCCTCATAACCACATGAAACATTTTTAATTTGGGGCTCAGAATGTGTTTTTCCCTTTTATTTCTCCACCACTACCATTTACCCTTTCTCCCTTCTTCCTCCTACAATTTGTTCCTTATTCTTTTTTGATTTTTTTTGAGGGGGGGGGTCTAACTTATTTTGGTCTCTCTTCCCTTTTCATCTGTACTGTGTATTTCCCTTGTTTTCAACTTTGAATTTAAGACTTTAAAAATAGCTTTAAAAAGATAAAGATTTCTTTATTTTCTAATACCATCTAAAGATATATTTTTTAGTGTGGTCTCCTTGTGTTGTGTTTTTAAAAGGGTTTCATATTGGAGAGCCTGGAAAACTTAAGCAGTTGTAAACTTTAGAATATCATTTCCAGGTCAACTTTGATCTTATATGCCAAGTTCATCGGTGGGGAAAAAAATTAAATCTTTCACATCTAAATCAATAACTAGTGTTCCAAAGGAAACTTCAAAGTTTCACTTTAGATTTTTAAAGAAGGGTAATTCCTTCAGTATCAAAGAAATGAGATGTCAGGAAAAGCCAGAATCCCTTTGTTTAGGACACAGTCTAGTTACTTGACTTTTCTTGTCCTTTTTCTTCCCCCTCTGAATGTAAAAATCTTCTTCTTCTTCTTCTTTTTTTTTTTTTTTTTGGTCTCTCAAGAGACACTTTTACTATATTCTTTGAGATGACTGTTTTTGATTTAGAGGCGAAATCAGCACGTGGTGGCTCAAATCTCCTTATGGATAGTGTTTCTTCCTTCCAGCTTTTCATGTTTCAACTTTTGCGGGGCCTGGCGTACATCCACCACCAACACGTTCTTCACAGGGACCTGAAACCTCAGAACTTACTCATCAGTCACCTGGGAGAGCTCAAACTGGCTGATTTTGGTAAGTCGCCCCTCGGGTCTCATTCTGGGCTGTGAACAATGATGCTTTTGTGTGCACTTGTTTAAGCGTTGACTGGGCCTGGCCTTTGAAAACTGGAGGCCCAAGAACATGATGCTTTGTGAGGATATCAAACTACCACAAAGGAAGTGTGAGGCACGAAACAGGGAGGGATTGGTAGCTTTCTAGGATTCCACCAAGTCCCAGTTTAGTCAGATGGCCAAAAGCTGGGCACCCTTGCTGCCCCACTGCCAGTTTTGATATAGAGACATTGGTAGAGTAAACTGTACTTAGTAAGTTTTCCTAAATCTAAGTGAATATACAAATTATATTGGAATAGATTGAGATTATCCCAAGATGATAAAGAGGTTAACCCCAGATTGTAGCATGGACTCCTGTCAGGATGGAGACTCCAGGACACTTGTTCCTGCTCTCCTACCTTCTTTATATAAGTGTGAGATGCAAAGTTTTATTCCCATTAAAGTGAAGCAGATTTCCTCTAAGTATCACTGTATCCTTCCATTTTAGCACTTATCGCAGTTTATAATTATATTCACACACATAAATACATACATGCATACATACAAATATATATACATGTGTGAGCACACCCCCACACACAAATATATATAGATTTGCGTGATGATTTTGTCTCAACTGGACTGTAAGCATAATGAGGGCAGCCTGGGTTTGTTTTTGCTTATCATTTTATCCTTAGTGCCTGGTACCATAGTAGGTGCTTAATAAGTACTTGTTGAAAAACTGGCTCTATGTGAGCTAAGGAACCACTCTTCTCTGTTTGGCAGATGCCAAATGGTGATACTATCACTGCAGTATTTATTCTGAGATGGCAGCTTTTATCCTGACATGTAAGCATTTAACAGATATTTGTTTATCAATTCTCCACAATAGCAAACTCATCTATTGAAGTTTTTCCCAACAATAGATCATGCAATTCTGTGAGATAAACAGCTGACTGACAGAAAGACTCATTTTGCAGAACAGTACTTAGAAATTCATCTAAGGTCCTACCAAACTAATTAATTTGGATGAGCAGTCCCTACCGTTTATCTACTAAACTGGGCTTTCCTGGAGTGCCAAAACGGAAGGTGGCCATGTTAGTCATGAACAGCTCAGTTTCTGTTACAGAGACCCAAAATTACAGAGGTATAACATGCTAGAAACTTAACTTTCTTTCGCATCACAGTCCTGACCTAAGCAGGCAGAGCATGTATGGTGGCCCCATGCTATCTTGGCCCAGGCTGCTTCTGTCACGTGGCTCCTCCATCCCCAATTGTATGTTTCAAGATGGCTGCCACTTCCTGCTCATCACAGCCCAGAGGAGGGAGAAAAGGGAAGCAGAACCCTTAACCCCTCCACTAAGGCATAATCTGGAAGTTCACACATCACCTCTGTTCATATCATATAGGCAAGAACTTAGTCACCTGACCACACCCAGCTGCCAAGAAGGCCACATCTAGCTGCAAAGCAGGCCAAAATTTGAGAAATTCACTTGATGAAGTGATAGACAAGAGTCAAGATAGTGATTAGTTCTACTAAAAGCACCTAAAGTTTGTGTGTTATTTTTTCTAATGGTGTTTACCCTGGTCCAGTGCATCATGGTGCAAGCCAAGGTCCAGAACGATGGGTTTTATGCTTTTCCCTTTTGGACAGGTCTTGCCCGGGCCAAGTCCATTCCCAGCCAGACATACTCTTCAGAAGTCGTGACCCTCTGGTACCGGCCCCCTGATGCTTTGCTGGGAGCCACTGAATATTCCTCTGAGCTGGACATATGGTAAGAGTGGTGCCGAGAAAATGTGAGTCATCCTACTCACGAGGGTTGCTTTATCATCTACATTATATTTTAATAATAATTCTAAAAATGGCAATCACGTATATATTTTTATATATATTTATATTTATATATTTTATATATATTTATATAGTTATATATTTATATTTTATATATTTATATATTTATATATATTTGTATATATTTATATATTTATATATTTTTATATATTTATATATATTTATATTTTTATATTTTTATATATTTATATATATTTTATATATATTTATATATATATTATATATATTTATATTTATATATATTTATATATTTATATATATTTATATATTTATATATATTATATATTTTATATATTTATATATTATATATATTTTATATATTTATATATTTATATATTATATATATTTTTTTATATATATATATATGTATTTTTTTTTTTTGAGATGGAGTCTCACTCTATTGCCCAGGCTGGAGTGCAGTGGCACGATCTCAGCTCACTGCAACCTCCACCTCCCAGATTCAAGCAATTCTCCTGCCTCAGCCTTCTGAGTAGCTCTACTAAAAAAATACTAATATTTGTAGAAGATTCTTGCAATTATTCTATAACCTTTTACTGTTGAACTGAGACCCACAGAGTTCCTGCCCAAGGCATCTTCTGAATCTGACACTCTTTTTATGTTATTTTATTTTTTGAGATTGGGGTCTTGCTATATTGTCCAGGCTGGTCTTGAGCTCCCAGGCTGAAGCAGTTCTCCCACTTCAGCCTCTTGAGTAGCTGGGACTATAGGGCTGCACCACTGCACCCTGGCAATCTCATGCTCTTTCTTTCACGCCTTTCCTCCTAGCTCCTCTCTTTAATCCTTTGCCTTGTCTTCTCCTTGACACCTTATCCACAGAGAAACAAACATATATCCCCAAACCACAGACACACAGATGTGTGTGCACGTGCATGTGCATGCACACACATCTGCATGAACATACTCACACATGTCCAAACGTAGTTCAGAGCCTGGTTTAGGAAAAAAAAAAAAAAGCATAAAGACCAAGCTTCAAGACACCTGATTTTCATGCCAGTTCGATTTCTAATCAATTAACTCTGGATTCTGTTATCTTGAAAAAGTCATGTATCCTCTCTGTGTCTATGTTTCTCCATTTTTAAAAATGAAGGTAATAAACTCTCTCCATCTGAGTTAAATGGAATTGTAGTACAAATATAAGAACCAAATAGGTGGCTGGGCTTGCCGTCTCATGCCTGTAATCACAGCGCTTTGGGAGACCAAGGCTGGAGGATCGATTGCTTCAGCCCAGTTGTTTAAGATCAGCCTGGGTAGCACAGTGAGATGCTGTCTCTACATTTTTCAAAAAAATTAGTCAGGCATGATGGCTAATTAAACACTTCAGGAGGCTGAAGTAGGAGGATCTCCTGAGCCTGAGAAATTGAGGCTGCAGTGAGTTTTGATGGTACCCCTGCAATCCAGCCTGGGTTACAGAGCGAGACCCCGTCTGAAAGAAAGAAAGAAACAGAGAGAGAGAGAGAGAGAGAAAGAAAGGAAAAGAGAAGGAGAGGGAGAGGGGGAGAAAGGGAGAGGGGGAGAGAGGGGGAGAAGGGGAGAGGGGGGAGAGGTGGGGAGGGAGGGAGGGAGGGAGGAAGGGAAGGAAGGAAGGAAAGGAAGGAAGGAAGGAAGGAAGGAAGGAAGGAAGGAAGGAAGGAAGGAAGGAAGGAAGGAAGGAAAGAAGGAAAGAATCCAGATAGGTGCTATCAAGTAAAGCCACAGAGTTGGGGAGGCTCTAAGGTTAATGGGTTACAATAGTGAGCATGGGCTGTCAGACATGCATCATCCTAGAACGGCAGTGTTATTTTCTCTGGATCATGTTCCTGGAGACTTCCCAGTCATTTGGGGGCCACTGTTAGATATGTGATGACTTTACAGACGTAGACAACTCCCCAAAGGTAAGGAAATATATGAATCTCTTTCAGTACCTTGGAAGAAAGGGTTTATATAAAAACACAAAGCCCCATTTTCAAAAATCCATAATTGATTTTAAAAAATTAAATGGTGTCCTAAAAGGCTAAACTAAGCTTTTAGATCTCCCAAAGAATTAAGAAAGGTTGCAGACATTTTTCTCCAGTGTAGAGTCATTGATTTCTGATACCCAGTACAATTTATAGAAATATCATCTGCTAGTCAAAACCCTCCTGAAACTGTCAGCTCACACCGCTCAGCACTGTCACTTCAAAGGACTCCGGCAGGCTCTGGCTTACTCAGCTCTTAATGATGTCTTCCTGATTATGTTTCACAGAGTGAAACTTCTACCCGTCAATTTTAAACTAATTTTATTATGGAATAGTTAAAACATTCAAGAGTATATATAACATATATGTAGATCAGTGATTCTCAACCAGGGAGCAATTTTGCTCTGCAGGGGACATTTGGCAATGTCTGGAAACATTTTTTGTTTTCACAGCTGGGGGTGGGGTGGTGGGGGGTATCACTGGCATCTAGTGGGTAGAGACCAGGGATACTGCTAAACATCCTACAGTGCAGAGGACAGCCCCTGCAACAAAGATTTTTCCAACCCAAAACATCTGTAGTATCAAGATTAAGAAAGCCGATGTAGGTTAAGAAGCTTAATTTACTTTTAGAGACAGGGTCTCCCTTGGTTGCCCAGGCTGGAGTACAGAGGTGAGATTGTCTCACTGCAGCCTCCAACTCCTGGGTTTAAGTGATCCTCCTGCCTCAGCCTCCTGAGTAGCTGGGAATACAGGTGTGTGCCACCACACCTGGCTAATTAAAAAAAAAAAAGTGTAGAGACAGAGTCTCACTTTGTTGCCCATGCTGGTCTCAAACTCCTGGCTTCAAGAGATCCTCCTGCCTTGGCCTTCCCAACTGCTGGGATTACAGGTATAAGCCACCGTGCCCAACCAATTAAGAAGCTTAATAACGTGAACTTCATAACCTGCTACCCAGTGTAACAACTAGAACATAATCCGTACTGTCCTATCAACTGTGTCCCTTTCCCATCAACCTGCCCCTCCACTAGAAGGCCTTCTACCAAAATTTTTTTTCCTTTTTTCATCAGTATTCTCATATCTTTTTAAAAATAATCCTTTTACATTTTAGAGGTATTCTTAAAAATATTTTTTTGTTTTACTTGATTTTAAGGGTTGTTTTTTTTTGAGACGGAGTCTCGCTCGTCGCCCAGGCTGGAGTGCAGTGGTGCGATCTCAGCTCACTGCAAGCTCCGCCTCCCAGGTTCACGCCATTCTCCTGCCTCAGCCATGATGTTATATTGCTTCTAGTCTTCTGTGACTTGGCTTTGTTTCATTCAATATGTTACATGTTTCTAAGATTCATCCATGTTGATCTGTTTAGCTATACTTTATTTTCTGTTAGTGAATATTTCATTTTTTTTAATGTCTATAGCTTTGCAATAATACTTGATACCTTGTAGGCCAAGTCTCCCAGCCTATTCATCTTCTTCATGAGGATACATCAGATAAACCTAGTTTAAGGGACATTCTACAGAGTAACTGACCTGTACTTATTGGAAGTGTCAAGATTTTAAAAGATAAAGACTGAGGAACTGTTCCAGATTAAAGGAGACTCCAGAAACCTGCCAACTAAATGTAATGCATGGTCCTAGATTGGATCTTGGGGGAGATGGTGCTCTAAAGAATACTGTAGGGACTATAGGTGAAATTTCAGTAGGGACTGTGGATTAGATAGGGGTATTGGATGAATGTTAAATTTCCTGATTTTGATAATTGCACTGTTGTTATGTAAGAGGATACTTTGGTTCTCAGAAAATACCAACATAATTATTTAGGGATGAAGAGTCATGATATCTACAATTTACTCCCTAATGTTTCAGAAAAGATATAGACAGACAGACAGACAGACAGACAGATAGATAGATAAAATAACGAAACAAAAGTGACAAAATATTGGCGATGGATGAACCTGTTTGGAGGATATAAGAGAGTTCTTTATACTGCTGCAACTTTTCTATAAGTTTGAAATTATTTCAAGATTAAAAGTTGCCTCCAAATTGCGAAATCCTTGCTGTTTCATCAAAGTTAGTGTAAGACAGCACTAGCCTAATATGTGATCAGTGTTTGTAATTTCTTCATGTGTGTTTGAGAAGAATGTGTGTGTCCACCCAATTGTTGAGTGCTGCTGGGGTTTTTTTTTTGTTTTTGTTTTTGTTTTTGTTTTTTTTGAGACAGAGTCTCACTCTGTCTCCATGCCTGGAATGCAGTGACTCAACCTCGGCTCACTGCAACCTCCACCTCCTGGGTTCAAGCGATTCTCCTGCCTTAACCTCCCAAGTAGCTGGGATTACAGGAGCACACCATCACACCCGGCTAATTTTTGTAGTTTTAGTAGAGACGGAGTTTCGCCATGTTGGCCAGGCTGGTTTCGAACTTTAGATGTCAGGTGATCAGCCTCCCAAAGTGTTGGGATTACAGGCATGAGCCACCGCGCCTGGCCAAGTACCCATTTTTACATATGTTCAAAAATTCAAGGTTGCTAATTATATTATCCAAATCTTCTTTATATTATTTTTGTCTTTTTAACCTACCAATGAAAGGTGTGTTGAACTCATTCACTATATTGTTGATTTGTCAGAATTCTATCCACTTTTGCTTTATATGCTTTGAAGCTATTTTCACTAAGGGCAAATAAATTTAAGACTGCTCATTATTCCTTTGTACACTTTAGTTACCACTTTCAGAATAATTTTCATTTCTCCTGAAATACATCTTTTAGAGTGTTTTGTTTTGTTTGTGTGTGTGTAGGCCTGCTGGTGGCAAATTCTTCGTTTTTGTTTTCAGAAGATAAACCCTAATTATTGAAAGGTGGTTTTGTTGGGGATGTGATTCTAGACTGACAGTTATTTTCTCTCAGAACTTTGAAGATGTCATTCCCCTTCTTTGTCTTCCATTGTTGCTGTCGAGGAGTTTGCTTTTAGCCTTATTATCTTCCTTTTGCAGGTGATCTCATTTTCTCTGGATGTTTTAAAGACTTTTTTCTTTGCCTTTATGATTATGCAGTTTTCTCTAGGAGGTGTCCAGTGTGGATTTCTTTTTACTTACCCTGTTTGGTATATCTTGTGTTTCTTCCATTTGTGAATTCATGTCTTTCATCAGCCATTTTCTTTTTGAATATTGACTCTATTCTATTCTCTCTCTGTAGAGCTCCAATGAAAGACTATTAGACCACATTCTTCTGTTATCCATTTCTCTTCTCTCCTTCATATTTTCCATTTCCTTAACTTTCTGTGATGCATTCTGGGTAATTTCTTCAGCTCATCTACCAGTTCTTTAAGTCTCTCTTAAACTATGTATTAGGTTGGTGCAAAAGTAATTGCAGTTTTTGCCATTAAAAGTAATGGCAAAACCATAGTTGCTTTTGCATCAACCTATATCTCTTACCTTTTTACCACATATACAAAAATGTATGTTATTCTATGAATAAGTGTTTCATGAATTTAACCATGAGCAACAATGACACAATATAAAAATGCAGTTATAAGTCAAAATTATTGTTATTACTCTTATTCATTCCATTTGATTGTTGTTTTCCTGGTAAAACTAAAAATGTAATGTAGAAATAGAACAATATGCATCTTCCATTGAGCTCACTATATTTGTTTACCCTCAAAGTAATTGCTAGACCTTGGGTATTTACACTGAGATCCCTCTCCTCCCATTTTTTTCTTTTTCTTTTCAGAGTGATAAGAGGGGAAGTGAGAAGGGAGAAGATTTCCAGTTGACAAAGAATGAAAAAGAAAGAATAATCCTATTCTGCTAGGCCATGCAACCCCATAGGGTCCAAAGTGAATGCCCTTGTAGGAGGTAGATGACACTGGGTCAGCATTAGTGCATTTGTCTTAAAGAAACCAATTATAACCCGTAGTGCAGAGCCTCTCCTTCACAATGAGGCCTGGTGGCAGCAGTGTCAGTAGGGGGCCAGAGCAAATAAACAGGGGCTCTAGTTAATTATGGAAAACTTGCAACTAGGACATATTGGTTATTCCCAAAGCTCCCAACCAACATTCTCTCATCTTCTGACGTCTTTTCTTCTCTCTCTTTCTGCTACCTTTTCAGACCTTAAAAGATTCCATTAGTGACTTTAGTGAGAAAAATGCAATATTTTAGGATTATTAAATGGTGTGGTTTTTAGTTTTTTGTATTGTGTTAAAATATACATAAAATTTACCATTCATCACGATTTTCAGGTGTACAATTCAGTGGCATTCAGTACATTCACATTGTTGTGTAACCGTCACCACTGTCCATCTCCAGAACTTTTCATCATCCCAAACTCAAACTCTGCACGTATTAAATGATAATTTCCCATTACCCCCTCTCCTCAGTCCCTGGTAACCACGATTCTGCTTTTTATCTTGATGAATTTGACTATTCTTGGTACCTCATATAAAAGTGGAATCCTACAATACCTCTTCTGTGTCTAGCTTGTTTTGCTTGGCATAACATTTTCAAGGTTCATCCATGTCGTAGTACACTGAGTTTTCCAGAAGCATTTATTTCAGTACACAAGGTCATCTATTCAGTATCAGTTTCAGGCAGCTGCTGGTGTTAGGACTAGAGAAAGTTGTCTCTGCCTAACAGATCATTTACTGTCACATTTCTCGCTGCAAACTTCCAAATATAAAAAGGGTGGTCTAGAGAAAAGCAAGTGAGAATGTCATGTCACTGCCATATATTACGTTATTCTGAATTAACTTCAACAGTAAGAAATGAAATACTGATTCATTTCTCCCAACAACATTTTGATATTCTCCTTGCACCTCCAAAAAGCCTAAAACTCCCGAGATGGATTTTTTTTCTCCAGGGACTGCCTAAGGAATCTGAGGAATCTTTCCCCCTCTTATGGAAGAATTTGTTCATGCTCAGAATAGAGAAAAAGTAGGAGGAGAACCAGAAAGAGGAGAAAACATCTAAGCAGTTTCCTCTAACTTGACTGAAGAACCACATTTGGAACAATAAAATGACCCAGCACATCTCTCCCTTCTGGAAGGGTTTAATGTTTGATGTCACAGGGTCTTTTCTCCCCTGCATATGAATTTCCCCTTCGTCTACACGGGCTGCCCCACGGGTATCTCCACACAGCAGAAATCCTCAGAGAAGCTTAAAGATATGTAGGGTAAGAGGAGCCCCAGGAATGAAGATTTAAGGACAAAACAGAAAAATAAAAGGAAATAGAAGCTGGTTCCCTATCTGGACTTGAATGTTCAGAATATTTAAAATGTTTGCTTTAAGAATAGTCTGTGGTGGGCAAAATAGATGATAGCCACATGACTTGTATTCCTAAGGGTAAGAAGCAAATTAAAAAAAAGAAACAGTTCTGAACAGAAATGAAAAAATAAGATAAATTGCATAGTTCTTTTTTTTTATTAGATGGAGTCTGGCTCTGTCGCCCAGGCTGGAGTGCAGTGGTGCGATGTCGGCTCACTGCAACCTCCAACTCCCCGGTTCAAGTGATTCTCCTGCCTCAACCTCCTGAGTAGCTGGGATTACAGGAACACACCACCATACCCGGCTAATTTTTGGATTTTTGGTAGAGACGGGGTTTCACCATGTTGGCCAGGCTGGTCTCGAACTGACCTCATGATCTGCCCGCCTCGGCCTCCCAAAGTGCTAGGATTACAATGCTTACACCTAGAACAGATCTGTCACCTTTCAAACTTACAGTGTGGGCTTGTTTTGTTATCAATGCATTGATATTTACAGTACCTATGGATAGTCCATGTACTGAAATAAAATTGATTTAGGAATTTTGTCTTATAAGTGTTCTAAAGACTTGCACAAGTGCACACATACACACACTATATACATAGTGTGTGTGCATGTGCGTGTATATAAATGAGTAACCTTAGACTTAGATTTGTTAGATGAGGAAGGTTTCAACCTTCCCCAAAATGCAAATGGAGAATTTCAACCATATAAACCAAATATTGGCATTTTATCTCTGGAACACAAACATCTTGTGTTACTTTATGGTACTTACGTAATGGCCTGAATGCTCTAGTTTTTGCCAATATATTTTACATAATTTTGTATACAAGTTTAGTGGTATAGAAGATAAAGGACACTAAGGAATTGTGTAACAAAATGACTTCTTGGTTCCCTACAGCTGTTAAGTATGAAAACACACCATGAAAAGGCAACAAGCTTCTTCCAGGCAATGGAAGGCTTTTTGGGGGAGAAAAGAAAGTGAATTACAGGTTTAAACCTAGGAATGTCATTTTTTGAAACTTGTTTAAAATATTTTCAATCCTTCTAGTGGTTTGTGAGCTCCTGGGGTTTCTGGAAGGTGTTTGGGAACTGGATAGAGGGTTAGTTCATGCCTTTAAAAGCCAATACATTTCCATTTCTCTTTTATAACCAAGTAATAACCCAATTATGCATGTATTTTATATACACAGACACGTATTTATTTTTACTCCAAAACAAAATGGTCTGAGGCCTTTCAAGAAAGTGCATGTGGCGAAGTCATGGGGGGCAGGGTGGAGACCATTTGGTGGTGCCCACTAACTAGGTTTCTCAGTTGGCTTATCTCTTAGTGGACCATTGCTAGCAACCAGGGTGTTTTTAAGCATTTGACAGTTTTCCATCACTTTTATTTGCCTTCATATATTGTTTCATTTACACCCTTAGTATCTCTTGTTTTAAAGACAGGAGACAAAAAGAACATGGATATTTAAATACAAGTTAATGAGGAACTTTAAAATAATAATAATTCTACAAATTTACCTCAAGATACTTTACCAAATTCATAAGTTACATTTATCTGATCAAAATTCTTGTGTCACATATCAAGATGTTTCTTATACAGCAGAAATCAGTAGAAAAGAAAAAATAGGCCAAGCGTGTGGTGGCTCACACCTGTAATCCCAGTACTTTGGGAGGCCAAGGCAGGAGGATTGCTTGAGGTTTGGAGTTCAAGACCAGCCTGGGCAACACAGTGAGATCCCATCTCTATTAAAAAAATTAGAAAAGAAAAAGAATAAAATGGGGCTGTTATATCCAAATTGGCTTTTTAAAAATCAGCAATAAGGCCGGGTGTGGTGGCTCACACCTGTAATTCCAGCACTTTGGAAGGCTGAGGCAGGCGGATCAATTGAGGCCAAGAGTTTGAGACCAGCCTGGCGAACATGGTGAAACCCTGTCTGTACTAAAAATACAAAAATTAGCCAGGCATGCTGGTGCATGCCTGTAATCCCAGTTACTCAGGAGGCTGAGGCAGGAGAATCACTTGAACCTGGGAGGTGGAGGTTGCAGTGAGCTGAGATTGCACCACTGCACTCCAGCCTGAGTGACAGAGTGAGACCCTGTCTCAAAAAAAAAGAAAAAAAAAAATTGGCAATAAAAACAACCTGTTGCTTGCTGGAGGAAAAACCTGCTTGCAAAGCTCAGTCTGATATCATTTTTTAAACAAAACTCTAAGAACAAGCCAGTCAGTTAAGCTAAAACCAAATATTTGATTATGAAAAGGGTTTTTGTATATTTTTACAGGATAAGATACAAATAAATTTCAGTCTTTCTTTTAATATGTATTCTGTTCCCAAACCAGACACAAAGCAATTTTTAAACTTGATCGTCAAGAAATCTGTTTTCTCCTACACAATCAATGAAAAGTAATCTAAACAGTGTTTGTCAGGCCAGGCACAGTGGCTCACATCTGTAGTCCTAGCATTTTGGGAGGCCTAGGCAGGCAGATTGCTTGAGCCCAGAATTTCAAGACCAGCCTGGACAACATGGCGAAACCCCATCTGTATTAAAAAAAAAAAAAAAAAAAGACCATATGTCTGCAGTCAGATGGAAAAAGTAAAAATATGTAATAAACACATATGAATAATATTAAGGACCATATTTTAAAATAAACTTGATAATAAATTTTTAATAATATTATCTACGATAAAATGTTTTACTTAAATTTCGTTCTTTATCATGCCACACAAAAATGGCAAAATGATTAAGAGAGTTTGCAAAATTATGTGGTATAGTGAAAGAGGTTTGCGGTTAAAAAAAAAAAAGAGAGAGAGAGAGAGAGAGAAGTATGGGGCCATGGGGATAGTCTCTGTAATCAGTCACCTGAACCACTTTTAATACTCAAAAGACTTATGAGAATAAAAATCTGATTTTTGCTAAGATTTATTAGCAAAATAAATCTTACTCCTTCCTGTCCCTCTCTAATTATCCTTCAGCTTGACCATGTATGAAAGAAAATTTACATTTCACTGTTTAATCTATTTAAAGATGAACATTTCCCATTAAATCAGGATGCACCTTATAATCAGTAGCATCTAACAATATAAGTCAGCCAGGCTGCAGTTGTGACTGTAGTTAGAATTGCACATGTGTGAACATCAAATGAGCCAGCATCAAAACGTGCAGAATGGCCAGGCACAGTGGCTCACACCTGTGATCCCAGCACTTTGGGAAGCTGAGGTGGGTGGATCACTTGAGGTCAGGAATTCAAGACCAGCCTGGCCAAGATGGTGAAATCACGTTTCTACTAAAAATACAAAAATTAGCCAGGCATGGTGGCAGGTGCCTGTAATCCCAGCTACTTGGTAGGCTAAGTCAGGAGAATCGCTTGAACCTGGGAGGCGGAGGTTGCAGTGAGCTGAGATCGCACCACTGCACTCCAGCCTGGGCGACAGACCAAGATTCCACCAAAAAAAAAAAAAAAATTGCAGAATTGGTGTCAGCGACTTGGAAGAAAATTCTGCAAAGAAAAGTCCTTTTTTTTTCTTTTTTTTTTTAAACTCCTAGGAACCAAATGGTTGTGGAGAAGGAGTAAATCAGACATGTTTAGCAACATTCTTTAAGCAGGAGTCAAAAGTAAGCTAACACTACATAACTGCAAGGCCAGCTTAGGAGCCCAGGACCAATGACTCTCTGTTGTTTTATGGATTATTTTAAGAAATGCTGCATCATCAAATTCTTAATATAGAGGATGATACATGGGTAAGTGTAGACATCAAAGAGTCTGAGTCAAATGCTGAATGTGAAAAAGTTTTAGGAATACCGAAACCAATTTATTTTGCTTAATGTTTCTCTTTTTCGTGTACAAGTATGCTATATGAGAAAATAATCTCTATTTAATTAAATTTATAACAGCCCTTTCAATAAGTATAAAATGAACATTCTGATCATGTCATAGTTTAACTTGCATTTTTTTGTCTTAATGGCAAAAAACCAATGACGCTTCTTACAATGATAGCATCTTAGACTCAATGAAAAGTGGGGATGAAATGAAATTTGGGGATACAGTACTTTCCCCTCTTCTCCTAAAACAGATAATGAGCTTGAATGATCTACAATGTTTGCTAACTCTACTGCTTTCCTAACTGCTGCTCGTGGTGTTCCATTTTAATAAAAAGCTGTGGGCTGTTCTTATTTTGTTTGACATAGGGACTTTTTTTTTGGCCCAAGACTTTTAATATCATGTGGTCCGTATTTAACTCTCCCTAAAATATTTCTTGGGAAGAGAAATTCTAGTAGTTCAGTTTCGCTTGTATGATTTCTTTCAAAGTGTCAATTTACTCTTATTTCATTTGCTAGGGGTGCAGGCTGCATCTTTATTGAAATGTTCCAGGGTCAACCTTTGTTTCCTGGGGTTTCCAACATCCTTGAACAGCTGGAGAAAATCTGGGAGGTAGGAGAATAATTCTTCTAAAGAAAATGAAATATCTGCATTTTAAGTTTTGAACCAAATTTGCCTTACAGACAAATGAAGCAGTCCATCTGCTCTGAGATATTAAGCCCTATATTAAGATTGTAGAAACTGTAGCATTTGCCACAGCTATAAGCACCCTGGGAATGTGTGGTCAGGAAACTCCCTGTTGCCCCATAGCAGCCCATGAATCCAGCTCACTGAATGATGTTCAGGTCTCCTGCTCCCTGTCATTAGTATTGTCTTAACCTCCCAGGGCAATTTCTGCCATTACTACTCAGACATGTCCCTACCTTGCTACCTCCAGTTCTAATGCTACCATATATTTGGCCCTGGATCTTTGTCAACTGAAAATAAGACATAGAATTTTTAGCTGGGTGCAGTGGCTCATGCCTGTAATCCCAGCACTTTGGGATTGCTTTGAGCCCAGGAGTTCGAGACCAGCCTGGGCAACATGGCGAAACCCCATCCCTACAAAAACAAAAATGAGTGGGCTGTGTGGCGCACACCTTAGTCCCAGCTATTCAGGAGGCTGAGATGGGAGGATCACTTGAGCCCAGGGAAGTCGAGGCTGCTGTTAGCTGTGACCACGCCACTGCACTCCAGGCTGGGGAACAAAAAAAAGACACAAAATTTTCATAGAACCCTGATAGAACAGAGGCTTTCCCTCTTAGTGTGAAAGAAGTGTACCATTTATCATGCTTATCCACAGCCAAATTCCTAAAGTGTCAAGGTGCCTTTGTGTGTGTATGCAGCTCCATTTCTTAATTCATTATTTATCCCTACCGCAGTTGCCTATGATATGCTTTGTTTTTATGGCCCTTATATAGTATTACAGTCATACTATAGTCATCTGTATATTTCCTTTTTTGGTCATATTTTTATTGTGGTAAAATATACAAAACAAAATTTACCGTCTTAACCCTCCTTAAGTGTACAGCTTGTCAGCATTAAATACATTCATATAGTTGCACCACCATCACCGCCATCCATTTCCAGAACTTCTCTATCATCCCTAAGGGAAGCTCTGGACCCACTGAACAATAACTGCCCATCTTCCCTCCCCACACTCCCCTAGCCCCTAGTAACCTCTAATCTACTTTCTGTCTCCATGAATTGGCCTATTCTAGGTACCTCATATAAGTGGAATCATACAAATTTGTCTTTCCGTATCTGGCTTATGTCACTTAGCATATTTTCAAGGTTCATCCATGTTGTAGAATGTGTCAAGGGGCTTTAAATCGGCGGGGTGCAGGGGGGTACTTTATTACTTGCTATCCTGGATCCTGCTGCTTGTCTTCTGGCTAAAATAAAATGTACTTTGTGAAATTAAGACATTTTATAGAGATTAATTACTGACATTAAATTTTCTTCTAGAAACATGGGGGCTATTATGAAGGAACATGGGAAAAACTGGGAAGCATTCACAACTGAAAAAAAAAAATCCAAGCCAAAAGACTTTTTCTAAAAACTTTCTTGCAAGACAGAGCAATGCTATCTTCACATTATGTTATTGGGTGCTATAACATCATCTAAGCTGGAGACAGCCTACTGTCATAGCTTTGGAGTCCAAAGACCTGGGTTTGAATTCTAACCATTTTCTAGCTAAATGAACATGGGCAAGTTATGTAGTCCCTCTGAACTTTCGTTTCCTTGTCTGTAAAATGGCAACAATGATAATAAGGACTTTCTAATTCTTTATTGAGAATTCCATAAAAACAAATGCATAACAAGCTCCATGCACCATAAATGCTCAATAGATGCTTGCTTTCTTCCTGTCCCATACAAATTGTTGTACAGATGTTTCAATAACCTAACTGCTAGCAAGTATTACCTGAAATTTAACCCGATTGTTCTCTTCTTTCACTTAGCAGTATTATTTCTTGTCCACAATAGAGGAAGCACAATTGCAGTTCTGATGCTGCAATGACCTTTTATACATTTGAAGAGTTTTTCCTGGTCATTTAATCAGGAAACAACACTTACTCACCATATATGAGGCGAGTAACTCTACAAGACTCTACAAGGTCTTGTAAGAAGCTATAAGCCAAGGGGGAAAAAAAAAAGAAGAATAAGAAAAACACATGATCTGTATTTTCAAGTGTTGTTCAGTCTAGGTAGGGCGATGGGTGAAGTATACGTAAATATATGTGAAACAAACATAAACTATGTATATATGTAAAAGGATGTATGTATAGATAGTTAATATAAATTGTAATACTGAAATAAGATGTGCTATTAGGATACTTGAAGAGTAGTTTATTTGAAAAGAATATAAGTATATCCTTGTGTGCCATTAGTATTTGAAGAGTTGTATATAAACTGATTTTTTTTCTTTTTCCTTTTTTTTGAGAAGGAGTCTTGCTCTGTCACCCAGGCTGGAGTGCAGTGGTGCCATCTCGGCTCACTGCAAGCTCCACCTCCCCAGTTCAAGCGATTCTCCTGCCTCAGCCTCCTGACTAGCTGGAATTACAGGTGCCCGCCACCACACCTGGCTAACTTTTGTATTTTTAGTAGAGACGGGGTTTCACCATGTTGGTCAGGCTGGTCTCAAACTCCTGACCTCGTGATCCACCCGCTTTGGCCTCCCAAAGTGGTGGGATTACAGGCGTGAGCCACCGCGCCCAGCCTCATAAACTGATTTTTAAAATACAATATACAGTTAGGCATAGTTGTGTGTGCCTATAGTCCCTACTGCTTGGGAGGCTGAGGCAGGAGGATCCTTTGATCCCAGGAGTTTGGGCAACATAGTGAGACCCCCATCTCTAATAATAATAAATATAAATTTCAAATAACATTTTAAAATATGACATACTATCTTTGAATGACCACACAATTTAAAAAGCAATCATTTTACGGTTCTTTAGTGTTCAGTTAGCACAGCACTTAGAAATCATAGAATAAAGTGAGCAAGATGCTTCTCAAAGCCTGATCACTCTTTAGGACTCACAATGGGCTAGGTACTATGCTGGAAAGAGAAAAAATAATAATTTTCTAACCTGCTTGAGACATAGTGGTATAAATGATAACACAGCTGCTGAACGTGATGACTTTCTCACTTTGTCCGCAGAGCAAGAAACTATAGATGCAGTAACAAAACTGCATTCAATGAACATGGGACTGTAGATAACAAACTAACTTCATTTCTTTGGGTACATGCCCTGTATTGGGATTGCTGGATCATATGGTAGTTCCATTTTTAATATTTTGAGGAACCTCCATACCATCTTCCATAATGGCTGTGCTATTTGCATGCCCACCATCAGTGTGCAAATGCTCCCTTTCCTCCACATTCTTGCCAACACCTCTTTCATCTTTTTGATAATAGTTATGAGGCAATATCTCACCATGGTCCTAGACTTCATTTGTCTGATGACTAATGATATTGAGCATTTTTTCATATATCTCTTGGCCATTTGTAGGTCATCTTTTGAGAAATGTGTATTGAGGTTCTTAGTCCATTCCTGCTACCATAACAAAATCCCTTAGAGTGGGCATTTTATAAAGAACAGAAATTGGCCGGGCGCAGTGGCTCATGCCTGTAATCCCAGCACTTTGGGAGGCCAAGGTGGGTGGATCACCTGAGGTCAGGAGTTCAAGACCAGCCTGGTCAATATGGTGAAACCCCATCTCTACTAAAAATACAAAAACTAGCCGAACGTGGTGGTGTGCACCTGTAGTCCCAGCTACTTGGGAGGCTGAGACAGGAGAATTGCTTGAACCCAGGAGGAGGAGGTTGCAGTGAGACGAGATCGTGCCACTGCACTCCAGCCTGAGCAACAGAGTGAGACTTCATCTCAAAAAAAAAAAAAAAAAAAAAAAAAAGAACAGAAATTTATTTCTCACTGTTCTAGAGGCTGGAAAGTCCAAGATCAAGGCACTGTAGGCTGTTGTCCAGTGAGAGATTTGGTCTCCAAGTTAGTGCCTTGTCGCTGCATCCTCCAGAGAGGGCAAATGCTGTGTCCTTACATGGTGGAAGGGTAGAAGAGCAAACGGGCCTGACTGATTCCCTCTAGCTCCTTTATAAGGGCATTCATCTCTGTCCTTGTGTCCTAATCACACGCTAAAGGTGGCTAAAGGCCCCACCTCTTAATACTGTTGCATTGGGGATAAAGTTTCAACATGAATTATGAAGAGAATACAAACATTTAAACCACAACAAGTCCTTTGCCCACTTTTTTTTTGGAGACCGAGTCTCACTCTGTTGCCCAGGCTGGAATGCAGTGGCTTGATCCTGGCTCATTGCAACCTCCACCTCCTGGGTTCAAGCAATTCTCCTGCCTCAGCTTCCCAAGTAGCTGGGATTACAGGTGTGCACTACCACACCCAGCTAATTTTGTATATTTAGTAGAGACAGGGTTTTACCATGTTAGCCAGGCTGATCTCGAACTCTCGACTTCTGGTGATCCACCTGCCTCAGCCTCCCAAAGTGCTGAGATTACAGGCGTGAGCCACCGTGCCCGGCCCTTTGCCCACTGTTTAATGGGGTTGTCTTCTTGCTATTGAGTTCCTTATATATTTTTGATATTAACCCCTTATCAAATGTATGGCTTGCAAATATTTTCTCCCATCGTAGGTTGTCTCTTCACTCTAATGATTGTTTCCTTTGCTCTGAAGACACTTTTTAGTTTTATTTATTCCCATTTGTCTATTTTCACATTTGTTGCCTATAAGCAGGTTAGAAAATTATACAGATTATAAATAGTTCCTGAATTTGTGTTTTACTAAACGTAGCCTACACAGATGAAAACAGGAAAGCTACACTTCAGAATCTGTGATATTTGATGTCAGAAGTGCATCCCTGAAAGCAATGGGTCCATTCTAAATCTCCTAACCTCTAACCATAATTTGTTCTATATTTATCCTGAGATCTCACTCTTAGGAATAAAAACACATTGAGAAGTCCTGAGTCTCTATTTTACTATTTTTCTGAAGTGCCTGTAGTGTGTGTGTTTACATCTAAATAATAGCTGTCACCACTTTCTGATCAATTTTAAAAACTAATTTTAAATAAGTGTTTTTCATAAATAATCCTGGATTTAGTTCTAAAATCAGAATAAACTATGCAAACTTTGAATCCATTAATCAAAATGCTTTTAGTTTCCATTCCAACAAAGGCAGATAAACAGCCCCTTCAGACCACTGTGGTTTGAAACATAGCACTCACTGGCTGCCTTTTAAGAGCCTTCAGGGAGGGAGCAAAACAACAATTTTTGGTTTTCAGTTTCCCAGACAGTGAAGGAGAGATTTAGTAATTTTCTCAAGTGAAAAAGAATTCAATAACTTGCAAATAGAAACTGAGATCAAATTTCCAAATAAAGTATATTGAATTTTTGTTTAAACTTTTAAAATCTCAAGCTTAAAGCTTTGAACATAAGATTAAAAAAACTTTTTTTAGTATCCATTTTGTTGGCTTTAGTTAAATATCATACAAAGTAACCAACCATCTGGTAACTTTCACCTTAGAGAAAACATGATAGTGGTTGTCACCTATTTCTTCTATTGTTTTCTCTTCATTATCTTTGCTTTCTTTTCACTGCACTTTGCCAGCCAACAGAGGATGTATGGGTACATGTGACTCACACCCACTTGTTTACACATGCATCTGTGCAAATACATAAGATGGTAGGTTAAAAAAAGAAGAATTAGTTTCTTGTCCCCTGGCCTTCTCCCACAAAAGAAGAATTAGTCCAGTTGGTTTTTCAAAATGGATTCCAGGATTCTTAGTGTTCCCTCGGGCTCAGGGTGGTTGATAGGAAAAGCCTATAATCCTCTCAGTCACTTTTCAGTTTGTTTAGGGAATGGATCAAAGAAGGAAGATTTTACTGGGTGGCATGATTTTTTTATTATATGAGGGAAAATAGCACTTCACTGTCTTTTGTTTAAAGACAAGCTTAACAGATGCTAAAAAGTACATCTCTCAGCCAGATTCCTAGTCAACAAGCTGATAGACACTAAGATTCTGGATTCTTCATTGATTATATTCAGTCATTGTTGGGCAATTGACTCCCTGCCATAATAATTGGGCCAGTATCTATAACCAGCATTTTACAGATGGATTCGCTAGACTCTTTCTGTAAGAGATGTTTCTAAAAAGAGTTATAGTGAGATATGCTTCTAAGAAAAGTTATACTGTAGTAGTGTAATGAAAGCTACTAGTGTTTTATTAGTATTTCACAAGAACAATGTTACTCTGTCTCCCATATATAACTGTCTATGGGCTTTTATGATTATTCTTTAAAAAAAAAAAAATACTAAGGTAATGCCTACCGGGGAACTCATGGTGCTGGCTTCATCCAAAGTCTGAGCTGTTTTGGCTTTATACTCCGAAAGACTTTATTTTCATACATCTTAACTAAAAACTGGGGCTTTAAATTGGTCATTCAAGGCCAGGCGCGGTTGCTCATGCCTGAAATCCCAGCACTTTGGGAGGCCGAGGTGGGCAGATCACGAGGTCAGGAGATTGAGACCATCCTGGCCAACACGGTGAAACCCCGTCTCTACTAAAAATACAACAACAACAACAACAAAAATAGCCAGGCGTGGTGGCTTGCATCTGTAATCCCAGCTACTCAGGAGGCTGAGGCAGGAGAATGGTGTGAACCTGGGAGGCAGAGCTTGCAGTGAGCCGAGATCGCATCACTGCACTCCAGCCTGGGCGACAGAGCGAGACTCCGTCTCAAAAAAAAAAAACATCGGTAATTCAAAGCATAGACCAGCCCTTTTTCAAGTGATGTTGTTCCCATGACAATCCATCAGTGAAAAACCAAATACCATATTCCAAGCTGCTAGTCACAGAGAAAACAAGCAGATGAGATGAATGTAATAGAAAAGACTAGAGTTAGTTTTGGGGTCATCTTTAGCCAACATTCCATTGCCTGAAGCTCAGTAATCTGAATCCTTTTTAATTTGAGCACATCAGGGAACAGCTGAATACCCATGCTGAGGCATAATTTAAGCTGTCAAGTGTCTCCTGTCAATATACATGTGGTCATCTGATGCAAGGCAAAGAGACAGTCACTCCTGCTTCTTTATATCCCTAGCTCCCAACATGGTGTCCTAATGCATGATAATCATGCAGTAAATGTTCAGTGATGAGAACATGACTTTGAGCAAGGCTGTATGATCTGCCTCAGAACAAGTGAGTCAGTAAGAATGCAGGCCCCGGACCATAGGAATGTATTACAGTTTTGCCCAAGAAACCACAAACGTTGGAAACACTCAAGTTTCTTTCTCGTATACATCAGCTGGTGTCATGCAATGGGACATACATCTGACGCTTCCCTGTTCTTCCCTGATTTGTCCTGCATGTCTCCATACCTCTTCCATCCACCTCATCTCCCCACCTCACCTTTCTTTTTCTTTGTTTGGCTTTATATAGGTGCTGGGAGTCCCTACAGAGGATACTTGGCCGGGAGTCTCCAAGCTACCTAACTACAATCCAGGTAATATTGATCTGAGCTTCTGAATACTCTGAGAATTAGTAATGTAAGGAGAGCATTGGCCACGCTAACAGGGCGTTCTTGTATTGTGAACTCAGCGGCAAAGATGGGTGTAGAGGAATTTCTACATTCATATATTCCCTGACTAATCTTTGTATGAGGAAGACACTGAAAGAGTAGCTGAGGTTAGACCAGTTCCCCAGCTCTGTAAAACACAAGTAGCAAGCTGAATAGAATTTGAAATGACTATTACTGTGGATTCCACATCCATTGTCAAATACCCAATGGCTCAAAAGAACAACTCAAAAGATGGGCTCACTTTTGGGCCCCCTGACTGTCATAAGTGTATTGATTAGTATTGAATTGCATATGTATAAAAAGAAAGCTAATGCAACAGAACAGAGGTAGAGGCTCGCTAGGCCTAGGACATGCCAAGTAAGCTGTCTGTAGGTTATACTTACTAAGAGTTCATTCATTGCCTGTAAACCTGACACTTGGTCATTGTCTCTCACACATTTCATCTTTCAAGACTGGCTTCTGGGATCGATTTAGAAGTGCTGGAAGTGTTATCCATGGGGGAATTCTTTGAGAAGCTGTCGCAGGGCCACATCAGAGGGATCAGATTAAGCAGTAGTCACTTCAAGGATGTTGAGACAGAGGGGAGGAGACAGGCACTGAACTACAGGATGAAGGATCATATTAGAAGCTGAAGAAGCAAATAAAGCCCATGCCAAAGCTGAGCTCTCACTGGCAGGGTTGAAGGGGAGGTAGAAAGGTACAGATAACGACAAGATTAGGGTGGATATGCTCCAAGCCAGATTTTTCTAGTCTTTATGGTCTTACATTGTTCCATTACTAAAAATGAAATCTTCCCAAATTGTTGTCCTTACTTTTTTTTTTTTTTTTTTGAGATGGAGTTTTGCTCTTATCGCCCAGGCTGGAGTGCAGTGGCACGATCTCGGCTCACTGCAACCTCCACCTCCTGGGTTCAAGCAATTCTCCTGCCTCAGCCTCCCCAAGTAGCTGGGACTACAGGCACCCGCCACCATGCCCAGCTAATTTTTTGTATTTTTAGTAGAGATGAGGTTTCACCATGTTGGCCAGGCTGGTCTCGAACTCCTGACCTCAGGTGATCCACTTGCTTCAGCTTCCCAAAATGCTGGGATTACAGGCATGAGCCAGCGCGCCTGGCCTGTTGTCCTTACTAACTTTGGTATGAGATTATCCTGGAAGGGTTTCCTGAGAGCAAGAAATTGTAGGTAGAGTTAAAATGTGATTAAAGAAGAGAATAAAATACATAGGGAGCTGGGGACTCTTTTTCTTATTTTCTTTAGCATCCAATACTTTTGCTTACAGCTATCCATAGGGATCTGGCATCTTGAACCACCAGGATTATGGAAGCCCTACAGCAAGCTAAAGACTAACTGTAAAGTCCTTTCAGCTGCTTTGTGAATGGTTATATCTATTGCTAAAAGGCCTTAATATCATTTGCAAATAGTTTATGATTTCTAACTATTTTTCTAGAGTTTAACACGTGAGAAAAATGCTACTCTCTGGTCACAGGACTTAGAATAGTGCCTATTTCCATTGGTCTGAGATAGAGAAAAAAGAACAAGTTTCTTGTGGAGCCGTGGTCCAGTCTGCAAATTGCTCCTATCTCCAGTTGCCATGGTTTCCAGGAGAACGTGGCTCTCATCTTTTCCTGCCCTGCCTGTACTTCTCCCTGTCCACTCTGTTCTCTATTTTCCCTCAGCTTCCTAACTGAGAATGCCAGCAGAAGTTTAGAGTCACAGATGGATTGTAGGAAACAATTTGGATGATGCCAATACAAAGCTACTGTGGTGGGCATATGCTGCTCCCCCAAACTTCAGACATTTGGGTTTCAGGTTGGTCCAGGCAATCAACAGTGATCCTTAATACAAAATGTCTTGGTGAGAGCAATAATCAAGAAACTTGGCCAAAGTGCTTCCCTGCCAGATTGTGTGCTTAATAAGATAACTGGGTTCCGGCCGGGCGCGGTGGCTCACGCCTGTAATCCCAGCACTTTGGGAGGCCGAGGCGGGTGGATCATGAGGTCAGGAGATCGAGACCATCCTGGCTAACAAGGTGAAACCCCGTCTCTACTAAAAATACAAAAAAAAATTAGCCGGGCGCGGTGGCGGGCGCCTGTAGTCCCAGCTACTCGGGAGGCTGAGGCAGGAGAATGGCGTGAACCCGGGAAGCGGAGCTTGCAGTGAGCCGAGATTGCGCCACTGCAGTCCGCAGTCCGACCTGGGCGACAGAGCGAGACTCCGTCTCAAAAAAAAAAAAAAAAGATAACTGGGTTCCAATAAAACAGAGAAAATATGTTACATTTTAAAAAATTTTCTGTTGTTTCAAAACAATGTGCAGTTTTTCTATATAAGAAGAAAAGTCTCCAGGCCCAACATCCATAGGGCTCATCATCCATTGTTTTTCTTTTAAGTTTTCAATTTAATCCAAATAAGTCAAAAATTTTCAGGTACCTACTATCTGCCAGGTGCTGTGCCGTGCGCTGGGGCTACACAGATGGAGAGGGTGCATTCTTGGATCTCTAGTGTTTGGGTTTGGATTCATTCACCCACACTCTTTCACCAGTTCTCTTTGTTACTGGGGTGCTCATTTGTGAGCCCTGCTTCCATGGCTTGGAGAGTTTGTGGCTGTGGGCCAGGCTGAGCTTATGGAGCAAAGGGAGTTGGAACCTTAGCCATAGACATGATGTCTAAACCTGGATTTGGAAATCTTAAAAGTCCAGCCTATCTTGGGCCATGGGGTCAGTATTATTGATAACTCAATCCCAAGGACTGTGTTTTAAAAGGGTCTCCAACATCTGCATTTCAGGAACATCCTCTTACGTGAGTCAATAAGTTCCTTTTGAGCCACCCCCTACCCATCCCCATCCCTGAGCTGCTGTGGCTTCTAAACACTTGAATGTCAGTGATTAAGGGGAGCAGAAGACAAGCTGGGAGCCAGGAAAGTGTCACAGATGAGCACCGTGTCAGCAGCATTCTGGATGAGCTTCCCATTCCTTTCCTTTTCATTCTAAGTAGTCCTAGGAGCCCCCAAACTTTGAATCAGCCAGTACAATTTTGAGGGAGTCCAGTTGTCCGGAACTTGGGAGAACCATCCAGTGTCCATCTACACCCATGCCTCCATTTCTAGGCCTTATCTGGACACCTCTAGGAGGACAGCAAAGTTTCCATTTGTACAGCTTTTAAAAAGTCACCTGATGCTGACCCAGTCGGATTTCTCTGACAGTTAACTGTTTTCTTGGAGCTTTGATGAGCAGGGTTGTAAGTTTTCTAGCCATCAATTCAGATTCTAGTGCCTGATTAAACCTGGGCAAGGTAAGAGGGTTGTATAATTTTGGAAACTTGCTTTTCCTTCCCTCCCTCCCTCCCTTCCTTCCTTCCCTTTCTCCCTCCCTCCCTTCCTTCTCTCTCTCTCTTTCCCTCCCTTCTTTCCTTCCTTCTCTCTTTCACTCCCTCCCTCCCTTCCTTTCTGTCTCCCCCACTCCCCGTTTTAAGCAAGCTGGCTGAGAACTCTGTGTCCTCCACTTCAAAGGGCCAGTTGTCTTATTTTGATGTGGGCAGATTGAAAAGTAGGCTTTGAAAAGTAGGCGCTTTTTTTGTTTAATCTTTTCTCTTGGGATAGCTTTCAGAGCAATATATCCAAATGTCAGTGAGGGGGTTCTGACGAGCACGGATTCCCAGACTCTCAGCAGGATCATTCTCTAACAGAAATATAAAAGTGAAATATTAAAAACCCTGGAACGTGAACTCCATCTGCAGAGTACCCAGTGTCTTGCCTGCTTTCACCAAGGGAAAAAAAATAAATCTTGAAAAAAGAGGGAGGAGAAAAAAGTGTTTTGAGTAAGAGGTTTACAGGTTTAGTAGAGCATAGTAACATCCCCTCAAAGAAGTGGGTGTTGCTCTGTGACCCCCCAAAACGCTCCTCCTTTGACTCAGCCGCCAGAACACTCACCCTCCTCCGGCAGCACACCCCCTTTTCACATGCTAACTGAGGCGCCCGTGATTGGCTGAACAATAAACTGGTCACACTTGCTAAAGGGCTGCCGTCTTTCACACAATTAGCCAAGACACATTAATCAAGCTGGCGGGCCGGGGCTGCGCGGGCCTCCTGCAGTGGGGGAGGGGAGAGAGTTTGGTGAGTCTTAATAATACTCCACAGGAAGCAATAAAGAACCGCAAGCTGGAGAGGATTCTGCTATCAGAAAGTTGGAAGAGTTTAAAGCCCCAATGGATGCCGTAGCTAGAATGGACAGGAGTTGTGGCGCTGAAGATCCCAGAAACTTAGAGCAAATTGAATGTTGGTCTTGGCTAAAATCTGCTAGTAGAAGACAGTATTGTGCATTCAAATGGCGAACCTCTAGAGACATTTTTACAAAGTTCCTTTAGCCTTCTTAGCTCTCCCTACCACTCCCACGAAAATGCACTCAGGAGCCACTCCGCTTTGAAGACTGAAGCCCTGGGCAGTGGCTATGCCAAACCATACAGTGTAGGTTTCACCATCAGAACCAATAGAAAGGAGGAATATACAAGAAGCAGAGAATACCATTCTGGATGAGATTTCCATTCCTTTCCATTTCATTCGAAGTAGTCATAAGCACCCCCAAACTTTGAATTCAGCCAGTACAATTTGAGGGAGCCCAGCGGGGAGCCCAGTCGAGAGTTCTCTCAATTTAGAACAAATTAAGAGAAAGTATTAGCTGGAAAGGTATTGGTCCTAAACTAAGCATCTGAAGGGTATTAAAAATAGTTAATTTTGGGAGAGAAAAAGTTAACATTTGTATTTTTAATAATATTTTCTGATTTTTCTTTCTCAAATTCCCTTTAAATAGATGTTCCAATGGCAATACAGAGCTGATAAGATCATACCTTAGAAATCAGTTTGCTACAGAATCATGTAGAGCTTTTAAGAGAATCAACTAAATATTTAGACATTTCTCAACTAAAGTAAACGGAGGCCTTACTCCTCTGGAGGTTGTCCAGTCACCATCTCATTAGATGCAAAGATCCTGCGATAAAGAGAAACTTTTTTTCTTGCCTACATGATTGCAGCCCAGTTGTGGTTTTTAATGTGTCATTGATTGTTTCATCCAACTCCTTTTGCTCCACTGAAAGGGTCTGTCATAGCTCTGTTTGCTTCCTTAAACACGGTTTTTGAAAGCGCTCACGCTGTGTGAGCTCAAATCCTAGCATTAATGTACTGCTGGGTTCATTTCACCAAACTCAAAAGCGCTGAGTTTAAATCCCTCTCAATTCCATTTGAGGCACCAGAAGACTTTATCCTTCTCCACTAATGGTTCCAAGTTTACATCTAGATACTGGGGGTCAAGGACAGGAGAGGATTTAGAAATAACAGTGCATGACATTAGTCAATGCATTTGCCAAATTGGCAATTAGTTCCTGATGTGCGTGCAAAGCATTTTATTCCTGTCTCTTTGATGCTTGTTCCCATAAAGAAGGGAATAGGGTCCACAGAGGCCTTCAAACTTTTAAAGAAATATCTGCTGAAAATCATGCCTGATTTGTGACATGAGCTCAGCCGCAGGGAAGCATCCGGGATTATCCTGGTTATTTTAGTCCTAGGAAAGAACACTGCACGTGGGAAGTTTTTCCACTAGAAGAACGTAATGAAAATCAAAAGGCAGGAAAGCGGTACTAAAAGCCCTGCAGGGACCAGAATCAGATGTACCATAAGCGACAGGCCAAGGGATGCCCAGTTGTTTTTCAGTATGCTTGCTTTATCAACTTCTGACCACCAGGTGGAAGCAAGAAACAGCATGGATGGCATACTGACATCGGACAGCATCGTACTGCAGCAATGCAGCCTTGTTCTAGGAATGTCTCATTTTGACCTTAAATCCAGTGTGAGAGCTTCACTGCGTCTGAAACCACTATGAGACAGAAGATGATTAAAATGATCCTTGTCCCCACTGGGATGATAAAGAGCTATTCTGCTTTGGGCTCAATGAGTTCTGAGCAAGTCTCTGTGTTTGCTGTGAGCACAAGCTAAGGTCTGCATCTGGGTCGGCATCAGCTTGGTTGTATGAGCTATTAGCCAAGGGAGTTATTCAGTGGGTTGAACTAAGGGGAAAGATATTGATAAAAGAGGCTTTAACTGCAGGCATCAATTCATATGGAACTGTAAGTCCAAGCTCCCCCTTTTACTATCTGGGGTAACTTGAGGAAGTTACTTATTTCCTAGTTCTGTAATCTGCAAAATGGGAGAAATCCTATCATTGTAAAAGTGTTTCCTATGTGCCAGACACAGAACATACACAATTGCTAATCCTATTACTGCCTGCCAAGATCGATGCTGGGTGGAGTAGCCCGATTCTACAGATGAGGAAACAGAGGCTTTCTCCTAGGCTCACAGAGAGGTGTATACTTATTGGAAATGGCTGAAATCTGCATCCAAACCTTGTTCTCCTTTCATTAATCATGTTGTATCCCTCTGTCTCATTTTGCAGGATGAGTCTGAAAAATAAATTATATTGAATTGCATCTGCTATAGTGCCTAACTTTTAGTAGGTACTCAATAAAAGTTCCCATTCAGTTTTTTTTGTTGGTTTGTTTTTTTTTTTTTCTTTTTTTTTTTTTTTAGATGAAGTCTCACTTGTCACCCAGGCTGGAGTGCAGTGGCATGATCTCGGCTCACCGCAGCCTCCGCCTCCTGGGTACAAGCGGTTCTCCTGCTTCAGCCTCCCGAGTAGGTGGGAATACAGGCGCACGCCACTGAACCCAGCTAATTTTTGTATTTTTAGTAGAGACAGGGTTTCACCATGTTGGCTAGGCTGGTCTCGAACTCCTGACCTCAAGTGATCTACCTGCCTCAGCCTCCCAAAGTGCTGGGATTACAGGTGTGAGCCACTGCCTCCATTTGGTTTTTTACACAGTGTGGAAGTTCAGCTGCTCAGTGACTTGCCATGGTTCAGACCCAGTGACAGGTGTGTGAGAACTGATGCTATCTCTGCTCCCTTAGAAATATTGGCTTTCTTCTAGAGGTCAGAAATACCTCCAGGCACCAGAACTGACTTTTGTTTTTACTTGCATGGCCTAAACCTTGCCTGAATCCGCACATCCTAAGAGCTGACTCTGAGTTTTCAAATGCCTACCTAAGTCAGTTGTGTGCCCGTTAAGGCTGTTCTTATTTGGTGATGGGTCCATTCTGCTCCCCACACCTAGACTGCAGTAATATGTCTGCCCACTCTGTACCCACAGGGCCTTTCCCTGGGAGAATCCTTGTCATCTACATGCTACATAATGGGTATCTAGTAAGGGCTACTAAATCACAGACAACATTAGTGTTACCATTGTTAATTTCACCCAAACATGGTATAGTGGAAAGAGTGCTGAAGTTTTCTACAGAGCACACCTGACCACTTCTAGTGCTTCTAGTATTTTACACAAGCCCCCTACCTGGCACATAATAAGTAGTCAGTAGATATTTGTGAAATGAAATCAATGACTAAGAGTTAGAAAACCTGAGTTCTAGTTCCAATTGCACCCTCTTGGACTCTAAATAATTCTTATTGTCTGCTTTGCAAAGAAGAACATGTAAGTTATTATTCACCTTAATAATGGTAATAATAATTGAGGACTAACTATGAGCTAGACACTTTACATATTTTACTTTACTTTGATTCACAACAGCCTTATCAGATAGAGACAATGTTGTAAACCCTACTTTACTGATGAGAGAGCTGAGGCTTTGAGAGAGGTATGTGACTTGCTTAGGGTCACCTAACCAGGAAGGGGGTGACCTAGAATATCCACACCTGTTGGACTCCAAGTGGGTCGTAGCCGTATTCCACTTTACCTTAATTATCAAAGGGCAGATATAATGATTTGGTAATTAAAACAGTGCCCTAGACTGGGGACTGGCCATAAACTTTTGCAGGTTCATTTCCAAATGATTATGTCTTTCCACCCAGACGTGATTTTAGAATCTGTGAGCCTGGCGACATATTTCAGGAGTGTAATCTGAGTGGAGTTCCTACCCTGGGACTCCAGCAGCCTCCCTCGCTACAGCTAATGAAGCCACTGGCGTTCACTGAATCTATGAACCTCGATTGGGCTCATTACTGTCTCACTTCTGGAGCGCTGCTGAAAGCTCCTGGGGAGTTACTATTAACATCTTTATTAACCCGTCCCCCAAATCAGTCAGTGAAATTAATTTAGATACACAGCCACTTTGATCTTCATTAATGGTTGCTTCTAGTTTCTACATTTATTTTTAGTTTTCTCATCTTTAATTTATTTGGTGTCAATTATTAGTTTTTATTGAGGGAGGAGTAGATGATCTTAAAGTAATTAAGATTAGGAAAAATTGCAAGTGAGTGAAAGCAGGTAAAAAGTATTTTTTCTAAAGTAAAACTCCAAGAATATATACAATTTTAATTTATTAATTAAAAAATAATAAATAAATGTTCTTAATGTTAAAAAGAAATAAAAGTTCCTTCCAAGTTGAAGAATAAAAGAGGCCTGCCTCAAGGTGCCAAATAACATGTAAATGGCTCAAACCAGAGCCTCCTTCTCCATGTTTATGGCCAGTGCTTTGCACCATCAAGCTCTGTAAAACACAGAGCTGGGGCTGGGTGTGGTGGCTCACTCCTGTAATCCCAGCACTTTGGGAGGCCGAGGCGGGCGGATCACTTCTGTAATCCCACCACTTTGGGAGGCCGAGGCGGGTGGTTCACTTGAGATCAGGAGTTCGAGATCAGCCTGGCCAACATGGTGAAACCCTGTCTCTACTAAAAATACAAAAATTAGCCAGGTGTGGTGGCAGGCACCTGTAATCCCAGCTACTCAGGAGACTGAGGCAGGAGAATCACTTGAACCCAGGAGGCAGAGGCTGCAGTGAGCCAAGATCATGCTGCTGCACTCTAGCCTGGGCAACAGAGTGAGACTCCATCTCAGAAAAACAACAACAACAACAAAAGAAACACACATAAACAGAGCAGGTATACAAGTGGGCTCACCTGAGTTACTTTAACGTTTTTAAAGTAAGGTTTAATATATTTATTTCATTTTTATTTTTCATCCAACCATCTACTTCTTATTTATTCAGCAAATATGTATTGAATGCTAGGTACTAGGGACTGAGAGAGTAAAAAATAAATATGACACTGGTACCTGCCTTCCAGGAATATAGTCTAGAGGGGAAAATAAATAAATAATACAATGTGGGAAGTATACTACAGCAGCATTGCCTGGGGATCTTTAAGAAACTAGGGAAATCTTGGACTTGGCTGTGATATGACAAGAAAGAACAGGAAAATAAAAGAAAAGAAGGAACTAGGGAAATGGCCCTCTTAATTTGGGGAATTTAGGGATAGTTTTATTTATTTATTTTTTGAGATGAAGTCTCACTCTGTCACCCAGGCTGGGGTACAGTGGCGCGATCTTGGCTCACTGCAACCTCCGCCTCCAGGGTTCAAGTGATTCTCGTGCCTCAGCTTCCCAAGTAGCTGGGATAACAGGTGTGCGGCCCCATGCCCAGTTAATTTTTGTATTTTTAGTAGAGACGGGGGTTTCACCATGTTGGTCAGGCTGGTCTCTAACTCCTGACCTCAAGTGATCCACCCACCTCGGCCTTCCAAAGTGCTGGGATTACAGGCATAAGCCACCGTGCCTGCCCTAGGGATGGTTTTTAAAGAAAGAGATGTGAGCTTGGCCTCCCAAAGTGCCGGGATTACAGGCATGAGCCACTGTGCCCGGCCACCCCTGCTATTTTATTCAAAGGAAACAGAAGGGGGAAGGAACAGATTTATAGAGAAGGTAATGAGTATAAGGTTTTAACATTTTGAGATTAAGGTATCTGTGGAACCACAAAATGGAGATATCTAAAAAGCAAGTAGAAATATAAACTGTGAGTACAAAAGTCCAGCCTAGAAATACAGAAGTCACATGCTTAAATCGGTATTTAAAGCCTCAGGTGTGAATTTAGTTGCCCAAAGGAGAGAGTGTAGAGAAAGAAGAAAGGACAATGAGGGAACCCTGTGGGGCCAGTACTGCAGGACTGGGTAGAGGGAAGGGAGTCTTTAGAAGCTGAGAAGGAACAGCCAGAGGAGCTAAAGGAGACTAGTAGGTAATCCTAGCAATACCATGGAAATCATATGGCCAGCACTCACTGGAAGAGGGCTGGGTTCCATGCCTGTGTATTCTCAATGCTGAGCTCATTGGCTGCATGTGGTGGCCCTTCAATATTTGTGGAGACTACAAGGAGTTGTCAATGTCAAATGATGCCTCATTAAATACAACACTCACTGAAAAGCATGATCAAGCCATAGGTCAAAAATCATTTGTTGGGGTAGACAGAGTTCAGTCATAGCCCTGCCTCTAAGAGAGGGGAGAGTCCTGACTATGCCCATTCCCTCCACCTTCTCCATCCACCAGGAGCAAGGCCTGGTCTCTCCTTCCTTTACAGAGACCTCAGGAACAGGCTTTAGCGGATGGGATATTTTCTCAGAATCCACAGAAAGTTTTGATTCACAATTAGAAAAGTGATACGCTACAAATATGAGTTGGAGGACCAAGGTTGAACAATGCCAAGGAGCACCCTCAGTGAGGACACTGGCTTTTAGAGCATCCTGATGATGCTCAAAGGGGACTCTAAAGCTCGGGAAGGGCCAGGTGCAGTGGCTCACGCCTTTAATCCCAGCATTTTGGGAGGCCGAGGCGGGTGGATCACCTGAGGTTAGGAGTTCAAGACCAGCCTGGCCAACATGATGAAACCCCATCTCTACTAAAAATACAAAAATTAGCCAGGTGTGGTGGTGTGTGCCTATAGTCCCAGCTACTCAGGAGGCTGAGGCAGGAGAATCTCTTGAACCTGGGAGGCAGAAGTTGAAGTGAGCCAAGATCGTGCCACTGCACTCCAGCCTGGGCGACAGAGCAAGATTCCATCTCAACAAAAAAAAAAAAAAAAAAAAAAAAAAAGCTTGGGAAGCCTTGAGCCAAATACTAGAGAAACTTCCAAGCCAGCTACCTGAGGAAGAGTGAAGCAAACAGTTTTGAGGACATGAGTGAATGTGTGTGTGTGTGTGTGTGTGTGTGTGTGTGTGTGTTTGGGGTGAGGGTGAAGGGCACGTAGGAGAAAAAGAGTTACAGATTTTGGCAGTGCAGTTTTCAAGTTACTGCTTCAGATAGCGAAATAAGGCTAACAACATTATCAACTATTTAAATATACGGTATCTCAAGAATGCATTGTATTCAGGAAATTCCAGAGGTGTAGTTCAGTAGACAGCACTATAAGATAACCTTAGGGTGATTGTGGCAAGACTATAGTAACTAGAAAATGTTTTACCTTGAGCTGAGACTCAGAATGGTGCAGTGATGTTTTACTAAATCAATCAACAAATCTCTGTTGACTAAGGTTACCAGATTTGAATTCCGTTGTGAAATGAGCTTTATTAAATATTTATGAAAAATGGACGGTTTTTACTATGGTAGCAACAGTTCTGCCCTCATTTTGATTTCACTCCACTTAGTTTGGAAATTTAAATGCTCTGCTTTATTACTTTCCTTTTGCAACTTTGCTTTTCCTGCCTCGAATTCCAATTGAACTCAAATGAGAACTCTTTTTAGAGAGAACTGCAGAGGGATGAGAAGGAGAAAAATCAGGTCTAATGATTTACTCTTGTCTTTGGAAGGAGAAGGGAAACAAGCTACCTCCAGACCTATTATTTTTAGAGGCTATTGAAGCCAGAGAAACCAGACTCCTCTTGAAATGGTGCTGTGTGAAATGCCTATCTGTTTGTGGATCATTCTCTCACTGATCACTCACAGCTTACCTACTGGGAAAAATCAATGGGAGAGAGGCAAGGTCATTCAGCCTCAGGTTATCTGCCTGAGTGGGAGGGCAGGCCACAAACAGGCGATGGGCTTTGCTTCTGCTTAATAGCAGCTCCCTGACTGACCCGGACACATCCATTCCTGTCTCAGCTAATGTAGCTACAAAATAGAGGTGGGAGGGGCGTCAGCACAATCCTTCTACCCCAAACATGGACTCAAGTACAAAATGTTGTTATTCCTGGGGTCCTGGGGCAACTATTACAGGTCATCCTTTTCTGGCAGAATTTACGAGAACTGAATTTTCCCTTGTCATGCTTCCTCTCTCACATCCCTGAACAAACATATTAAGTATGTGTCAGACACTGTGTTCTGCAACATGTATATACATTGATTAATTAAATTCTTACAACAACCTCATTTGAGTTGTTACAGATGAGGAAATGAGCCTCAGAGAAGTGTTTGTTGAGTTGCTGGTGAGTGATAGACCCTGCCCTCTTTGCTAGACCAAAGGTCCTCTGCCTTAGCTCCTCGCTGGAAAATTCTGGAGACCATTGAAGACATAATAACAGCCCAGGCATGGTGGCTCATGCCTGTAATCCTAACACTTTGGGAGGCTGGGGCTGGAGGATTGCTGGAAACTGGAGTTTGAGACCATCCTGGGCAACATAGGGAGACCCCATCTCTACAGAAAATTTTAAAAATTAGCCAGAAGTGGTGGTGTGCACTTATGATCCCAGCTACTCAGGAGGCTGAGGCAGGAGAATGGCTTGAGACCGGGAGGTCAAGGATGCAGTGAGCTGTGATCATGCTCATGCCATTGCACTCCAGCCTGGGCAACAGAATAAGAACCTCTTTCAAAAACCAAAAGAAACTCATAATAACAGTACAATAAGTAACCAATGTCTGGACCCTTCCCAGGCTAGTTGAATCAAACCTCAGGGCTTCCTTTCTCGTAAAGGTTTCCAGACGATGCCAGTATGCAGCTCCCTTTGAGAACCTACCTCTCCAAAATGAGAGGTCAGAACCAAAAGAAGAAAAGGAATAAGATTAACACTTACTGAGCCCCTACGACTGGCCACGTGCTTAATCTTTTGTAATTCTCCCAGCAACTGGAAAATGATTCCCATTTTACAGATTTGGAAACTTCTCAATTATTTAACCAGAGAGGCTAAGCAATTTCCCTAAAGTCTCAAAGCTCGTAAGTGGCAAAAAGGAGACTTGAGCTTGGGCTTGTGTTCATGTTACCATACTACCAAGCTAAGAAACACACCACTGACCCACACTGAGGACTCAGAAGAAATCAAGTCAGACTTAGAGGAACTGGGGCTTGGAGCAAGTTAGAATTTTAGTAGAAGACATTTAGAGGAGGTTTCCAAGGAGAACTAACAATAAGGCAGAAACACCTGAGTGGGAGAGAGAGGGATGTTATGTCAGAAAGGGAGAGAAGCAGGAAAAAAAGAGACAGAGTGAAGAAATTTTTATATTACATTTACTATCCTACTTTCACAACCCTATGCAGTAGAAACTATTACTATCCCTCTTCTGCAGGTGGGAAAACTGAGGCCCAGTGAGGTTAAGCAATATCTTCCGGTCACACAGCTGGTAAGAGGCATAGTGTGGGTTCACCCGGGTCCTGGGTCCAAGTGCCTGGCCACGCATTGTTTATACTGCCCATAACTTTTCAAAGGAAGGGAAAGAGGAAGGAAAAGCAGATAGGATTTATTTTGTTTAATGGTCCAGAGCAGGCATTTTGCACTCATTATTTCATTGGTTCGCTTCAGGTGAATACCACCTTCAATTTGCATTGAGAAAACTGAGGGTTGCCCCTACAGAATGCGAGAAAATTTTTGCAATCTACTCATCTGACAAAGGGCTAATATCCAGAATCTACAAAGAACTTAAATAAGTTTACAAAAAAAAAAAACCATCAAAAAGTAGGCAAAGGATATGAACAGACACTTCTCAAAAGAAGACATTTATGCAGCCAACAGACACATGAAAAAATGTTCATCATCACTGGTCATCAGAGAAATGCAAATCAAAACCACAATGAGATACCATCTCCCACCAGTTAGAATGGCAATCATTAAAAAGTCAGGAAACAACAAATGCTGGAGAGGATGTGGAGAAATAGGAATGCTTATACACTGTTGGTGGGAGTGTAAACTAGTTCAACCATTGTGGAAGACAGTGTGGCGATTCCTCAAGGATCTAGAACTAGAAATACCATTTGACCCAGCAATCCCATTACTGGGCATATACCCAAAGGATTATAAATCATGCTACTATAAAGACACATGCACATGTATGTTTATTGTGACACTATTCACAATAGCAAAGACTTGGAACCAACTCAAATGTCCATCAATGATAGACTGGATTAAGAAAATGTGGTACATATACACCATGGAATACTATGCAGCCATAGAAAAGGATGAGTTCATGTCCTTTGCAGGGACATGGATGCAGCTGGAAACCATCATTCTGAGCAAACTATCGCAAGGACAGAAAACCAAACACCGCATGTTCTCACTCACAGGGGGGAATTGAACAATGAGAACACTTGAACACAGGGCGGGGAACATCACACACCGGGGCCTGTCATGGGGTGGGGGGCAGGGGGAGGGATAGCATTAGGAGAAATAGCTAATGTAAATGATGAGTTAATGGGTGCAGCAAACCAACATGGCGCATGTATACCTGTGTAACAAACCTGCAGGTTGTGCACCTGTACCCTAGAACTTAAAGTACAATAATGAAAAAAATTAAATTAAAAAAATCAGAAAAAAAAAGAAAGAAAACTGAGGGTTGCCATGGATGGTCAAAGTATCTTACATGAGGTCTCAGCAAAACTGAAGCAGCAGAGTCTGTATTGAAACCCTAAGTCAGCTAACCCCCAACCCATGTGCCACAAGAACCCCACTCAAGTTAGAAAGAGTATTAAAATATTGGAGGCCAAAAACACAGCACATAGACCTCTCAGAAGGGAAAAATAGAAAATGGGAAAGGATGGAAATGGATTTCATTTTGTTGATTGAAATTGGGAGATGACTGAATGAGGAAATATTTTGATTTTGTTTGGCCAGGGAAGAGCTGTAAATAGGCAGCAGAAAGTGGTTTGAAGAGAAACATACTAAACAAATGCCAGATATTCTTATCTTTACTGGTTATTTTGAACTTAGGCAAAATCATACTGAACAGAGAGTAAATAACCTGTATAGACAATTGCTTCTCTTAGTGCCCACCTGGGACTATAAAATGCCAGCAGAGAGGTCCACATTTGATTGCGCCTGACCTTGAAAACTCAGCTGAAGTCACTTTCTTTGATCACTCCTTTCACTCTACAACTCTTAGCACTATGAATTCAAATTTTCATTGAACTTCCTTTTGAAATTACAAAATAATATTGTATATGCTTTATTTCAAAAATGTTTGAGAAAATGGGCAAAGAAGGAAAAAGGGTAAGCCCCTGTAACCACCACCACTATCTAGTGAGTAGTCTTCCAGATCTATGTGCATGCCAACATGAACAGATGAGTATTATCAAATTAATTTTTGCCCAACATGATTAAATTCTTTGTTGTGATGAACAGCCTTGGTTTATTCCATTTATATAGGAACTGGAGGAAGAGATTTTTAAAACCAAAATAATGGTTGGGAACGTTGGCTCATGCCTGTAATCCGAGCACTTTGGGAGGCTAAGGTGGGAGGAACACTTGAGGCCAGGAGTTTGAGACCAGCCTGGACAAAAAAAAAAAAGCGAGACTCCCATCTCTAAATAAATTAAAAAACAAAACAAAACAAAAAAAACAGACGTGGTGGTGTATGCCTGTCATCCCAGCTACTCCAGAGGCTGAGGTGGGAGGATCACTTGAGGCCAGGAGTTCCAGGCTGCAATGAGCCATGATCATGCCAGTGTACTCACCAGCCTGGGTGAGATCCTGTCTCTAAACAAACTAACAAACAAAATAATTACATTTCAGGCCTAAGAAAAATATAAGGCAGAAATACCATTTTGAATGAGAGTTGAAATATTATTTTCTCAATTTGGAGTGGACAATAAAGGAAATTTGATAAAGAGCATCCATCAGCTTGCCTCCCCTGCAGCTCCTCTTACATAGAAGAAGCCCTTACATAGAAGAAGCATTCAGTTAGTATTTCTTGAGTGAATGAGAAATCATTCCCTTTTAGGATGGTTTTTGTTTGGGTTAAATGGTATCAATACTAAGAATCATGAAAACACATACACCCAAATATAAATGTTATAGAGTGCTCCAATTTTTATTATCACCTATTTTGGAATATTCAAGCCAGGATTCACTTCCATTTTTACCACAAGTGACATATAAAATTAGCTCCCCTTACTTTATTTTTTATTTTTATTTTTATTTATTTATTTTTTTGAGACAGGGTCTTGCTCTGTCTCCCAGGCTGGAGTGCAGTGGCACAATCACGGCTCACTGCAGCCTCAACCTCCTAGGCTCAGGTGATCCTCCCAGTTCACCCTTTCAAGTAGCTGGGACTATAAACACATGCCACCAGGCTCAGTTGTTGTTGTAGGGACAGGTCTCACTATGTTGTCCAAGTTGGTCTTGAACTCCTGGTCTCAACTAATCCTCCAGCCTGAGCCTCCCAAAGTGCTGGGATTATAGGCAAGAGCCACCACGCCTGGCTCCCCTGACTTTTTTTTTTTTTTAACCACTTTTGAGTCTTTAAGACTGCCTCATTATTCATCACATTTCACGCGCGTATACTTGTTCTCCCAAATGAATTGTAAGCTCTGCAGAGGTAGTGGGGTTTCTTTTGATCTGTTTTGTATTCTTCCCAGCACTTGGTACATGCTCTGCACACAGTGTATGTTAAACAAATGTTTATTGACTTTACTGAATATGTTGACTGTATTAGTTTGCTGGAGTTGCTGTAACAAAGTCACAAACTGGGTGGCTTAAGCAACAGAAATTTATTGTCTTACAGTTCTGGAGACTGGGAAGTCTGAAATTGAGGTGTTGGCAGAGTTGGTTCCGTGGGAGGGATGTGAGGGAGAATTTGTCCCAGGTCCCTCTCCTTGGCTTGTTGATGGTCGTCTTCTCCTTGAGTCTCTTCGCCTCACCTTCTCTGACGCACGTCTATTTCTGGGTCCACATTTTGCCTTTTTAGGAGGATGTGAGTCAAATTGCATTAGGGCCCACCCTAATGCTTTCATCTTAACTAATTACATCTACAATGACCCTATTTCCATATAAGATCATATTCTAAAGTAATTGGGGTTAGGACTTCAACATGTGAATTTTGGGAGCACATAATTCAACCCATAATAGTGACCTTTCACCAAATCATAAAAATTCAGCAGGAGATGAGGCTTTAAAAATCACATTAGCCTACCTGATACTTGAATCATTTTTTTAAACCAAGCCAAGAAGAGCATTTAGAATTTTAACAGTATATTTGGCAACAGGGTTTTCGGGTGGATTTTATTTTTTAACGCCCTCTGTATGCTTCCCAGAATGGTTCCCACTGCCTACGCCTCGAAGCCTTCATGTTGTCTGGAACAGGTGAGTACTACCTCAGGAAGGGATCTTTAAGGGATCTTTAAGCAGGATTGGAGAGACATTTCCCTGGATCTCAGTCCACTGAACAGCAGCCCCCGAGCACTTCCATGTGGGGGCTCTAAGCTGTAGGAAGATGCCTCTGGAAGCGCCAGACCCCTGAGAGTCTGTTAATTTTTTTCTATGAACCATTTTACTTTCAGTGAGTTTGGTCGTTAAAATTGTTTTGTGTCCCTCAGCCATGCCCCAGGCCCTGAGAACGAGGGAGTGTTGGTCTGCAAGAAAACCTAGTGGGTTTATTATTCTCTGACACAGAGAAACCAAATAACATCATTGAGTGGCTATTGGAGGGGGGGCAACTTGATTCATGGGGGTCATGCTTTCCCAGGCCCTCTCTACGCAGTCTCGGCTCAGACCAGGGCAGACTTTTATTACCAGCTTTCAACAAATCCCTAGTTTCTTTTGCAAAGTAAAACAGATAATAGAGACATTCCGGGAATAGTTAGCTAACTAAGCTGTGCCAGGCAACCTCCGGGCTAAGAAGAACTCAGTGTTTTCGGACAATGACCAATTACAATAACCAGTATTATTTGATCTGAGAGTAATTAGCCGAGGCTCTGTTCTTTTTGCTTCAGTGAGGAGGCAAAAAGGGCAATGAGGAAAACATCAGAGACAGGGGAAACGAGCTCAAATGTCAGAGAAAAACACAGTCTTGCAGGTGGGGAGAAGTGGAAGAGTTTCACTGGCCAAGATCCTGACTGAACACTCGAACATTGTTTTTCCCTGAAAATATGGTAGAATTTAACTTAACCAAAAGTTGTTTGAATTCTTCACTCTTACTGTTCATTTCCTTTAAAAAGCCTCCACGTAGAATAAAATATCAGGGTACAAAGAGTAAAATAGGTTAGGAACATAGAACTATGGACTACCAGAGATCTTTCACTGGGAGGGACAGGTATCTCCAGGACATCTGCACCCTCCACTCTTATTTTCAACAGCACTGTATAACCTGAAACCTTTTGGAGACAGGTTCTAGGGAACTACTGTTTATCACTTCATTCAAGACGTGCAGTATAGTCAGGCTCCTTCCCCTCTACCTAGAGATATGTGGATTTTAGCATGGCCCGTGGCTTTCTTTCATGTCACTATCAGCTTCCAAAGTAAATGGCAACTCTCAACCTGAGAACCATCTTAATACTCCATGCTGCTGCTGCTGCAGCTGCCCCTGTCCCATGGCAGAAGATAGTTCACCAGCCTCCTGCTATCACCCCACCAGCCTTTCTTTCGAGGGCTGAGCAAGGCTTGAATTCTCTGAATACCTCTCTGGCTTTTCTGACGATATAGCACCCATGGCCTCTGCGCCTTCCCTTGTCCCCTAGCAATATGTATTCACCTTTTCTCAGACTTCTGGCTTCTCTGCTCAGATCTTTAACACAGGAAGTAATGTCTAGGCTGGGCCCGGTGGCTTACGCCTGTAATCCCAGCATTTTGGGAGGACGAGGTGGGCAGATCACCTGAGGTCAGGAGTTCAAGACCAGCCTGGCCAACATGGCAAAACCCCGTCTCTACTAAAAATACAAACAATTAGCCGAGCGTGGTGGCATGTGCCTGTAGTCCGAGCTTCTCAGGAGGCTGAGGCATGAGAATCGCTTGAACCCGGGAGGCGGAGGTTGCAGTGAGCTGAGATCGTGCCACTGCATTCCAGCCTGGGAGACAGAGTGAGACTCCGTCTCAAAAAAAAAAAAAAAAAAAAAAAAAAAAGTTGGGGGGAGGTAATGTTTAGGGGTGTTTAGAGGTATGTTGTCTAATACAGTAGCCATTAGCCACATGTGGCTATTTAACTTCTTAATTTACTTAAATTAAGTTTAAAATTCCATTCTGTTGCACTAGCTGCATTCCAAGGATTCAGTAGCCACATTGGAGTAGTGACTATGATATTGGACAGAGCAAAAATAGAATATCTCCATCATCATGGAAAATTCCATTGGCAGCGTTAGCCTGGATTATCACATGGGAAAATTCTTGGCTCTTGGAAGGGCTCTGTGAAAGGGTTAACATTGGATGGGATATATACTATGTACCTAGCAGGGTGCTACATATATTATTATATTTAATCCTTACAAATATCATTCCCAGGTCAAACAGGAGGAAACTGAGGCTGAGAGAAGTTAAGTAACTTGGCCAAGGTAGTCCAACTAAGTAAGTGGTAGAGCCAGGATTCATCCGGTACCCAGGTCTCTGTGGATTTGGCTGTTGAATCAGGTTGCAGATGTGGCGAGTAACAAGCAGCCGAAGTGTCACTGGCTTTTCTACACAATCCCTTCAGAGGTGCAGTGGAACCATTCACAGGCCTGTAGATGAATCCCCGGGGCTTGCTTGAGGTTTGATGGTGATCTCCTTAATGTGGGCCTAGTAGGTACGCACTCACTTTTTAGATTGATTGGCAAATTGTAGGACAGCTTCTGCAATGTTTCTTCCTAGTATTGGATGTATTTCTGACTGTGGGCATCTACTACATCCCAAACTGAGAACATTTAAAAAGTGCCTACTCTATCCCTGCCCTGTTCCTCTTCCTGTAGGTCTAGGGGGAAAACCAAAGAACCCAGTTGAGCTCATACTGACCAGCCTGTCCTGCACCTCAGAGGTCAGTGGCAGTGCTGTGGGTGGGAGACTTTTATACTCAGAGCCAGGCTGTGCTAGGAAATCAAAACTGCTGTCCCAGACCCCTGAGAACAACCAGATTTTAGTAGTATGGAGTGATGGGTTAGTAGATGGTGTTTTACGCAGTCACAAAACTCAATTTTCATTTTTTCTTATTGTTTGTGTTTCTATTCTGGACTTTTAAGATTACATGTAGCTGTCCCGGCCCCCAGCACATCTTTTAGGATTGATACACAATTTTAATTATTTTTATGACTTTTATAAGCAATGGGGCCTGTGGCAATTCAGGTGGGTTGGAATGAATTTATTATCCTTGCCCACAGGGATGAGCACGCTCTTAGGCTGCTGGCAGAAATGGAAATTGGTACAGCTCTTCTAGCTGATAGTATGAATCTACAGCTCTTCTAGCTGATAGTATGAATCAAATACTTTAACATGTTGTATATATCCTTCAACCGAACATCAATTCTAAGAATTTATCCTAAGGAAATATACACAAACCCACAAAGATTTCTCTTTGAGAATATTTGTTACAGCGTGATTTTAATAGTACTACCTCCATCCCAACAATAAAGGAAACAACTCAGATAGGAGTCTAGCTCTGTAAATTATGATATGCCTACATAATCGAACGATAACAGCCAGTAAAATAATGTCCTAGAAAGTGATTCAAAGTTATGGGAAGATGATCAAGGTAGTTCAATGGAAAAAGTAGGTTATAAGAGCATGTATAGTATGATCCCATTTTTTTGTAAAACAAAAACTATACCTGTCTAAAAGCAAAGGACTGAAGAAAACAAAGACCTCAAGCAATGGTGATTATCTTTGAGTATCAGAGGATTATCTCAGAGTGATGGGCTAGTCATAATTTTCCTTCTCTGCATTTTCTAAGTGCTCTACAAATAAGTATGAATTATTTTGGCATTGGAACACTTCTCACCTCTTGAAATGTTACTAGAAGGACTGATTTATCACAGGATTCTTTACCTTTAATAGCAGATTCTCATTAATTGGGCGGGGGGTTTTCCTACCTCTGCAAGATACTCCTGTCATGTTTGGTAGTTAACATCACAAACCTAAGAGTATGAATTCACATTTACCTTGGAAAGGTGCTGGTAGGCAAATTAACATTTGTGATGTTCATTTTTTTATGCCAATGTTTATTTTTAAAGTAGGGGTTGTAACCAGTGGATAATTGTTCCAGCGGGAGTTAGAGGTGGTGGCCACATGTACAACTATGACAGTAAAGGCAATTGGTAACAAGCAAGGCCATAGGTGACAGGAAAAAGCATAATGATACAAACACGGAAGATGTCAGTAAATCAACATTTGTGCCCAAAAAGTAACATTTGTTTTCCCGGGACTCTTTCCTCAGCCTTGCAAAAAGAGCTCAATGTGCGATAGCAAGGCGGCGATTACTGGGGCACTTGCCAAAGGCCCAGATCCTAATGGTCTTGCTACCAGTGCTGCCAGTGAAGGTTTGTGTTCATGTGGGGTGGAGTTGGCTTGTACAGGGGAGACCGACACACACTTGGCTCCTAGGAGGAAGAGACTTCACTTGCCCGCTTTGCCCTGGTGACCACCTCTACCGGCGAAGGAGAAGGAGAAGCAAAGTGCAGCAGTCATAGTTCAGAGGCTGTGAGACTGGAACAAGTCCAGAAACCACCAGAAGCCCTGAAACAACCCTGTGGGGAGGGTGAGGGTAGGTTCTGTTGGTTGAAATGGAAAATCCTAAAAAAGAGGTCCTTGCACTAATTAGTACCTACCCTTCTTTTATTCATTCACCTGGTTTAAAAAAAACAAAAACAAAAACCTGTTCTTATTTTATTTTTTTGAGACAGGGTCTAGTTCTGTCACCCAGGCTAGAGTGCAGTGGTACGATCGTGGCTCACTGCAGCCTCGACCTCCTGGGCTCAGGTGATTCTCCCGCCTCAGCCCCCTGAGTAGCTGGGACTACAGGTGCATGCTACCACACCTGGCTAATTTTTGTATTTTCTGGTAGAGATGGTTTTCACCATGTTGCCCAGGCTGGTCTTGAACTCCTGGGCTCAAGTGATCCTCCCACCTCAGCCTCTGAAAGTGTTGGGATAACAGACATGAGGCACAGCTCTGGCCAAATAACCTGTTCTTATAAGAAAAGGGGTGCCCCTAATACCCCTGTAAACTCCATTAGCCTTTCTTGGCTTCCCCAGACACTCTACACAAACACAGTCTAAATAAAAACAATATGCCTGCCATGCTAACACAAGTTTAAAACAGGTCTCCCAGCCTTCCCTGTCCAATCAGACTGCAGCCCCTCAGCCCTCACTACAGGGCAGTTCAGGAGCCATCTGTTGTGGGTTAATGCTGGGGGAGTATTCGAGAGAACAAATCGCTGATTGGGGTGGGACTGTGGAGGTGGAAGTTGATAGATGCATTGCTCCCCACCACCTACCCGCCCTCCCCATGTCCAGAAGTTCATATTTAACCAGAAAGCATGAAGCCTGCAGAAAGTGGATTCAGGGCCAAATTTTGGCACAAACTTCACCTCACTACCCAATAGTGTGGGTGGACCAGCTAAAATTTGTTCATGAGATTTCCCCTGAGTCTCCTTCCAGAGAGATCCTAGGCTCTAGTGATTTGTACTAACATTCCTCTTCCAAACGTCCATTTCATGGGCCCTAAAAAACCTCTGCCTGGACAGGATACCCTGGATGAGGAATATATCTGCCAGTCCTTCTTCAGGCCACAGCAAATGAGTAGACTTCTACACAATTCCTTTTTCTCCTAACTGGCCTGGAAATTTGCAAGGATTTGGAAATTTGCAAATTTCTTCTCTATCTTGCCTATGAAGCAATTATTCCTGAGTTTGAAAGTAGTTATCTGTTTGCAGAAACAGTTTCATGTCTTGGGAATCAAATAGCTCAAATTTTTTAATGCAAATCTTATGCAAAAATTAGGTAAATTAGAATTCTGGGCCAAGACTTCCAGCATCTCTGCATCATGGCACCTGGAAGGGAAATAATATCTGATCTTTCTTGCTTTAAGTCAGTAGGTGTATTTGACATTAAGTAAGCCCATCTATGTCTGCTTAATTGGGGATTTACTGTGGTGTCTCATGGCCATACAACTTAATTCTGAATGTCAGACATCAGTCCCATGATCAGCTGCCCGCTGGGATATGCACAGTTTTCCCTCTTGTGCCTTTCCAGTTATAAACCTATGTGTGGGTTGTGGAGTTGGGTGTACATAAATGATTGGCATTAGATGAGCAAAGCCTTTCAAGCATTGTAAGTAAATGGGAAACATGAAGACCCACAAGCCACCCTCCCCAGCTTCATGTCAGGCCTCTCTCCCCATTTTTGTCCTGGGCCAGCCAACTGGCCTTGATTCCCTTCTTAAAACTCTGGCTTCTCCCTCCCACTCTAGGGTCTGTGTAGGTACCACAGATCCCTGTCAGTCAAGGCCTGCCTCTTTCCTGCCCTCCATTCTTCAACTCTCAGCTCAAATGCCACTTCCTCAAGAAATCCTTTCCTGACCACCTCTTCCCATTATAGGTCAGGTATTGAGGCTATCTTAACCCTTAAAATAAGGTCAACTTGAGGATTTGTCCTTACTGTGATTTAGGTACTTAATTATCTCTCTGCCTCTGCTCCATCTCAGGGGAACCAAAATGTTATACCTGGGCTGCTATAACAAAATACCTTAACTGAGTGATTGCCAATTAATAGAAATGTATTTCTCACAGCTCTGGAGCCTGGGAAAACCAAGACCAAGGTGCCAGCAGCTTAGGTGTTGGGCAAGGGGTCTCTGCTTCACAGATGGCACCTTCTCACTGTGTCTGCACAGGGCAGAAAGAGCAAAAGGGCTCTCTCAAGCCTCCTTTATAACCTAATTACCTCCCAAAGTTCCCATTTTCTAATACTATCACTTTGGTGATTAGGTTTCAACATAAATTTGAATTTTGGAGAGATACAAACAGTCAGACCATAGGATTCTTTTCTTCACAGTTGTACTTAGACATCTGTGTGATAATTTGATGAACATCTGACTCCTCTACCTGAGCTGCCAGAAGACAGTCTTGTCCTGTGTCTCCCAAAGCCAACCACTTACTAGCACATAGTAGTTGCTCAATAAATGTATTTGCTCATCTCCAGATATATATTTCAACATAAGATCAACTTGAGGATTTGTCCTTACTGTGATTTAAGTACTTAATTCTCTCTCTTCCTCTGCTCCATCTCAAGGGAACCAAGAGAGCTTCCTAACTAATAAGACTGGGTGAGCTTCAGAAATGCTGCAAACAAGTGTATTTTCTACCCAAGCTTCACCCTCCAGAATCACCTCTTTAGAATTCTGTGCTTTTCCCCCTCCAGATTTCTGTGCTTGCCACCCTTGGAGTCCAGAGCCTTGAACATGTTTTTTGTTTGTTTGTTTGAGACAGAGTCTTGTTCTGTTGCCCAGGCTGGAGTGCTGTGGTGCAATATTAGCTCACTGCAGCCTCTACCTCCCAGGTGCAAGTGATTGTCATGCCTCAGCCTCCTGAGTAGCTGGGATTACAGGTGCATGCCACCACGCCCAGCTAATTTTTATGTTTTTAGTAGAGACAGGGTTTCGCCATGTTGGCCAGTCTGGTCCCAAACTCCTGGCCTCAAGTGATCTGCCTACCTCAGCCTCTCAGAGTTCGATCGTATTTTGAATCAGGCCTTTCTACTTGGTTGGGGCTGCAGTGTTCCTCCAAAAAGAATCCTTGATTATATATTTCTGTTTATAATTATATTTCTGTGTCTTTTATGTGTACATGGTGCCCAGACACACGGTGGAGGGCAAGGGAGCTGAGTGATAGAATGAGGAGATTTTTCCCCTTCAACTTAGTAACAGGACAGTCAGTAAGAGTTTAGTATGGGGGTTACTTTTCCAGTTGCCATCAACTTTAGCAATTCCAGGAAAATTCTACTTAAAATCTAAGTCTAGCCATCTCCTTTTCTTTACTTTTTGTTTTTATCCCTTTGTTTTTCAGAAGGGAGGCTGCTGGAGAAACTCTATTTTTCTCTCCCACTTTTCCAGGCTGGGCAGGGTTCCTGAAGCTGAAGACCTGGCCTCCCAGATGCTAAAAGGCTTTCCCAGAGACCGCGTCTCCGCCCAGGAAGCACTTGTTCATGATTATTTCAGCGCCCTGCCATCTCAGCTGTACCAGCTTCCTGATGGTGAGCGAGGGAGTGTGTGCGTGTGCGTGAGTGCATGTGCGTGAGTGCGTGTGTGTGTAAGTCTTGGTGTCTTAAGTAGTTTGCCTCAGCACCGGAGAATCATAGCATTTACCCCCAGGAGTGAAGTTAGAGATCAGTTTGCCTGGGAGAAGCAAGATAGGACCTAATCTTGTCTGAGTTTTGCATGAGCTTCTCTCAAACTCTGAAGCACTGGTGGGGAGAGGTTACAAGGACCTCTTTGTAATGGTCCAGACATTTCACAGGTACACATTTACACTCAGAAATTGGATGAGATGGACGTTGTCTCTGAGTTGTTTGCCTTAGCTACCATCTGCCAGGAAGCCACACCAGTGTTTCTAACAAGACTCTTCTCCCTTTCTGCGGAGAGTAAGATGATAGGTGAAGCGGATATGTCCTGAGAGGGAGCTGGGCCTTTCTTGATTGGTAATAGCAAGCTGCAGAAGGCAGTGCCGGGGTGGGGTGCTGGGGGAAGGGAGGTCTCCTCCGAGGCTGCCCACCTCCTGTAAACACAAGTTACCTTGGAATCAGCCTTTGCTGCCTGGGCCTGAAGTCATCTTCCAAACCTGAAATCTGCTGAGGGATCATGTGGTTGGAACTCCCGTCATGTTTCTTGGACTGTGGCCAGGAAGGGCTACAGGAGGATGTGGGCAGTGGTCATGGGGGACTATCCTTAGGTGAGGTTTCTTTGAAAAAAAATCCACCATTCAACTAAAAATAGTTTTAGGAGCAAGGGACAAGTAGACAAGAAAAGCAAAGCTACCAGGAAGGAAAAACAGAAGAGAGAGAAGCAGCCAGGGTTGGTTTTAGAAGTCCTAAGCCAGAGAAAAGAAAGCTTAGGAGGGAGGGCCTAAGGGCTGGAACTGCGATGAGGACACTGGAAGGGGCGTGGGGGAGTGGCGATGGGGTGCAGTGAGATAAGGATGGGGACAGGGTGAGGAGCTACTGCCCAAGAGGTGTGGAAACAGCCTGGTCCGCCTTGCCAGAGTTTGCAGACGCAGCTCCTCTGTGTCTAGGACATCGTCCTGCAGCAGTCCAAAGCGCTTAGTTTGGGACTTGCTGAGGCATTCTGTTTTATGACTAAAGTGAGTCATTTAGGATCTCCAAAAATAACCATAATCATACAACTGGGGTTAATGTCTTACTTAACCCTGTAGAAAGAGTCAGTCATTAGTATTTATTAAATTGCCATTAAGTGTCAAGAACATATTGAGTGCTATAAAAAGTTGAGGAAAACAAGAGACTTGTCCTTGGCCTCCAGGTTCTTATGAAGTGGGAGGAAAAGAGGGTGAGGAAGAGGAAACGGGGCACCCTCGCACACATATCAGCACACATCATATCTAAACAGCAAAAAATCTGTGCATAATCAACTGCAGATGTGCAGAGACTATGTGTGTGTTGAAGGCAATTATTTGGAGGAACAAGAATTCAAATGAGATGGATTAGACTGGAGGTGAATCTAAAGTGGAATTTGGAAGGAGGAGAGAGGCATATGGGTGGAACAAAAGACATTGCAGGCAGATCCACAGTTCTCACTCCTTTCCTGGTACCTCTGCCCCCACTTCAGCCCCATTCCTCCCCGGCCACTCCCATCCCAATCCCCTCTTCCCAGTCCAAGCCCCTAGATTGTTCCTTTTCAGCTTTCTCCTGTCAGACTTGGGACTTATAACTCTATTACTTCATGCAAGTGTACACGCTTGGATGTACATACACACGCACACACACACACACTCCCTTCTCTCCACTTAAAGAAACTTTCCCCATTGGCCCTCCTTTAGGATCTGTTATTCCACATGCTGACAATTGCTGGGGATCTTCAGAGTTTTCTAGGCTCCAGCTTTTGCTTGACGCAAGATGATTAGGAAGAAACAATCACTGTCCAAACTGATGTGTTGTTAGAAACTTGGGTTTTGATTTTTCCTGGCTGACCCAAAAGCAAAGCCACCAACAGAGGGGCCGTGGTGCATGGGTATCTAAGGTTGTGTGTGTATGTGTGTATATGTGTGTGTGCGTATGTGTGTGTGTGTGTGTGAGAGAGAGACAGAGAGAACAATCTGTATTCCTTCCCTGTTCGCCCAGTCACAGAGCCCAAATCTACTTTGACACTTTTAGAAAAATGAAAAGATGGAATCTTGTAGGAGGCTGCCTGCACTAGCGGGGGAAACCAGGAGTGCTCACAGCAGGAGGGAAGTTGACTTTTCTTTATACATATAGGGGTTTTTCCATGCAGAGTTTAAATTATGCCTGATAAAAGGAGTTTCGTGGATGTTTCAGTTCTTTCAAATTCTCCTGGCTTCCTCCCAATTAAATGAGGTTTGTCAAAGCCACAGGGCTCTGCTGCTGCTGCCTCGGCGGACAAGCATTTCCTGCAGCGACATCTCGAATCCCCGAGGGAGAAGATGAAAGCGCCGGTGCCAAGAGACAGGGAAAGGCGGGGGCAAGATTGGGTGTGTGTGCTTCTGTGTGTGTGTGCTCGTGCACATGAGTGCACGAGCATGTGTGTGTGCTTGTGTATGTGTGTGACAGGGTGGTGGGTGTGCAGAAATATGTATATAGACAGATGGACAAGTAGATAGAAAAAGCAAAGCTACCAGGAAAGAAAAATAGAGGAAGAGACAGAAGCAGCCAGGGCTGGTTTGTGCACCTTCGTGACAGTGGCTCTCACCACCAGCACATTATCTACTAAGAGATGCGGTCCTTGGCCTGGCAGTGCCAGCCTGCTTTTTCATTGCCCCTGGCAATGAGCCTTTATTAACAGCCTCCTTTGCAGACAGAGCACACCAGTGGGTAATCACAGTTCCCAATCTGCAGGGACATAGAAACTCCATCCCTGAGGAGGGCTGCCCCAGGCATGAGAATTGTGCAAAAATCGGCATGCTCTTGTGAGTGATTTGTAAGGAGAGTTTCTCTGCCATAATTATGCAAGAAATTTTGCTCTCTGGTGGCATTTCAGTATAAAATTATTTAGGGGCTTATATTTATATCATTTTATTATTCTGATTTTATTCTGGTTGCAGGATAACAGAGTTGTCACTTTAAAATATATTCTGTTTCCCCTTTGATCTGGAAGATGCCAGCTCTTATTGTCTGCCCTCTAAAGAAGACAATTAAAGCATAAAGCCTGGGACTGGGAAATACGTGGAGAGTGGAAGGACAGCCTAAATCCCAGTGTAGGAGCGGCATAGAAATTCCACACAAAATGAAAGAATTGTTCCAGTCCATCTCTATTTTCATGACGCTGAGAAGTCCCGAACAATGCTTTCCCTAGGTTGTGGCAGTACGCTTAGAGCCAAAGGGCATTTATCAGGGGGTTATTTGCCATGAAAACCAGGAATTCCAGGATTAGTTTCCTTTTGGACAGCACCTGAAGTGGAAAAGTGTGAATATTAGAATGGCAAGCATGTGGGAACTTCTGCCAAGTTCTGACATTTTCCCTTATTGACTCGTGAACACCTGAAGAAACACTTGTTGAAGGAGAAATTATTGGTAGTCCCTCTCAAAACACAGCCAACAGCAAGCTAATTGCTTTTGCAGATGGCCAGGGAGTCGCTCTTCCCACTCAGACACCGGCTTATGGCCACACTTGTGGTCCTCGTGGCTGAGCCAGCAGGGCAGGACGTCAGCTGGAGCAGCTAGGACCTAAAATTAGGCCCTTGGCAACTCTCTAATCTTAGCTGCAGGTTCAGCTTCTTCATTTAATTCTCTTTGCCCTCAGCATGAACTTGGGCTCTGGGAAAGGAACACTGTTTAATGATTTGGGGGTGGGGGTAGTAGGAAATCATTAAGCTGCCCCTTCTTAAAACTGGCTCCGCTCTGTTCTTTCAGGAAACCTTCCAAATGTTACCCTTGGAAATTTAAGACTGATTTTGGAACCTAGCCATTTTGAACTACAGACACTGATCCAGAAAAGTATTTTTTATCTGAGGCAGTAAATGACACGTGATTTAAGAGTCTGGTCTTTAAGCCATGGTCCTTGATCGTCAGGACATCAAAGGCTGTCTCTCTTTCTCTCTCTCTCTCTGGGTTGGTCCCATTTTGCTTGCTAGCCAAGTCTCATACTTGAGTCTCCCATTCCTTCCTGGACTAAATCCCCTTCTCCTTTAAAACAGGTTTTAGCATCTTAGGGGGAGAAAATCTAAAAAGCTTGCAATTGTTTCACAAGTAATTTTGCAAAAATGCTGTACCACAGCCCCCATTGTTAGAGTATACTTATATACACATAGGGATGGAAGAAAGCATGGCATTTACCTCTACCTTTGATCACACCATCCCGATATCTATACTCCGAAAGTTCTTCAGCATGCCTCATTGCCCTGTTAAAATCTGAGTCGTGTTTTGTTTTGGTTCAATAAAATAACTTCAGGCCTTCTTTGAGTGTTATCTCCTTAATATATTGGAAGGTCCCTATGATATCACTTCCCAAAGGCCACTTTAGGCTGAATTCCTTTAACCTTTGTTTCCAAATACAAATTCTGTTTCTCCCACTTTTTAGTCATTTTGTTTTATTGTTCTCTTCTGAATCTGTTCCAATTATTTTGCTTATCTCTGAGAATATGGAGGCAGCATAGACTCAAATTTCTTGCATGGTGGGAGAATCATGTTCCATTCATTCATTGGAGGTTTACTGAGTGTCCATGAGGTGTGATATTAAAGGATACAAAAATGAATTAGTCATAGACCCTGTCCTCAAAGAGCTTACGGTCCTTTAGGAAATAAGACAAGTATATAAACAGCTGCAGATCAAGTATACAAATAAAGTGCTCTAAGTGTTTGAAGGAGGTGAGATTAACTCCAGCTGTGGGGATCCAGGATGATTTTGTGAGTGGGCCTTGAAAGATGATGGGTCTGGATGATTGGAGAGGAAGGGCATACGGGCAAAGGAATGTCGTGTTCCTCTCAATACCATCTAAGATCATTCTGAAGTTGTCTTCTTTTTAATCATAGTGGCTCAGTCTTAACTCATATACCATTGTAGTTTTTCTTACCATCGTATGCCTTTTTGCAACAATTTAAACATTCTTTAACATGTACTAATCAAGCTTAGTTTCACTCTGAATGCTTCCACGTAATTTCAAACCTATTCTGTTTATTGGTTTTTTTGTGTATTCTATTCAAAGTTGAACCAGAATATTTTGTCATTCTATGAGGCCAGGTTTCAGGGGCTGGGGATGTTGGAAAAGAGGGAGGGAAGATTCTCAGCCATCCTCTTGACTCTGTGCTACTTCTAGGAGTTTGTAACGTAACTCAGACCAATCTGTCCACCTTTTAAATCCTCCATTAATCAGCCCTTAAGAAGCGAATTTGGAGATGTCCTCCATAACACACTTCCTCACCTTCTATGCACAAAGTTGTTCTCCATCCATTTCAATATGTTAGAGGAGATACTGGGTTGAGACGTGGTTTATGGGGTTGCATAGCATTGTGTTGCTGGGAGAAGTCTGGGAAAACCAAGTCCCTCAGCCCTACCAAGCCCTTAAGTTGGTTAAATTTGTTACGTTCATGGCTGAGTCTCCAAGTAAAGATAAATAATTCAGAAAAGAGTTATTTATAAAGGATCTTAAAGATTACTTATTCCATACCTTCATTATATAGCTGAGTCACTGATGCCCAGGGAAGAATAATCGTACCTGCCTTTTATTGGACATCTATATGCTTTATATAAATTATCAATCTATGTACTAATTGGTGAGGCTGGAATTGTTATCCTCATATTACAGATTAGACAGCTGGAAGTCAGGTAGGCTAATTGCTTGAAGTCACACAGCTAGAAAGTTGTAGAGCCAAGATTTTACTTCAAATCTGACTCCTAAAAGCTACTCCTTTCCTACTATTCATTGTTCTTGCTAAAGATCACATAGGAACTTAGCTGCAAAATCAAGATTAGAACCAAGATCTTGATGCCCAGTTCTGTGCTCCTCCCACTCTCTCATGTACTGTGTTTATTTTAAAGCTTTTCTGGGAAAGATTCCACACATCTCCAGGTAGCGTGTTTAATATCTCACAATTAAGAGGGCTCAATTTATGTTGAATAGAGATTTACACCCCAGGACCAACTTCTTCCTCAATGCCATCTTACTTTAGTTTATTTTCTTTTCTTTTCTTTTCTTGTAATAATATATGCAATCAGCCTTGGGTTTTAAGATTTTTTTTTTTTTTTGAGATGGACTTTTGCTCTTGTCGCCCAGGCTGGAGCGCAATGGCATGATCTTGGCTCACTGCAATCTCCATGTCCCAGGTTCAAGAAATTCTCCCGCCTCAGCCTCCCGAGTAGCTGGGATTACCTGCCTGTGCCACCACGCCTGGCTAATTTTTGTATTTTTAGTGAGACAGGGTTTCACCATGTTGGCCAGGCTGGTCTCAAACTCCTGACCTCAGGTGATCCACCTGCCTTGGCCTCCCAAAGTGCTGGGATTACAGGCGTGAGTCACCTTGTCTGGCCAAGATTTCTTAATCGATGGTGATAAATGTTTTTGTTTCACCTGTGACTCATTCAGTTTTATAAGAAAACATCAAGGAATCCAGTGGAAAATGAGTTGAAGGCATAAAATAGCAATTTATGCAAGAGGAAACAAAAAGAGCACAGCAACACATGGAATAAATTGACTGCTTTACTAGGGATTAAAAAAATACAAATTACCGTTAAATTAGTTGTTTTTTCCTGTAACCTAATAGCTCCCAGTGTTGATGAGATTGTGGTAAAATGATTCTCTGCTGATGGTATTGAAACTTTTGCAAAGTGTTATAGCATGCATATCGGGAGCCATAAAAATGATCATACCCTTATACCCTATACCTTTGTTCCTGGAAATTATCCAAAGAAATAATTGAATAGGGGGGAAAACCCTAAAACCTAGATTAATGAAAATGTTCATTGCAGTGTTGTCTATAATGTTTTACAATTTTTTAAATAAAAAGAAGCAATGTCACTGTTAAACACCAGAGAAACAATTGGACAAATGTTGGTATATTGACTCAACATACAGTACTATGTAACCATTTTAAATGATCATTAATAGAATTGTGTGATATTATGAAAGTTCTTATGCTGTAACATGAGCTATAAGAAACTAGAATACAAAATTGCATATTATAAAGTATCTCTGAAAATTAATATGCACATGAACAAAACTGAAAGGTAGTGTACAAAATAAAAATGCTATTCTAGTTTAGGGGGGTTGTAGGTCATTTCTTTTCCTTTCTCAGAGCTTTCTTTAAACTGGTGTTATATTGTCTTAGTTGTTTAAAAGAATAAGTTAAAACAAAATGGCACAGGCAGTCTGAGCTGTGGATTGAGAGTCAAAGGACCTGAGTTTTCTTCTTTTTTGTTTCCCAACATAATGTGTTTTGGCTGTAATAAACCTCAGTTTCTCCATCTGCATGATGGGTTAACACTAGTTTTCTTTACCCCAGGTTGACAGAATATTTATTTTTATAATGCTTCTAACTCACCGAATGCAAGGGTTCATATAAATTTGGTCCTGGGAGAATGAAGGGCAGGAGGGAAAGGAAAAAATAAATAGGCATAATTAATTTTAAAAGGAAAGATCATCTGCTTTAATCGGAAATGTATGTGTATTGTGCCCCTAGTCAGAGTTTTAAGTGCACTTCGTGTTAGTTAGCAACTTCAATTTAAAGTGCTGTGTGATCCTCTGGGCTTTGAAGATATGAATTCTCTATACATACACATGAGCTAAAATTACCGCATAATCACGAGGATGTGTGCACTTTGAATAATTGAATGCACTAAACATCTCCAGCTGATGGATTGATGATGTGGGAGAGTAGTGCAAAACCCACGTGACACGGAAGATTACAAGACATTTTGAAATGATAGCTTAATTTTCAACCTTTTTTTTTTTTTTTTTTGCTTGTGCTTTCTCTTTTAGCGATTATGGGCAAGTAAAAGAGATTTGATTATCTTGTTTCCTGTGAAAGGTTATTTAGCCCCTCAATCCCATTAAGTCACTTTCTGCACTCCAGTGCACTGAGCCTTCAGGTTATCAGCCCAGGAAGAGTAAATGGAGACACCAGGATCAGATTTCTAAAGGAAGGAAAGTTAAAGCAAAGTTTGAAAGGGGTGACAGCCAACAGCCATGAGCTTAGGAACTCAATTAGACTAAAAAGACAACTATCTCATTATCTCGTTCCGAAATGATCTAAATACATAAGAATCTAAAAGTTTTAAATAAACTTGTCCTGCCGACTGTCTAGATGACTGAATTTCCCTTCTCAAAAAATTTTTAAACACCCGCTTTCATATTTATTTATTCTAAGAGTGAAGCAGCTGCGATAATTATGCTGTCAGCCTCGGGAAGCTAATGAGGAGTCACCAGAGTGGAAGGTTTTGCATTTGTGAGATTGCTGAAGGAGAGCCGCGCTGCAGCTTTTTTCGTTTTTTATTTCCCTTTCTTTCTTTCTTCCTCCTTTTTCTTTTTCTATGAGTTGGGAAGGAGAGTCTGGCAGTCCACAGCCAAATTGGAATCCTTTTGATTAACCGGTTGCCTTCCCAGCATGTTCTGCCAGATAGTGTCTCTCTCTCTCTCCCTCCCTCCCTGCTTTTGAGGAGCTGCTGCTTTTGAGGGGCAAGGAAGCCGGAGGGAAATCCCAGCTTTTCATGCCACTGTCCCCAAGGCAAGAGGATACTTCTCCCCGAGAGAAGTTCCCCAAATGGTTTGGATTTGAGTTGATTTGAGAATAATTGGTAAAGTATACGCACTGTTTATTTTAGCCATTTAACTGTCTATGCTATGACAAGATCTAATAGAAAGTAGAATACAAAATTGCATATTATAATATCCGTGTGAAAATGTCTTATGCATATCAACAAATGGTATGATGGCTCCCCTTTCCAGCCTATTTGGAATATGCGATTCCAAATACAAGACAACGAGACCCCAGATTACCCACAGCATTTAAGGGCAGAAGTTTAGGCCAGGCGAGGCAGAGCTGGCAAGTTTATTTCTTCCCTTTGGGTGTGAGCAGCTTCCAGCAAACAGTATTATTTAAGGCATTTTATGCTTTTGGTGCAGTAATAACAGAAGGCTCTCTTTTTGTTAAATTGTGAGATATTTTGAGCACCCCAGATTTATGCAAATTGTGAACCTGGGAAAAGCAATGCCCAAGTGGAAAGGGGCCCTGAGTAAATTTTGCGGATGTGCTTTGGTGACAATGTGGCTGCTGCCTCTTGCTATTTTTCTCAGATATCTGTGCTAATACTTGTAACAATGGCTACCATTTATTAAAAACATATTGTGTATCATAAACTAACACAAGGTGTTTTGCATATATTATCTTCTTTAAACTTACAGCAATCTGCCAGGAAGTTTTATTTTCCGTACTTTTCAGATAAGCCCCTTGCAATGTCAACTTTTGGAGGAACTGGCTTGTAGCTTTAGTGTAGTGAGCATTCAGGAGTAGCAAGCACTTAACAAACACAGGCACTTGGGAAAATGCGAACTGCCAGTATTCTGAGCTAACCAAATACCTGATTTGGACATCAAAGGTAGTATATATATTTTCAAATAGTTTTTTTTTTCTCAATTTGCAAAAGTTGCACCTTAGAGTCTATATAAATAGATTGCCAGCCAGGCCCCGAGGCTCATGCCTATGATCCCAGCACTTTGGGAGGCTGAGGCAGGTGGATCACCTGAGGTCAGGAGTTCAAGACCAGCCTGGCCAACGTGGTGAAACCTTGTCTCCATTAAAAATACAAAAATTAGCCAGATGTGGTGATGCTTGCCTGTAGTCCCAGCTACTGCGAGGCTGAGGCAGGAGAATCACTTGAACCCAGGAAGTGGAGGCTGCAGTGAGCCGAGATCACCCCACTGCACTCCAGCCTGGGCCACAGAGTGAGACTCAGTCTCAAAAAAAGAAAAAAAAAAAAAAAAAAGATTGCCTAATGTATCTAACAAAATTGGAAACTTCCTAAAACATATCTAGCCCAACGTGATGCTCATTGCCTATCACTCTCGAACATCACCCTCTAACTAACGTCCGGACTCCTTGACATGATATTAGTTCCCTTCACCATCTGGTTCCAACTATTTTTCCAACTTTATCTCCCAGTCTGTCTTGTTCTAACCATGCAAGATGACTTGCAGTTCCCTCAAACACTTTTCTTCCTTCATATCTTTGCTCATGCTGATCCCTCAACCGGGAATATCCTCCTTGGCAGTCCTTCACTATTGAGGGCATAGTAATCCTTCAAGTCTCAAAGGGCACCTTGTCTATGCTCTGTTTGTGCTCCATAGACTTGGAGGGAGAGGTTATCATAATCCTTTGTTTGTGCCTCACTTTTGGTCCTTCTTTGTATGTGTATGTGTGTGTATTCCTATTTTTATCATCTTCAACAAGTAGCATACTGCCTTGCACAAGTGTTCACTTGGTAAATATGCATTAAATTGAATTAAATAGAAGGCACTTGCCAACTATTGGATTCAGTAAAGTGAGTCATCTATGAGTCAGTATGAATTATTAGTAAATAAGTCTGGCTCATGTTTTGACATTTCTTCAGGTGGCAAATATTACAACAGACAAAAATATACCACAGAAGATCCCAGGAAATAACATATTGGTGCTTCTCTCTTTTCATTCCTACAGAGGAGTCTTTGTTTACAGTTTCAGGAGTGAGGCTAAAGCCAGAAATGTGTGACCTTTTGGCCTCCTACCAGAAAGGTCACCACCCAGCCCAGTTTAGCAAATGCTGGTGAAAAGAAAGGGCGAGATCACCAAGGTTCTTCCAGGTAAGTGGTTGCAACAGTGAGGTTCCTTATGGAACAAATTGAAAAGCAATTGGTGCCGGGTGGAGAGGACATTGCTCAGGGATTCAGAGCACCTCTGTGCTGTTTCTAGTTCTTCTTCGCCAGCTCTAGGACAGGTGGCCTTGCCTCTTCAGGCCTCCATTGCCTGGGCTGGGCAAAGAGAATAATTACATGCATTGCCTTTCTCTTCCACTCCCGGAGCAGGGATAAAGCTCCTAAGACAGAACTTCTATGCTTCCTCATCGGTGTGAGATCTTCAGCTGACACAGGTGGGACGAAGGGAGGCAGAGGTTGCAGTGAGCCAAGATCGCACCACTGCACTCCTGGTGCGTCAGCCTCCCAAGTGCTGGGATTATAGGCGTGAGGCACAGTGCCCAGCTGGAAATCTATTTGTATAGACTCTAAGGTGCAACTTTTGCAAATTGAAAACAACTGTTTTCCGTTAACTAGGGAATTCTCACTGTCAACTGACAGGGCAAAATTTTGTCCTGGTAAGGGTAACAAACAAAGTTTTCCCCAAAACAAAGGGGTTTCCGGGATGTAGGATGCTCAGTACTAGAATTGGTGCAGTCCTGGGTAAACCAGGATGGTTGGTCACCTTTGTGGCACAAATTACCTTCCAGGGTAATCTTGAGGAGGAAGGGGTGCTGTGAAGGATTTTCCCAAACCCACCATACCCTTAAATGAGTACTGCTAGCAGGCACAGGAAGCCAGGTGGGACAACTCCAAAAGTCACCGTAGTATAGACAACCCTATAGATGTCTCAAGAGCACTTCCCATACTGGGGCTTCCATGGTGGTAGATGGGACAGCAAACAAGATAGAGGAATCAAGGTAGAGCCCACATGCACAGCCTGCCAGCCAGCCTGCCCGCCCTTTAGGTGACCCTGGCTATATTCCAAACCACAAGCATTATCCTATGATTTGGCCACCCATTTGACAACCACAGCTTGGCCGTGCTTCCCAGGGGCCTAGATGGTAACCACCGGTATCTCCCTACACACCCCCCAACAATATCACTCACATGGCTGGATTCACTCTTCATTCTTTCTTTTGATCTCTATCTTTGGCTGTCACGATTTAAAGGCATATACACATTAAAGATATCGGCTTCCTGGCTCTTCTAAGATCATTGTCTTGTCTTCAAAGAGCAGGGAAGTTTAAAATTATAGCTGATCCTCAGAGCATTTTATGAAATACCTAAGTTTGTATTTTGACAATATACATTTAGAATTACAATTGGTGATATAATATGGTATTTCCCAAGCAAAATATTCTCTAGAGCAGAGCTTTTACTGTATAATTATTTTAAACCTGCTAGTTATAAGGACAGAATGAACTTTAGCTGCATTCTGTGAAGTGGAGGGCCTTACCCTTCATAAAATTATCAAAGATACTAATGGAAATGGGCTCAGATGGTGGTGCTCCATTAACATTATTATTATTTCTATTGTTGTTATTTTATTTTCTTAAGCAGCTGGAAGGTAGGGAGATAACCTTGCCTTTCTGATCTACAGTGACCTTCCACAAAAAATTGCTACCTGTAGACATAAATTGGTCACAATAGAAAATCAATTAAATGCAGCATGTCAAGCTTGTGGCCTGCGCCAGCAATTGAAGAAGGGAGAAGGCAGATTTTGCCTCTGCTGGAGTAAGCTCATGATGTCCCTAGGCCTTGGTACGAATGTAAGGAGATAAAACTGAGATGAGCCACAAGAGGGAAAAGCTAGAGCAATTAAACTGTTTAATAAATGGCTTGGGATCAGCAAAATCTAGAGTGCTAGAGTTAGAGAGACTAAAAGCAGTAATCACATGGACACTTGGGGCCTGTAAATCTTTTCCAGTGAATTGAATTTATGTTAAAATATTCACTTTTCAGGAGAGTCAAAATGTAAATTGGCGTATTAGGACTTCGTAACTGGCAGCAATGCCTCAAAATTAAGATTCTTGAAAGAGCTTCAAAATGTCGGTTTCAGGCAGGGAAAAAATGTGTACTGATGTCTACAACAGAGAAATAGAGGGGAACTAAAATTTACTGGATAGATACCACACACCAGGCACTACAGTAAGGGCTTTACACATATTCTTTCAAAGCTTGGCATGTTTTGAGCAGTTGGTGGTGGTGAGTTACAATGATAGCTTATAGAAGCCATCTGGAGATAGATTTTGATTATTTGCAAAGCTTTCTTAGTTCTTATAACCAGGGTTAAGATGCTGCCTCCCTTATGTTTTATCATTACCTTTTCTATCAATATATATAATGCCATCAATAACTTTGCAATGTTTAACTGATTTTCCTTCATCAATACTCTGTTGTTCATTATTTTGATTGTGTTTATTTTTCATTCACTTCCAGGGCTGTATTTCTGCAGTTTCGGTTTTCATTTGCTTCAGCTTACTAAGAAGCTTCAAATCTAACTCCATACTGAACAAGGGGCTTTATGTCCTCACCTATGACCTGGAATAGTTTAAATATGGTGTTCAAGGCAATAGTACATAATAGTGGAAGAAAATTCAGTGGAAGGTTATTGCTATTGTCATTTGCATAGAATTTAAGTGATTGATTTAAAAAAACTGGACATAAACTAAGTCTAAGAAGAGGGCTTCTGAATAACTTCATTCATTTTGGCATTTGTTAAGAGATTCCTGGGCTAGAAGGTTGATTTCCCAAAAAGACAGATAAGAGACTGACAATTTAAAAGAATCTGGAGACAGAGCTGGTGCTTACAGAGACCTGCCACTCCTGTGTTCACTTACAATTTCTCCCAACAAAAGGATTTCTGTGGCAAGGAGAAAACTAGCCTAAAGTTTAGAAAAAGATGGTTTCTTGGATAACATTGTTAACAAAAGGACTTCCTGAGGACTATTTATTATTATTTTGTAGGGGGCACTTCCTCCTTCACTAAACTGGATTATCAGAACGTATTACCACCCAACCCATATTTTAGAAGTTTGGATTTGGCTGCTGATTAGAAATGAATTTCAGGCTATCTCCTCCTACTGAATCTTAATTGTCTGTGATGATGGCAACAGTGATGGGGAATCTAAGCGCTGGTTTGATGGTGGAGATATTGAATAAGTAGTTGGGAGCAGAGTTCCAAAGATGTAATTTAAGCCCTGTTGCACCACCACACACACACACACACACACACACACACACACACACACACCCCTCAAGTAAAATGAGAGATCTGTCTTAGCTAACACGTGTGCCGTTTTATACAATGACTCCTTCTAAAAGCAGCCAGGGAAACTCAAATCGCTTCTGTCCAGGGATCATCTCAGGAAATGTAGCAGCCTAGAAACCAGAGACCTCTGTATATCCTTTGGAAGAGCAAGGAGGAACTAATTAAGAGATAATTAAAAAATAGTAACTATCCCCCAATGTCTGAGATGGAAAAAGGAAAAAGACACATGGGTAGCCCAAATCAACCTGCCTGAGTAAGTATCTGATTTTAGTAAGGCATTTGACAAAGACTGTCCAGCTATACCTGAAAGATGAAACAGTGTAGGCTGGGTGATGGAGCAGATATATGTACTCAAATCATGGTGTTTATTTAACCCAGAGAAAGGCCAGCCGTGGTGTGCTACAAGGTTCAGTCTTGAGTCCTATTCTGGTCAAATATTTTTATTAATTACTCGAATAAATCAGAGTACATGGACAACTTTATACAACTCCTTGAAGTAAGTACTATTATTATTAATTTATGACTTCCATTTCACAAAAGAGGAGACTGAGGCTCAGTGAAGTTAGGTAACTCCTTCATAGTAGCATGCCAGAGTGAAGATGCAAACCTCAGACCTGGTTCTCCAATGTTCCTGACACCTATCGAATTTAGAGAATACACAACTCTTGCAGAGGCAGCTGCTATTTAGTATTGGATCATGATTCAAAAGACACCTTGCTAGAAGCCAATGAACAGCAGGCCAAAACAACACTTACTTGCATCAAATTTCATCTGACTTAAATTCTTACACTTTGGGCTACAACTTAAAAAAGGCTATGACTTAGTGGAAATTGGCACTTTTAAGTACAATATGAATTAATAGTATAATTTCGCTGTCCCCCAGAGATAATGCTAGTACCAATCGAAAGCTCAGGGATGCTACTGTTGACGCATCAGCAAGAGTTCTTGAGCAGTTTTACCTGTCCATCAATACAAAGAGTTCCCACAACAGTAGTGGGATTCCTCTGCCTCTCTGAAGATATGAGAGCTATAGGAGGGATTCCCATGTTGGAGGTTAGAAGAGCTGACCTCCAATGTCCCGTCTAATTCCAAGATTCTCCAATAATGACTTTGGAACAGCTGTGTACAGATTATACTTGGAATTATGCTTAGATACTATTGCTGCAGGAATGAATAGACAAATTTTGTTATTAAAAAATTGATTTTATTAAGTGGAAGTTGACAGAATTATCCTCTTTATAATGGAGGAACATTATGCTTATGCATATGCATATACCTTATGCATATGATTATGCTTGTGCTTCCTTCTTTAATGGATTTACCTATTCAAAAGCTTAATAAATGTTATAAGACTCTAAAACATTTAAATCTTTCATTTCTCAATTTTATCAAATAAACATTCCTGGAATTTGTGCATATTTTTTCATCCCGTGTTTTGGTTGTTTCTTCCGTATAGACCAACACCAGACTTTAAAAAACATAATTTATTTTTGTTCAGTTTGAGGCACTAGTTATTTTAGTGATGCTTACTTAGCCACTAGTGCTATTCTCCTAATATTTCTGTCTTCCAGGCATCCATAATGGGGTCGCACTTCTTGGCTCTCTGATGGGTGGATATGGCCACGTGGTTAGTTCTGGCTAATGAATTGTGAGTGGACGTGATCTCTGTCACTTCTGGGCCAAGCATTCATTTGATTGCCAGTATAAGACCCTCCAAATTTCTTTCCTTTTTTTTTTTTTTTTTTTGTTCTGTTTTTTGAGACGGGGTCTCACTATGTGGCCTAGGCTGGCATGCAGTGACTATTCACAGGTTGTGATCATCACACACTACAGACTCAAACTCCTGGGCTCAAGCAATCCTCCTACCTCAGCCTCCCAAGTAGTCAGGACTACAGGTGTGCACCACCACATCTGACTCAAATTTCACTTTACTTTCCCTCGGTTCCAGTGACCAGCAGTGTTTAAGATGATCCCAGAATGAGGAGATGTAGAACAGAGTTCCTGGATGACATATGATGAAGGTGTAGTGGAAGAGAGAAGTAAAACTTTATTGTTTTAAGCCACTAATATTTTGAGGTTATTTGTTACTATAGTATAACCTAGTCTATCCTGACTGCTACCAGGACACATAAAACACACACCTGCACTATCCAACGTGGTAGCTACTAGCTACATGTGACTTTATATTTACATTTGAATTAATTATTAAATGTAAAAATCAGTTTCTCATTCACACTGACCATATTTCAAATGTCAATAGCTCAGAGGCTGGTGGCTGCCATATTGCATGATGCAGATACAGAACATTTCTATTATTGCAGAAAGTTCTGTTGAACGGTGCTGACATAGAGTGTCAGGATTTATACGAGAGTTGATAGTGATGTCTTCTAACATTTCTTGATATTTTAAGTGTGCATTTAATACCACCTTGAAGTTAGTCTCTAAAGATTTTGCCTTTTAAAAATAAAATCTCTGAGAGCCTCCAGTGGATGCTGGAAGAAAATAAATCACTCTGAAAAGTTACACTTCTTAGAACCAAACAACTCAGAAGGTCTTTTCCTGACGGTTACATTGACAGAGAAGATGAACACCTTTTGATTAGTTTTGACACCTTTCATTAATAAATTCCGAGGGCAGTTTTATTTTAGTCCATCCTCCCTGATTTTCTGCACATTTTCTACTTCTAACTCTTCTCTATCCCTAAGTGGGTTGATGTGCACCTGATATAAGATCTCATGTGCATAGTAATGAAATCATCCAAGTTTATTATCATCCTTATACACAATTGTTTCTATTGTAAGAACTATTAATATCATTGGATATTACAAGAAAATCTTGTAAGTAGACCAAAATGGAACCAAGATGTAAAATAATCCTTCTCATTAATTATTCAACAAACATCCAGGCAATAGAAATACAAAAATTAACAGTTTCCCCAAGGATCATATAGTCTAATGGAGAGTTAGCTGTAAATAAATATAAGATCCAATGACAACATGTCAATCTGCCCTATCACAGAGGAGATGACATAGGCTTTGTCATGAAGGGAGAGTGTGCCAGGCAGGCAATTGAAGGGATAAGAAGATCCCCGGGCAGGGCGCGGTGGCTCACGCCTGTAATCCCAGCACTTTGGGAGGCCAAGGTGGGCAGATCACGAGGTCAGGAGATTGAGACCGTTCTGGCTAACACGGTGAAACCCCGTCTCTTCTAAAAATGCAAAAAAAAATTAGCCAGGCTTGGTGGCGGGCGCCTGTGGTCCCACCTACTTGGAGCTTGCAGTGAACCGAGATCACACCATTGCACTCCAGCCTGGGCGACAGAGTGAGACTCCTTCTCAAAAACAACAACAACAACAACAAAAGATCCCCAATGTGACAGTATTATAGAAAGGACAGGAGCTGGGAGAGGTGACATGCACCTGTATTGCCAGCTACTCAGGAGACTGAGGTAGGAGGATCCCTTGAGCCTAGGAGTTTGAGGCTGCCTGGGCAATAGAGCAAGACTCCATCGCTAAAAAAAATAATAATAAAACTAATAAAAAAGAAAGAACAGGGTGTTTTGGGTTGTAATGAACTGAAAACCCCAATTCAATGGCTTAACCCACAAGGGTATTATTTTACATAAGAAGCCTAGAAGTAGGTGGCTCCAAGATTGATTCATCTGATGGGTCAATGACATCACAGGGACGTAGGGTCTTTCTATCTTTCTTCACTGCATCTTCAGTGTCCTTCATTGCCTTAGTCCTCAGGCTGGTTCCTATCATGGTCACAAGATCCTGCCACAATTCCCAGCATCATATGCAGATATGTCTACATCCAGTTGAAGAAGAGACCATCTCTTCCTGTATGCTTCATTTTAAAAGAAAGCACAGGCTGGGCGCAGTGGCTCACGCCTGTAATCCCAGCACTTTGGGAGGCTGAGACGGGTGGATCACGAGGTGAGGAGTTCAAGACCAGCCTGGCCAAGGTAGTAAAATCCCATCTCTACTAAAATTACAAAAATTAGCTGGGCGTGTTGGCAGGTGCCTGTAATCCCAGCTACTCAGGAGGCTGAGGCAGGAGAATTGCTTGAACCTGGATGGCAGAGGTTGCAGTGAACTGAGATCATGCCACTGCACTCCAGCCTGGGTGACAGAGTGAGACTGTCTTAACAAAAAAAAAAAAAAAAAGAAAGAAAGAAAAAAAAGGAAAGAAAGCAAGAAAGCACAGTTCTCTTTATATCTTCTGATAAGACTGTCACATACCTGCTTCTGAAATGCTAGCAAGGGGAATTCGATAGCTGCTTTAGAATGTTCAGGATTTCCTCCTGATCTGAAGCAGGACCACCTCTCCTGAGGGGCAAATTCCTAAATAGTCATGACCACCTATCAGTCTGCCCTATCACAGAGGAGATGACTGAGGAAGAAGTCGGGACAGACTGTTGGGCAGACAACCAATAGAATCTGCCACAGCAACTAATTGATCATTGGGCCGTGTGGTGTTGGGGGCAGTGGGAGGTGAAGAATGGGCATAAGGTTTCCAATCTGGGGGCCTGGATGGCTTGTTACATCATTCACAGTTGGGTACTTCCTTTGAGAGAGACGGTTATGAGCTCACTTCTAGACATCTTGAGTTTGAGGTACTGGTGTGCATAAGATGATTAGAACCGCCGGCCTGGGAACAGGACGTGGAGATGGCTGTGAGTGAGTGTCATCTACACACTGATGGTCCTTGAAGTCCCCAGGATGTGACTGCCCAAGAGAACATATCTGAAGAGAGGAAGCACAAGAATTGTACCTTGGGAAAGCTCAATATTAGCTTTATTTAAGCAGTATTTAGAGCTTGGAGATGGAAGAATCAACAAAGGAGACAAAGCATTAGTGGTTAGAAATTGGTGGAAAGGGGAGGTGTTGTGCGGAGAGGGGAGGGACTAGAACCATTCTGTGTGACAGAAGTTAACAAGAGCGTTCCAAGATTGAGTAGCCTGCAGAGAAAACCACCAGGAAGGTGTGAACAAAGAAAGGCCGTGGATTTGGGAGGCTACCTGTCCTTGGTAACCTACAAGGGAGCAGCTTCCATGGCATGGTGGTCATAGAAGAGCACGATGGATTAAAGAGACAGTGACAGGTAAGAAAGCAGAATGAGGGAATATCTTTCAGAAATTGTTGCATAAAAGGATAGGAAAGATGGAGGACTCACTAGAGCACGGAAGGACTGACAGGTTTCGTGTTTTGTTTGGCATAGGAGAGATTATACATTTTTATGAGCTGAAGAAAAAAGAGAGAAAGAAGTTGAAGAATCAGTAGATAATCCAAAAATACCAGGCATGATCCCTTCTCGAGTTTTTGCCTGGCTCGTGCCTCTGCCTAGAACCCCTCTTCCAAATATCCACACAGCCAACTCCCTTGCCTACTTCAAGCCTTTGTCCAAATGTCACCGGTTGGTGAAGCCTATCCTGGCCACCCTATTTAATGGGCCACTAATTTGGAAGCCTCCTGTACACCAATCCCCCTTAACCTGCCCTATTTTTCTAAAGCATCTTATCACTTGATGTCGTGCTCCATAATAGATTTACCAATTTATGATATTTATTGTTTCTCTCTCCCCCCAGCTGGAATGTAAGTTCCATGAAGATAAGAATATGTTTTATTTTATTTTATTTATACTTTTTTGAGATGTAGTTTTGCTCTTCTCACACAGGCTGGAGTGCAATGGTGTGATCTCAGCTCACTGCAACCTCCGCCTCCCAGGTTCAAGTAATTCTCCTGCCTCAGCCTCCTAAGTAGGTGGGATTACAGATGGATGCCACCATGCCCGGCTAATTTTTGTATTTTTAGTAGAGATGGGGTTTCATCATGTTGGCCAGGCTGGTCTTGAACTCCTGACCTCAGGTGATCCACCTGCCTTTGGGTGAGCCACCACCTCCGGCCTAGGAATCTGTTTTATCCACTAGCGTATCTCAAGCACCTTGAACACTGTCTTGCATGTAGCAGAGTCTCAGTAAATGTCTTTTGAATGAATGAACTCTACCATGTTTCAACTGCAACCCAGCACACTTTTTCTCCCTTGTCCTGTTCTGTTTTGGCTTTGTTTTTTCATATATGATGTACCAGTGTATTACATTTGTTATGTTTTCTATCTCCCACAGTAGAAATCAAGCCCCACAGGAAAAATGATTTTGATATGTTCTGTTACTGATATATCCCAAGCACCTAGAATTGTGCATGACACATAGTCAGTGCTTAGGAAACACTTGTGGAATAAATGAATCAGTGAAGATTCAGAGATTGAAGGAAAGGAGATTGAGAGTCTATGTTTGCCTGGGAGAGGGTAAGAGATGCATGTCCTCTGAGACTGGAGAAGAGGTAAAGTACACAGATAAAACATAATCAAACCATTGAGCAGGTGTACAGAATCAGGAGCCAGGTGGTACACAATCAGGCATTTGTTCAAATCTGTCTCTGCCACTTACTAACTGTGTGATTTGGGGGCAAGTTACCTCCCTTCTCTGCTTTCACTTCCTCCTTTGTAAGATAGGAATGATAATAGTATCTGACTCATAGAGTTGGTGGTGAGGATTAAACGAATTAATACATTTAAAATATCTTAAAGAAGCTGGGCACGGTGGCTCATGCCTGTAATCCCAGCACCTTGAGAAGCCAAAGTGGGAGGATCACTTGAGGCCAAGAGTTTGAGACTAGCCTGGACAACATAGTGAGACCTCATCTCTACAAGAAATTAAAAAATTAGCTGGGCATGGTGGCACACGCTTGTAATCCCAGCTGCTTGGCAGGCTAAGGTGGGAGGATCGCTTGAGCCCAGGAGTTCAGAGATTGCTGTGAGCTGTGGTGGTGCCACTGGACTCTAGCCTATGTGATAGAGCAAGACCCTGTCTCAAAAAAAAATAAATAAATTGGGCCGGGCGCTGTGGCTCACGCCTGTAAGCCAGCACTTTGGGAAGTCGAGGCAGGAGGATCTCCTGAGGTCGGGAGTTCGAGACCAGCCTGGCCAACATGGTGAAACTTGGTCTCTACTAAAAATACAAAAATTAGCCAGGTGTGGTGGCACACACCTGTAATCCCAGCTACTCGGGAGGCTAAGGCACAAAAATCGCTTGAACCCAGGAAGTGGAGGTTGCAGTGAGCCAACATCACACCATTGCACTCCAGCCTGGGTGACAGAGCAAGACTCCATCTCAAAAAATAATAAGTAATAAAATATTTTAAACAGTGCCTGGCATATAGTAAGCACTATAAAAATTAGGTGGTGGTGGTGATAGTAAATGAAAAAAAAGGAACAGGGGAATTAAATATGCTAATACCCATGGGGTTTGACCTGGAAGGGAAGGCAGGAGGACAATATGGAACCAACTTAGATTTAACAGTGAGTTTGGGTTTGGGGATGACGTTGGGAGGGAAAGTCGACAACACCTGATTCTGGTTCTGTTTGTGACTGTGGCTCCATTTGGTAAGCCTGGCTAGAGCTGCAGGAACCCTGGGTTTCACTAACCTCCTACTCTGAAGAACAGATTAAAAAATGAGGATCAGAATTTTAAAATATAGATATTTTTCTCTGCAGACCAATTCCAATTCCTGAAAACTTGTATGAATAAAATAATGGCACTGATTTTTTCCGCTTTGAGATCTTTTTGGTTTTTGTTTCAGTTTTGTAGGTATTTTGTAATTTTTTTATGTTTCAATGTTTAGAGAAAGATCTAGCGGATTCGAGGCAGGAAACACAAAAGGCCAGGCTAATCACACGAACAGCGCCCACTACAATGGCTGCAATGGGCCACGCATCTCTGGAAAAGACAGTTCCCCAAAAGAGTGCCTGGGGAAGGCAGATAAAAGACCGAAGTTGGGTCATGTGACAGGTGTCACTTGAGTAACGATACTGGGGCCAGAGATAAAAGCCCACTCCTTCAGGTCACATGACCCAGCTTCATTACGCTCCCAGCAGGGGGTTACAGAGTCTGGATGCCATTTTTACTTATTTATTTATTTGTGTTTTTTCCCCTTATTCTGTGATAATGAGAAAATGTTTAAACTCCCATCTCTGTGTTTAAACATTTCTTCCTGCTGACAGCAGCGGGATACCCCTTGATCAACTGTCAGATTGGAAAGTGCAATTTTTCTGGAAAGTAAACAGCATGTTAGCTGGTTGGAAATAATTTTCTGTTTATTGGTAGCTGTTACTCTAGGAGTGATGGAGCCCTGTGACAGCACTTGTCAAGTGAAGAATAAGAAACAAGTTTGGAAATACCTTTAAGACATAGCTCTGACAATAGGGCCTTACTAGTTTTTGATAGAAATGAACTCTAAAAAAGTTAAAATGGGCAAAAAAACTTTTCCAGTGTTACCAACTCTCGGAGATCTTTCCGGCAAAACTGACAGAGAATCAAAGGCAAATTCATGGAATGCTGGAAGTGGATGGGTCCTCAGCAGGCACAAAACCCAACCCCTGTGTTTTACCACTGGGGGAACCTTGGACTCTTCTCATTAATAAGAGGAAAGCAGCCGGGCGCGGTGGTGGCTCACGCCTGTAATCCCAGCACTTTGGGAGTCTGAGGCAGGCGGATCACGAGGTCAGGAGATTGAGACCATCCTGGCTAACACGGTGAAACCCTGTCTCTATTAAAAATACAAAAAAATTAGCCGGGCATGGTGGCAGGTGCCTGTAGTCCCAGCTACTCGGGAGGCTGAGGCAGGAGAATGGCATGAACCCTGGAGGCGGAGCTGGCAGTGAGCTGAGATCGCATCACTGCACTCCAACCTGGGCAACAGAACGAGACTCCCTCTCAAAAAAAAAATAATAAAATAAAATAAAAAATAAAAGTAAAATAAAATAAAAAGAAAGCATGACAACTATCAATATGACAAATAAAAGTTTTATTTTCTTTTATGTATGAAGATGAATGCAAAAAGCTGGTGGAAGCAGTTTAAACATTTTGACCTAAGTATACTTAACAAGGTTTAATGGCACATATAGATATATACAGTTGACCTTGAACAACACAGGGATTAGAGGTGCCAAGCCCCCCACCCCCTACCCCCACTCCCCACCCTGTGTGCAGTAGAAAATCCACATGTAACTTTTTTTTTTTTCTTTTGAGACAGGATCTAGCTCTGTCACACAGGCTGGAGTGCAGTGGCACAATCATAGCTCATTGCAGCCTTAACCTCCTGGGCTTAAGCCATCCTCCCACCTCAGCCTCCCAAACAGTTAGGACTACAAGCACATGCAACTACACCTGGCTAATTTTTTAAATTTTTTGCAGAGACAGAATCTTGCTGTGTTGTCCAGGCTGGTCTTGAATTCCTGGTCTCAAGTGAGCCTCCCGCCTCGGTCTCCCAAAGTGCTAGGATTTCAGGAGTCAGCCACCACACCCGGCCCACATGTAACTTTTGACTCTTCAAAAAAAACTTACCTAATAATCATCTACTGTTGACTAGAAGACTTACCAATAAGATAAACAACCAATTAACACACATTTTATGTATGTGTTTTATACTGTATTCTTACAATAAAGTAAGCTAGAGAAAAGAAAATGTTATTAAGAAAATCATAAGGAAGAGAAAATATATTTACTGTTCATTAAATGGAAGTGGATCATCATGAAGTTCTTCAACTTTCTGTCTTCATATTCAAAGGGCTGAGAAGGAAGAGGAAGGGTTGGTCTTGCTGTCTCAGGGTGGAAGGGGCAGAAGAAAATCCACTTATAAGTGGACCTATGTAGTTCAAACCCATGTTGTTCAAGGGTTAACTGTATATATATATATATATATATATATATATATATATATATATATATATATATATATATATATACAATCTTTTTTTTTCCAGTGGCTAAAAGAACACCATTAGTCTTTTGTTAATTAAACATGTCATCAGAAAAAAAAAGTGTTTTTCTTTTTCTTTTTTTTTGTTTTTTGTTTTTTTGAGATGGTCTCCTCTGTCACCCAGGCTGGAGTGCAGAGGCACAATAATGGCTTACTGCAGCCTCAACCTCCCTAGTAGCTGGGACTACAGGCTCAAGCCACCATACTCAGCTAATTTTTTTTTTTTAAATAGAGATGCGGTTTCACCACGTTGCCCAGGCTGGTCTCGAACTTCTGGGCTCAAGCAATCTGCCCGCCTCAGCCTCCCAAAGTAGTGGGATTACAGGCATGAGCCACCACACACAGTCAAAGGTTTCTAATTATAAGTAATATATATTCTCAAGCTATATAAAGGTCCATATCTATCTTCAATTAGGGTAAGTTTAAGGTCCTAATTTGTCCCGGAATTCGCCTCACTTTTTCCTGATGGTTAGAAAAGTAATTCCAGCTGCTTGACGAGGTGCTTTCACCTAGATGTTTCTAACAAATATGTCAAATTCTGCATGTCCAAACTTCTCCCTACATCAAAAACAAAGCAAAAAAGGTCTTCTCCATTCTCGTTTTGGTTAACAGCATCACCATCCTCCCAATTGCCTGATTCCCCTCTCCCTGCCTCCTAAATACCTTTCAGTACATTTTCTTCTATAGCCAGTGCCAGGCTATGTGGTTCTCAAAGTGAGGTCCCTGTACCAGCAACATCAGCATCCCCTGGGAAGTGGTTAGAAATGCAAATTCTCGGGGCTTACCTCAGACCTACTGAATCTGGAACTGAGTGGGGTGGAGCCTGGTAAATCTGCATTCACTAAAGTGAGAACACTGTCCTGGCTGTATTCTGCAGGTCTTGCCCTGTAGTCTCCTAACTGGCCTTCCAGCCACCAATTTTTTCTCTGGAGTATTCCCCATACCAGTAGTTCTCAACCTTGGCTGCACATTGGAATAATCTTGAAAATACTGATGCCTGGGTCCCTGTTTAATTGCTCTGGTCTGCAACATAGGCACAGGACTTTTTTAAGCTCCCCATATTATTCTAATGTGTAGCCAGGGCTGATAATCACTGCTCCACCCGGAAGCCAGTGTTCTCTTGCTAAAAAACAAATCAGATGATGTCACTATCCCCCCTAAAAAAATCTCTATCAGTCATAGGATAAATTCTGAACCAGCTCTTCAGCATGGCCCCAACTGAGTACTCCAGCTGGCTCCATCAGCCTCCAGGCTCACTCGCTTCCTCTACACTCAGCCACGTGGAATTTCTCAGTATTCCCTGAATGCAGTATTCTGTTCACATCCCTAGCTTTTTGCACTTTCTGTCCCCTCTGCTTAGAATGCCCTCTTCCATCCTCTCTGCCTGGTGAACTCTTATCCCTCAATGCTCAGCTGAAAGGTCCTCCAGCCCAGGGTGAGTTGCTCTCTTCTCTGGGATCCCAGAGCACTCTGTTGCTATGTACATCATAGTATTGGTCCCATTTCATTGCAATTATTAGTTGACACTTCTTTCTTCTTCTTCTTCTTCTTTTTTTTTTTTTTTTGAGATGGAGTTTCACTCTTGTTGCCCAGGCTGGAGTGCAATGGCATGATCTCAGCTCACTGCAACCTCTGCCTCCCGGGTTCAAGTGATTCCCCTGCCTCAGCCTCCCGAGTAGCTGAGATTACAGGCATGTGCCTCCATGCCAGGCTAATTTTGTATTTTTAGTAGAGACAGGGTTTCTCCATGTTGGTCAGGCTGGTCTTGAACTCCCAACCTCAGGTGATCCGCCCGCCCCGGCCTCCCAAAGTGCTGGGATTACAGGCATGAGCCACCACATCCAGCCTTCTTTATCCTTTTTAAAAACTGACAGCGTTAGGAGATTAGAAGAATGCTTAGCTTTTTAATTTTATCCCCAGTGTCTAGTGTAAGTTGGACATTGAGAAGATGTTCAATCAATGTTGGTTAAGCGAATGAATTGGAAACACCACCACTTGCTGCCTTCCACTGAGATCAAATCATGGTGCCATTTTGCTTTTCTTTCCAGAATCAGTAAAGATCATATATCTCATATCATACACATATGACTTAGTAATCACATACCACAAACACGTGATTAGGAGCCAACCAGATCAAGTCTGTCACTTGCTGACCTTGGTTTTCTAATCTTTAAAATAAGGTCAATAATGCCTATTTTGTAGAGTGAGTGTGAAGATTCATTGTATAACACCCAGCAGCATGCCTGACACAGACTAGGCACTAAATAAATTAAAATGTTTATTATAATAATAAGTAAATAAAACTCACTGAAAAGAAAGTTAAACTGAGCAGCACTTCTGTTTATACATCTGTTTCTCTCTTCAGTGTGAGCTGCTGAAAGGCAAAAGCTGTCTTATTTATCCGTGTGTTCCCTGGGGCGGGGAACACAGTAGGCATTCATTAATTAATTCGGTCGCTCATTCACCAAGCATTTATTAAGCTAATGAATGAAATGAATAATATTTGGGTTAGAATGATGGCTTGCTGTTTGGGGCACAGAGAGACTCACACATTTGTCTGTCTTACAAAACAGAGAATCACAAGTTTGGCCACTGGAAGGTGTCTCAGAAATCATTTTTAAAGGTTCTCATTTACAGGTGAGAAAAGGGAGATAACTAACCAGGAAAGCCATTTTAATTTCAATATTGAGGATAACATTTCTAGGTTGGGAGTGGATGCTGACCAAGTAGGAAAGCAAGTTCACATTTGTAAAAGTTCTTGGGTGGGTGATACTTAACTAGGACAGTGCTTGGTTTTTCATGGTGAGAAACTGGGCAGTTGAGAAGAATTTTAACAAAAATCATCAGAGGCACTTTTGAGTATTGTCAATTCCATATTATATACTTTATCTGGTGGAAAATAAAGCACCTTCTACCCAACGTGCATGTAAATTTATGTTGCTCTGTCCTTTTAAAGGGCAGGTAGAAGGCAAAATGTAGGTCATTTAACAGGTGTCGTTCCAGGCAACAACAAAGAACAGATAAAAAAGCATGTAGCAGATGTAGTCGTGTAAATAAGCCTCTTTTTAAAAATGAATCACCACATGTCCCCAAGATCAGAATCACTCCCGGGAACCTGGTGTGGAGTCTCCCAGATGCAGAAGAAAGAGGAATGAATGAATGAATGAATGAATGAATGATCCAGACCAGCCAGAGACTAAACTGCAAGCAACGTTAGGTTTCCCTGTGACCATTCAGACTTAATGTGACTCTATGAGAAAGCACTGTTGCAGGCCGGGGATTGGCAGGCAGCCCCGGCCCCCAGCCTCAGATAACAAGCTGCTCTCCAAGAACACGTGCTAGGAAAAGTGCTTGATCAGAGTGTCAGCTTGTGGACTGAGTAGGAACACTAAGTGGTTTTGTCTGTCACCTCCTTCACCCCAGCTGGAATTTGGCCATAATCTGATAGAAACACTTTGCCCACTTTCAGGAGAATTTTCCACTATCAGTAAGGCTGCTTTTTCATACTTCGGCTATCACCAAAGCCTTTCAGAACACTTGTACTACTATCGCCCAGGGGAGCTTATATGTCTCAAGGGTAGGGGGTGGGGGACCAAAACCATTCTGAGCATGGAACACTCAGTTGATTCAGGTTTCATCCATGTTGAATTTCAGTCCCTGTTTCCTGAGGACTAGACTGTACTAGATGCTGTCCTGGAATCATGTCTTCATTAGTCCCCTGGGCCACATGACCGGTGAGTGAGTAAGCTGGGCTTCAAACTCAAATCCAGCCCCTGAGGTTTCAATGTCCATACTTGAACGTCTACTCGTGATGTCTTCATGTCACTGTGAAGAGGACTGACAGGGCTTCAGAAGCTGCTGCGTGGGAAAGGGTTAAAAGTGTCAGAGTGCCTGGGTTCAGATCCTGACTCCACAGCTTTGTAGCTGAATGCCTTTCGGCAGGTTACTTAACCTCATTAAGCCTCAACTTCCTCATCTGTAAGAATGGGTCCAGCAATAGTACCTGCCTGTAAGGGGGTTATCATGAGGCTTGAAAGGGTTTGACTCATGACAACTGTATAATAAATGATAGTTACTAGTATTGTCATACACATCACAAATACAATCAACATTATGGATTTACTCCCATCTAGGCATGAATAGTCGTGTGTTTATGTGTACACAATGTGACAAAGAAGAAACACAATAGCCACAATTTATCGGGCACTTATTATATGTCAGGTAGTAGAATAGGGGTTCTGCACACATAACCTCATGCTTTTCATATATATGACCTGATTTATTCCTCATAGCCATCTGTGAAGTAGTTAATATTATTTTTATTATTATTATATATTTTTTTGAGACAGTCTTGCTCTGTTTCCCAGGCTGCAGTGCAGTGGTGCGATCTCGGCACACCACAACCTCCGCCTCTCGGGTTCAAGTGATTCTCATGCCTCAGCCTCCCTAGTAGCTGGGACTACAGGCGTGCGCCACCACACCCAGCTAATTTTTTGGTATTTTTAGTAGAGACAGGGTTTCACCACGTTGGCCAGGCTGTTCTTGAACTCCTGACCTCAGGTGATCCGCCCACCTCAGCATCCCAAAGTGTTGGGATTACAGGCGTGAGCCACCATGCCCAGCCAGTAGTTAATATTATAATCCTCCCTTTCAGATGAAGAAAATGAAGCTCGCCAGGCACAGTGGCTCACGCCTGTAATCCCAGCAGTTTGGGAGGCCGAGGCAGGCAGATCACTTGAGGTCAGGAGTTCAAGACCATCCTGGCCAATATGTTGAAACCCCATCTCTACTAAAAATACAAAAATTAGCTGGGCATGGTGGCACATGCTTGTAGTCCTAGCTACTCTGGAAGTTGAGGCAGGAGAATCACTTGAACCTGGTAGGTGGAGGTTGCAGTGAGCTGTGACAGTGCCACTGCACTCCAGCCTGGGTGACAGAGTGAGATTCCATCTCAAAAAAAAAAAATAAAAGAAAATAAAAGAAAAAAGAAAATGAAGCTTACACAAGTTAAGTGACTTGCTTGGAGTCACACAGTTGATATTATATATGGTGATGCTGAGCTTAGATTCCAGAACTGCTTTGAGAGCCTATGCTTCTAATCACTATTCTACAGTGTCTCTCTGAGGCAATAGGCTTAAAAAAATAGATTCCAAAAATTGCTGCTTTCAAACGTGTTGTCTTTTAAAGAAATCTCTTTGAAAAGTGCCAGCTTACCCCATCAATACTGCCATTGTTCAGGCTCTTTGGCCTTCAGAACCATACACAATCCTCACGAGAAAATGAGTCTCAATTTTATCATCCTCATCTTTTAATCTAAAATGGTATTACTTAACTTGATCATGCACCTTATTCCCCGGACTTTGATCTAAATGAATTTTAGCTGTTAAAAATCAAATCCACCTTTAAAGGATAAATATTTGTCCTCATCAAGATACTCCATTCACTTCAGTGTCGAAAAAGAAACGATCCAGAGTGTTTTTAACAGCATCTTTGGAATAAGTAATTCATCTTCCAGGGAGATTGCTTTGAAGGAGAGCCTCATGTGGGATGCATAAGCTCTGGTATGTTTATTTAAAACATACCTTAAATTTCCTTACACATATTCACAAGTAACTTGCCTGGAAGCCCCAGACACTCAGCTCTACTAAGGCAGGAGAAATTGATGAGGTCATCAAGTCCTTTTGAATTGTATGTTCCTAGACTCTTAAACTTTTATTCAGTGAATTGTAAACATGAGCAAAAGGTTTCACTGCGGGAAAGGACCCTGCCTAAACAGAGACGCTCACACACATGCACCTCAACCCACCTCTCCATTCTGCAATGTGGAGCCTTAAGCCATTGCTGGCTTAGGGCTAGAGAGACTATTTGGGGCTCTGAAGAGACAAATCAGAATAGGCAGCTTTTTTGATAGGAAGTCAGCAACTTCCATTCTTGCAACTACCCTGAGCTTAACTTAAATGCCTTCCAGTTGCTAAAAACCTGCAGCTGTATCTGAGCCCAGACAGCCTTTTAACAAAAGTTGTCCATTTTTATGTGGCCAGCCATTGGGTAATCAATACACACGAGATCATCCTTCCACAACCTTTTTCAGTCGCCAACACTTGATGAGTCAGGGTAGTTAACCCAGCCCAAAGACACTGTAGCTGGGCTTCATCACTACATTAGACCCTACTTAAACCCTTCCTTGCTGATTTACTTACAGCACAGCTCTTCTACTTTTTGCAGTAACATAACTTTGGTTAAAGTTCTTGTCACTTTCAGTTTTGCCTACGCTGCCTCCCACTTCCTCCCAAAGCACCCCCCGCCCCCATCATGCTGTGCTCTCCAGATGTTCACAGTCCTGAAATATCCCACATGACAAAATATATACATGTTGTAATTATCCAAGTAAGTCCATCTTTGCTTACTTTGGTCTGGTTCCCATTTGTCTTATCAGTTAAATAGCAAAACTTTGATTAGTGTGGTAGGCAGAACACTGCCCACCCCCCAACCAAAGATCCCCACATCCTAATCCCAGGAACCTATACCCATGCTATGTTACATGGCAAGGGGGAATTAAAGTTGCAAATGGAATTTAGGTAACTGATTAGCTGACCTGAGAATAGAGAACATATCCTGGATTATCTAGGTGGGCCCAATGTTATCACAGGGTCCTGAAAGTGTGTAAACCAAAAAGTATCTGAGACAAGCCTCAATCAATTTAGAAAGTTTATTTTGCCAGCCGGGCACGGTGGCTCACGCCTGTAATCCCAGTGCTTTGGGAGGCTGAGGCGGGCGGATCACGAGGTCAAGAGATCGAGACCATCTTGGCCAACATGGAGAAACCCCGTCTCTACTAAAAATACAAAAATTAGCTGGGCGTGGTGGCATGTGCCTGTAGTCCTAGATACTCAGGAGGCTGAGGCAGGAGAATCACTTGAACCTGGGAGGTGGAGGTCGCAGTGAGCCGAGATTGCGCCACTGCACTCCAGCCTGGCAACGGAGCGAGACTTTGTCTCAAAAAAAAAGAGAGAGTTTATTTTGCCAAGGTTAAGGATACACCTGCGACACAACTTCAGGAGGTCCTGACGACGTGTGCTCAAGGTGGTTGGAGTACAGCTTGCTTTTATACATTTTAGGGAGACATAATACATCAATCAATACATGTGAGATCTACATTAGCTCCATCTGGAAGGGCAGGACAACACAAAGGTGGGGAGGGCTTCCAGGTAACAGGTAGATTTAAACAGATTCTCACTGGCAATTGGTTGAAAGATCTGTTATCTGTAGAAAAGAATGTCTGAGTTACCATAGGGGTTGCAGAGACCTAGGTTTTATCATGCAGATAAAGCCTCCAAGTAGCAGGCTTTAGAGAGCAAAGTAAATTTCTTATCAGACTTAAGGTCTGTGTTGATGTTAATGCTGGAGGGGTCTAATGAGGTATGTCCAACCCCTGCTTCCCTTCATGGCCTGAACTGGTCCTTCAGGTTAGATTTTTAGGGTGCCCTGACTGAGAAGGGAGTCCATTCACATGGTTGTGGGCAGGGCCTTTGAATTTTATTTTTGGTTTACAAGTGTAAGAGTGAGGCGGAAGAGAAAGAGTGATGTGATGGAGAACCGGGCCTGCTGTTGCTGGCTTTGAACATGGGAGAAGAAGGCCATCAGCCAAGGAATGCAGACAGCCTCAAAAAGCTGGAAGGGACCAGGAAACAGACTGCCCCTACAGCCTTCAAAATGGAGCACAGCCCTGCCGAAATCTTTGTTTTTAGCCCAGTGAGTACCATTTTAGATTTATGAACTAGAGAATCGTAAGAAATTTGTGCTATTTTAAGCCACTGAATTTATGATAACATGTTATCGCAACAATAGGAATCCAACACAATCAGCTGAAGCCTAAATAACCAGAAGACACATTCACTTCACATTTTCTGCGTATCACTTTTGAGAGAAATATTCAAATCTCAAGAGAAACTTAAATCAACAGTTTACTTTTAAGCAAGATCCTAGATTGAATTCTCTTCAAACAGACCCTGACAGGATTGGGGGCCACAGGTTTATTGGGGAGCTCTCTCTGGTGCAAAAAGCTAGATCTGGCTGAGACACTGGCCTGCAATGCAACTGCATCTGAGGCCTTAGGCAATCCTACAATCCTACAGGCAGCTCTGGAACTGGGATGGCCCTTCAAAATAGCCCCAAACTGAGGCAAAGGGGCTGAAGCTCTGTATCCACATCATCTGGTTTGAGAGACAGAACAGCCTTGGGTGAGGCGGTTCCTGGTGGCTTGGAGCAACGCCCAGGCAATAAGATACTGTGAGCCATCCACCTTTGATATTTCTACCTACTGCTGCTGGGGGACGGATGGGTTGGCGCTGAGGAGAGGATCTGGGCAGGCGCTAGGATATTCCCTACAAGCAATCTATGTTTCTATGGGCGTGTCCTGAGATCAATACCTATTCCATCTTGTCTTGCTATGACATAAGAAGAGCTATTATTAATTTAGTGCTTCCTACATAACAGAGACTATTTGAAGGACTTTACACTCACTGTCTCTAGTCCTAGCCTCCTCCTAACCTAGCAAAGTAACTATAATTAGTTCCACTCTGCAGATGAGGACACTAAGGCTCAGAAGCTTAGACAGGCGGAGTGCTTTGTCCCAGGCCACCCAGCTAGTGAAGTGGCAGAGCCAGGTTTTGACATCAAAGCCAGCCCATTTTATCCTCAGTCTTCCACAGAGCACACGGACCACACCCCTAGAAAGAGAGTCAGCATTCACAGACATCAACCTGGCACCACAAAAATTCTTGGTCCTCAAAGAAAGATAAGATTGTATTTGGTAAACTCTGATTCCTAAATAGGAAAAGGAGCCTGAGACAGATTGATAAGATATTAAACAAGGCTGAAAATGAAGAAAAAAAAAAAAAACTTCTGGTGGCCCAGAAGGGTTGAGTTGATCAAAGTTTGAACTACACACTGTAAATCAAAGTTAATTACATTTTTACTCCAGGTTGTATGTGGTGGATTTTGTCATCATTTTTACTTGTTCCTCGGTGTTCTCTTTCCCAGTGGAAGCTCCTGGGGGAAAAGGGCCAAGAGGTTCTAAGTTTCCTCATATGGCCCCTAGCACCACATCAACACAGGAGAGCACATCATAAATACCATTTGATGATTTTCTTCCCGCGCATTCATAGCCCCAGACCCTGTGTAAAGGCCTGCTGAGCAATATCATTCACTGAAGTGCTACTCTCCCTGCAGGTTGGGTCCAGAAAATATGGTGCTCGGAAAACACTGTAAAAGCTGCCTCTTTAATAAGGATCCTGGTGTCCCGTGATGGATGCTATAAAACCTCAGACTGGCTGGTGTGCTCACAGCCATGTAGGACCATTAACAGCGTCTGGTCCTGTGGTAACATACTTCATATTCACAGTGCAAAAGAGAAAGCATTTATTATAAATAATGCTAGGTGACCCTGGAGTAAACACAGCTGTGCCCTCGTGGTGTCTTGTCAGTGGTGCTCCCTCAGTAGATTAAAGAAATCCATGTTTTATGGAGCCATCACTTATTCTGTGTATACACAGAGGGCTGGTTTGCTATCAACCTGCAGCTCACTGTGTATAAGGTTTCAGGCCCAGGAACTGCATGAAGCTGAGATGCTTCACTAAAACACTTATTCTTGCATGTTCTAATATTTGCAAAAGGGGATGAGAGTCGGTTTCTATTTGTTCCTAAATGATTTACACGACAATTGGGGCTCTATACAACTTGTGGCTGCCCTTCAGATTTCTTATAAGCTCCTCTCTGCACTGAGCTTATAAGCTCCCCTGCAGCTGAGGCTGGGGGAATGAACATGACTGTCATCCACTAGCTGTGGGACTTGGGGCTATTCCTTTAACTCTTTGAGTCTTATTTTTCTCTCTTTTTTTTTTGTTTGATTTTTTTGAGATGGAGTCTCACTCTGTCACCCAGGCTGGAGTGCAATGGCACGATCTCGGCTCACTGCAACCTCCGCCTCCCGGATTCAAGCAATTCTCCTGCCTCAGCCTCCCAAGTAGCTGGAATTACAGGCACGCACCACTACGCCAGGCTAATTTTTGTATTTTTAGTACAGATGGGGTTCCACCATGTTGGCCAGGCTGGTCTTGAACTCCTGACCTCAAGCGATCCACCTGCCTCAGCCTCCCAAAGTACTGAGATTACAGGTGTGAGCCACCACAGCTGGCCACTTTTCTCCTTCTTAAACATGGGAGAATGAGCTCTGTTTCCTGGAATTTGTGCTAAATTAGATGGTCATCCCCAAATTAGGGGACAGAGTAGGAAGGAAGTGGTAGTACAGCGTTAAGATCCCTTAAGCTGCTAGGAAAAAAATAGAATATATATACATATTGTATTTACATAACTTTATAATATAGGCATAGTAATAAATACAATTTTTGTTAAATATGGACATGTAAAATCATGCACAGATTATATATTATACAGCTGACCCTTGAACAACAGGTTTGAACTTGAAGGGTCTACTTACACTTGGATTTTTTTTCAGTCAAACACAGATGGAAAATAAAGTATTCACGGGTTGCAAAACCTATCTATAGCAAGGGCCAACTTTTCATATGCACAGGTTCTGCAGGACCAACTGGAGGGCTTGAGTATGCATGGATTTGGATATACGGGAAGTGGGGTGGGGGTCCTGGGACCAGTCCCCACATATACCAAGGGATGACTATGTATGCACTTGTAGATGTGTGTGTATATGTATATAAAAGGCTTGCATTATTTAATTGTATACGATTGGTACAGCAGCATAAACACAATTTATAAGTAAAAACTATACATATATTGGGGTGAGCCACCAGGACCAGTGAACGACATAGCCCAGACTAACACTGTAGTTTGGAGTGGTGAACCAACGCCATATGGTGGTTTTCTTACAAGATTTCCATCACCTCTCCAACCACTTTCTCCTCATTGGTCAGATCTAGACCCCGAGAAACTGTTCCTTTCATTGTTTTCTCCGCCTTCTACAAACTGAGATACTCGAGAATCTTCCTCAACCATGAAGAGGGTGATGCTGAGGAGGGATTTTTACCTCAGGGATTAGGGAGGAGACTCCCCTAATTAGGTGGGTGGTGTACCCATAATCCACACAACAATTAGATTTTTGAAGAAAAACCTATCACTGGAATGAAACCAAATTCTTGAAGGTTCTGTTTATACACAAACTTAGTTTCCTCTCCTCCATTCCAAAAGAAAATATACACATTTTTTCTTTAATAAGATGTGTATATATATATATATATATACATATATTTGTGTGTATATATATGTGTGTGTGTGTGTGTGTGTGTGTGTGTATTTATCTCACTAAAATAATGTTTTACTGTCACAAATTCAGGGCTACTGAGTATTTGACTTATGTTTTGGGGGCCCACTATGTGTCAGACATGTTGCTAGGCCCTGGGAATTAATGAATCTCCATGACATCATCTCTGCCCTTGAGGTACTCACATGGAGTGAAGGAGATGGGCAAGTCAACAAATGTCTTAGCTCATTTTCTGTTGCTTATAACAGAATACCTGAAACTGGGTAATTTATAAAGATAAGGAATTTATTCTTACCATTACGGAGGCTGAGAAGTCCAAGGTTGAGCAGCTGCATCTGGTGAGGACCTTCTCGCTGGTAAAGACTCTGCAGAGCATAGAGGTGGCACAGGGTATTACACAGCAAGCAGGGCTGAGCGTGCTAGCTCAGGTCTCTCTTCCTCTTTTTATAAAGCTACCAGTTCCCTCTCATGATAACCCATTAATCTATTAATCCATGAATGGATGAACCCATTTGTGGGGGCCAAGCTCTCATGATCCAATCACCTCTTAAAGGCTCCACCCCTCAGTACTGCTACATTGGGTATTAAGTTTCAACATGAGTTTTGGAGGGGACATTCAAACCATAGCAACAAAGAATCACAAAGTGTATGTCAAGCAGTGAATTACATATAGAGTTATGGGCACAAGTAGCCTGCCTGGGAGACCAGGCAAGGCTTCCCAGAGGCACTCCCTTCCAAAAAAGTGAGTTGAATTTGCCAGGTAAGGAAACACAGAGTGGATGGGAGCAGGGCATTGCGGAGAGGGGGATCCTCATCTATGAAGGTTCGGAGGTATGGAAGAGACAGGATGACAGCAGGGGTGCATGATTCCACAGGGCAAGAGAATACATGGTGTTAGGGGAAGTGTCAGGATGTGACCTAGTAAGTTAGGTAGGGAAGCTTGTAAAGAGTCATATATGTTCTGACTTTATCCTATACACAAAGGAGAGGGATGGAAGGCTTGTAAGGAGGAGATAGGCATGACCATGTGGTAGGCTACCCCACTGTGGATTAAACAGATATTTTCCCCTTTTATCATCAGCAAGAAAGGTATCAGAAAACCATATTGGATTTATGAAGGTAGTTTCCCTATGTGTGTAACCCAGGGGTTATTTTGTCCTCCCTAAGAAACAAGGGATAAGAGGCAACATAGAAGCCTCCCTTTGAAAAGGCCCAAATGCCCTGGAACAACTGAAGATAGCTTGCATTGAACAGCTAGAAGGAGGGCAAGGGGCCTATGGAAAGGGGCATACAGAGGCAGAGGAAACCCTTTGTGTATTGGAAAGGTAGCCCTGCTGCCAAGGGGAAGAGAAGAGGGATAGATCTCAGTGGTCAGAGACTGGTGAAAGAACAAATTCTGCCCTAGGAGACCTACAGGCAAGGAGGAGTTGGCTGTATGTGAGAATTGAAAGAAGAATTCTTGCAAAAGCCCTCATCCAGGTGTCTGTGGAAGTCACCAGAACAGAAAACCCTTTCAGGTGAGCTTTCAAGGCCAGCAGCTACTCAGTTTCAGGAGCTTCTTCTCATCATCAGGGCCAAGAAACAGAATTGACCTGGGCTGAGCTTCTCCTTTAAGATTATTGCAAGCCGGCCAGGCTGGTGGCTCACGCCTGTAATCCCAGCACTCTGGGAGGCCGCGGTGGGTGGATCACCTGAGGTCAGGAGTTCAAGACCAGCCTGGCCAACATGGCGAAATCCCATCTCTACTAAAAATACAAAAATTAACTGGGCTTGGCGGCACACACCTGTAATCGCAGCTACTCAGGAGGCTGAGGCAGGAGAATTGCTCCAACCCAGGAGGCGGAGGTTGCAGTGAGCCAAGATCACGCCGCTGCACTCCAGCCTGAGAAACAAAGTGAGACTCCATCTCAAAAAAAAAAAAAAAAAAAGAAGATTATTGCAAGCCACTTCTCATGACATCTAACAGGGAGAGTGCAGACATTAGTGGCTACAGGACGTGGTATTTGTAGGGGTGAAGATATTGGGGGTCACATTTGTCAGACCTTAAAAGATCAGATCAGTGTTTAGTCCTGTTAATTACCAAGTCATAGAACACTTTGTGAGATGTTATTCTATTATCACTACTGGGCACACACACACACACACACACACACACACACACACACACACACACAAAACTACCTTTAACTTGCCACATTAAGATTTCTACAGAAATGGAGTCTATTCATTTTATTTAAAAAATTTAAAAAAAAAAACAGCTTCTTAAAACAACCTTCTTAAGGTATAATTCACATACCACACAAGTCATTCATTTAAAGTGTACAATTCAATGGCTTTTAGCATATAGGTTGATTGTGCAACCAGCACCACAATCCATTTTAGAACATTTTCTTTCCGTTTTTTTTTTGATACAAGGTCTCCCTTTCTCTCTTTTTTTTTTTTTGAGATGGAGTTTCACTCTTGTTGCCCAGGCTGGAGTGCAGTGGCGCGATCTGGGCTCACTGCAACCTCCACCTCCTGGGTTCAGGCGACTATCCCGCCTCAGTCTCCCAAGTAGCTGGGATTACAGGCCCATGCCACCATGCCCAGCTAATTTTTGTATTTTTAGTAGAGATGGGGTTCCCCATGTTGGCCAGGCTGGTCTCAAACTCCTGACCTCAGGTGATTCACCTGCCTCGGCCCACCAGAGTGCTAGGATTACAGGCAAGAGCCACCGCACCCGACCTCAGGGTCTCCCTTTCTTGTCCAGCTGGTCTTGAACTCCTGGGCTCAAGCAATCTTCCTGCCTCAGCCTCCTGGGTAGCCGGGACTATAGGGACACACCACTACACCCAATCTTAGAACATAGTCATCATTCCAAAAGGAAACATCATAGCCCTTAACCATCACCCCTTAAATCTCCATCCTATTCATTTCTAGGCCATCATGAATCTACTTTTTGTCTTTATAGATTTGCCTATTCTGGACATTTTATATAAATAAAATCCTACAATTTGTTGTCACTTGTGTCTGGCCTCTGTCATTTAGCATAATGTTTTCAAGGGTCATCCATGTTGTAGCATCTATCAGTAAGTACTCCATTCCTTTTTATGGCTGAATAATATTCCATTTTAGGATATACCATTTTTATTTATCCATTCATCAGTTGATGGTCATTTGGGTTGTTCTACTTTTGCCCGCTGTGAACATTCATGTACAGGTTTTTGTGTGGATATATGATTTATTTCTCTTGGGTATATACCTAGAGTGGAACTGCTGGATCTTATGTATACACATGGTTAACATTTTAGGGAACTGCCAGATGTTTTTCCAAAACAGGGGCACTGCTTTACATTCCCACCTGCAGGGTATGAGAAGAACCTCATTTTAATGTCAAATTCACATTAATTCGTAGGGGAATTCCCCTTTGGATAGACAGGCTGGCTCTTGCCCCTTACTCCTGAGGGAAGAACTGGGACGTGGACATAGTGCCGGCTTTTGCTTTTGGCCTTGCTTAGAACTTGTTTCAGAGTATCTAGGCCATCCCCTTTGTTTCAGGCAGCCTCGACATCTGGGACATTGGAATGCAGGCTTATTTTCCTGTTTCCTATGAGTATTTTAAGGACAGAAATACTCTGAGATCCTTGGAACAGAATAGCCCAATTTTATGAGGTCTGTTGGTGGTGGTTGCCAAAACAAAATGTATAGCTGTAATACTTAAAATTGTTGAACATTAACCCTGGAAGTGATAGTGAAGAGACCTTCTAGTCCAGGCGTGGTAAATAAGCAGCAGCTTGCAAGGACATCTGATGGGTTGTAGGTACTTGGGAGTATGGAGCTCTACCCAGGCTCAGGAAAAGGACAATGATTGGTTAACAGTGTCTGCCATGGTGGCAGGAAGACATCAGTCGTAGCCCATATGCTACCTATTTTCTCTCTCTGATTGAGGCCACCCGTAGTACTCCCTGGGAAACAGGTAAGGAAGTATCCATGGCCGCAGAGCTGGCTAATGACAGAGTTGGAACAAGAATCAGTACGGTGTTTTTTCCTCTGCACCATACGGCCCTCAGCTCTGAAAACTGCCTCCTAAAGGGAGCTGACTGGGGACAGGAATAGGGTAACCCAGTCAGAAGTTCCGTTTCTATCCTTCTGTGTTCAGACTGTTCTCATCAGTGCCTATGGGACTTAGTCCATCAGGGTAACTAGTTAATGATTATAAAAGCTTGGTAAATGCTAATAAAGAGGGACCGTTCCCACCTGCCGAACCCCTATATCTCCAGCATTCATGTGGAACGCCCTTTGAAGTCCACAAACCTGATGCGTTTGTACACAGGGAGGCGTGAGGGGGATGGGTTTGGACCAAGGAAAAAAAGTGAAGCCCCTTCTGATTTGAAAGGGAATGATCCTGCGTGTGAATTCTCCACTTGAACAAAGAGAAAAGGAGTTCCATATTCTGCCCTTAGATCAATCAAACCCCATTTTTCCAGAAGTAGAAAAGACCAACGTCATTCTGGAGGAGGGGAAATGATTTTTCCTTTCTCCAGGGGAGAAATGAATATTGACTATGAAAGATAGCCATGTTTTGATGGTTGCCCCACATTATGAATATATTTAATACCGCTGTACACTTAAAGGTGGTTAAAATGGTAAATTTCATGTCAGGTGTATTTTATCACAATTAAGAAATTGGGGGAAAATAACAATTTTTGAAATCCTTAAATCTATTTGAATTTCATTAAGATGTAAAATATGCCTGAGTTTCTCCTTTTCCACGTTATTAATGAATGAAACTGCATACCAATAAAAAGTTTACATAAAACTCAGAGACCTCTTGTAACAAATTCCTTTTCTCTTTTTAAATATTATTGTATAAAAATTTTATTATTATGTTGTTGTTGTTGATGCTTTGAGATGGAGTCTCACTCTGTCTCCCAGGCTGGAGTGCCATGGCGCAATCTTGGCTCACTGCAACCTCTGCCTTCTGGGCTCAAGCGATTCTCCTGCCTCAGCCTCCCCAGCAGCTGGGATTACAGGCGCCCACCCCTACACCTGGCTAATGTTTGCATTTTTAGTAGAGACGAGGTTTCGCCATGTTGGCCAGGCTGGTCTGGAGCTCTTGGCCCCAGGTGATCTGCCTCCCTTGGCCTCCCCAAGTGCTGGGATTACAGGCATGAGCTAGCGTACCCAAAATTTTGTTTAAATATAAAAAATGAGGTGGGGCGTGGTGGCTTACGCCTATAATCCCAGCACTTTGGGAGGCCGAGGTGGGCGGATCACCTGAGGTCAGGAGTTTATAACCAACCTGGCCAAAATGGTGAAACCTCATCTCTACTAAAAATACAAAAATTAGCTGGGCATGGTGGCAGTTGCCTATAATCCCAGCTACTCGGGAGGCTGAGGCAGGAGAATCGCTTGAAGCCAGGGTTGGAGGTTGCAGTGAGCTGAAATCATGCCACTTAACTACAGCCTGGGAGAAAGATCAAAACTCTGTCTCAAAAAAATAAATAAATAAAAATTACAAATGATCTCCCTTTTCCTTCTGTCCCTCTATCTTCTTCTTGTTTCTTCCTTCCCATTATCACTTGAGCACCTACTGTATTCCCCGCATTATGCTACAGTTCCCGTGAGTGAGCCACAGTCCCTGCCCCTGAGGACTCACAATCCAATAGGGCCTGTGCCTGTTCCCTACCCAGGGGACAGCCTCAAGCTGTACCACAGCCTGGAGTAGGAGGCAGAAACCAACTGCCTCCGGGGAAAGGAAAGGTCAGGGATGGCTCTATAAAGTCAAGTTACTGGGCAGAGAATTAGGAGAAAAGCATTCCAGGGTCAGCATCCACAGAGGCATGGAAGGTTCCAAAACTGCAAAAAGTTGAAGATCTACAGTATTAGGTAGATGTGGAGGAGGGACATTGGAGAACCGTAGGGATCTCTCTTCCCAGACCCCTGGAGGGAGCCTGGCACCAGACCCCTCCTGTGAAGAAGGCTCCTGTTTTTTTCAAAACTAAACCAGGAATGCAGGCCAGGGTATGCATGTGCGTGTGTATGCACGCATGCATGCGCGCCTGAGACAGAGCTACAGGAGTTGGTGATGAATACATTTGTTAAAAATTTGAATTCATGTCTAACTGTTCTTTTAGATCTCCTGTTGCATAAGATATCGTTTATTTCATTTGACAAGCTCATGACATCAACCTCAAAGGTGAGGACTGCCTCTGTCAGCTAGAGATTTGTTTAAACCTTTTGTGAATGTCATCATTATATTTTTCAGACTGCACCATCTCTTGGATGACAATGGGATGTATAAATTTCCCCTCAACTATGCCCCATCACTGTCCCCTCTGCCTGTCCTAAACCCACTTCCCTCTCAGTTCAGTGAGTGTCCTCTGGCTCTGGTGAGCAGGACTAGGGAAGCCACCAATGAAACAAGTGCCCAGCCTGAGCAGGCTGGAGCAAGGAAATGTCTTTGAGTCACTGAACGTCATGAGTGTTCAGCATGGGTTTCTAATGTTATCCACGTCTCTCCTTTCTGTGTGTGTTTGTGTTTTGTTTTGAGATACAATTCACGTACCATAAAATTTACCATGTAAGAGTATATAATTCAGTGGTTTTCAGTATGTTCACAGAGTTGTACAACCATCTTGAAACCAACCATGGTTTCTTTTTTGGGTGATGAAATATTCTAAATTGATTCTATTTTAGAATGTTTTCATCACCCAAAAAAGAATCATGTATCCATTAGCAGTAACTCCTTAGTCTCCCCCGCTCCCTGACCCCTGACCCTAGGCAACCACTAATCTACTTTCTGTCTCTATAGTTTTGCCTGTTTTGAACATTTCTTATAAATGGAATCATATAATATTATATTATATATATTAATATCATAATATATATTTATATATTCAATATATCATATATGTATCATATGATTATATATAATATGATTATAATATAATATGATTATTTTATATGGGATTTTGTGGTTGGCTTCTTTCACTTAACATTATTTTCAAGATTCATCTATGTTGCAGCATTGATCAGTATTTCCTTCCTTTTCATGGCTAAATAATATTCCACTGTGTGGCTGTACCACATTTTGTTTTTCTATTTATTGTTTGATGGATATTTGTGTTGTGCTCACTTTCTGGTTATTATGAGTAGTGCTGCTACGAACGTTTGTGTACAAGTTTTTCTGGGACCCTATGTCTTCATTTATCTTGGTTACAGATGGAGGAGTGGAATTGCTGGCTCGAATGGTAACTCTACATTTGACATTATGAAGAACTGCCAAACACTTTTTTTATACTTTTAAAATCTGAATTAAAAGATAATTTTAAAATTTCAAAATATATGGCTTCCTTCTAACAGTTGTAAAGCAAAAATAAAATTTGAAGCCCCCCACTCCCCTCCACAACCACCGGAATGAAGTTCCCCCTCAGCTAGGGCACTCTAAAATCTAATCTGAAGGACTTGTTCAGGCCATGACCAGAAGTAGGGATTGGACATGCCTCATTAGACCCCTTCAGCATTAATGTCAACAGAGACCTTAAATTTGATAAGAACATTTACTTTTCTCTTTAAAGCCTGCTACTTGGTGGCTTCATCTGCATGATAAAACCTAGGACTCCATAACCACTTATCATAACCCAGACATTCCTTTCTACTGATAATAACTCTTTCAACCAATTGCCAATCAGAATATGTTTAAATCCACTGTGACCTGGAAGCGCCCACCTTACATGTATTGACTGATGTATTATGTCTCCCTAAAATGCATCAAAGCAAGCTGTACCCCGACCACCTTGGGCACATGTTGTCAGGACCTCCTCAGGCTGTGTCATGGTGTGTCCTTAACCTCGGCAAAATAAATTTTCTAAATGGATTGAGACCTCTCTCAGATCCTTTTTGGTTTACACAGTTGTACACAGCGGTCTGTGCTCCTCTGTGATTATGTGTTTATTATATGACGAGGGCATCATAGTTCCTGGGCTCTGGCTGGCCTAAGCCTGCAGGTGCCGCCATCCAGCCTCCCAGGAGAATCCCAGGTTAGTATCTCAGACTCATGGAGGAAATTTCCTTCCTGTCTGGCCTAAAATCTTGGCTTTGCTCAATGCTCACATCGCGTAGGTCCTGCCCACCCTCTTCCCCTTATGCATTGACCAATGTCTACAGGGTCGTGAAGGGTAAAGGCCTAGATAGTTCTGGGGGTGCTGAGCTCCCACAGCAATACAGAGAAGAAAAGACCAAGTGAGACGTTCATCATGACCAGAAGACCTAGGCAATACTTTTGTGACGGATCAGATCTCAGTAGTCCAGACTGGGGAAGGCAGTGGGATGAGGAAGGATGTCTTTGAGCCAGGCAGCAGGGGTGTGGAGGGGGAGAGCCTGGCCTGCCCAGCAAATTGCCCACCTACTGTGTACCAGCTGCTCTGTGTCCAGCTCCTTATTTACCCCCACCTTTAGAGAGCAGGAAGCCAAGAGCTCAGAAACCCTTGCTGTGTGCCCCACAGCAGCAGAAGGTAAATCTGAGCCTGAGCTGCAGACCACATAGGCCAAGTCCCCGGGTCCACCTCAGACCCCGGCCAGCAGTCCTACGATCTGCAGCCTGGATACTGGCACAGGAGCAGGGGACTGGCTCCATTTGCGTTTGCCCGGGCATTCATTCCACATCATTCAGTAGCCTTCAAACAGCAGCACCTGGCTCTGCCCAGCAGAGCGGCTGTCACTGCTATTTTAGAGGCAATCATATATTTTTAATAACCAGCAAAATCTCCCTGTGAGAAGGGAGGGAGAGTTGAAATTACAGCCAAGCAATTTGCATTGCGAATCAAGTTATCCTCCCTCCTGCCCTCCAAGAATATGCAGAAATAAATGCCTCCTAATGAACCCTGGGGGGCTTAGGCTTTGATATGAATTCTGCTGTAGGCAGAAAGAGTTCTAGCCAGACTGAGACCCAGCATGAAGTTGGAGCAGGAGGGTCAGGGCCGTTCCCTTCAGCACAAGGGAGAAAGGAAATTGGATTATCTTGCTAGCAGTTGGGGTTTTTCTATCACTTAGAACCACAGATGAGAGCTCCCCACTTTCAGATGGGGGGAATTAGATTTAGCTGTATTCAACCAGCAGGCTCCTCACCCCACTCCATCTTCTCCACCCTGGTTCATAAGCCCTCCAGCCCCATCTAGACTCCCTGGGTCTACCAGGAGCTGCAAAGCCTTTGTCTTTTCCAGGACTTAAGAAGATCTATGAAAGATAGATGGATGGATGGATAGATAGATAAACAGACAGACAGACCACCTTTCTATCTGAAGTCAGGTAACCTTTCCTTCTGGCTGCCACTGGGAAAATACCAGCTCCCCTCTCCTCCCCCATGGCCTCCAATGTCTGTGTTTACTCAGTACAGGAAGGTGTGCATGTTGCAAGCACGCCTTTGTAGGAATGAGCCATATGGGGGCTGGCCCGTCAGCCAAGTGGCTGGGTAGAGTGCATGGTATGGATCTGAGGGCATGTGCATGTGATATTTATGTGGGCCCGAAAGCATGTGGTAATAATGGTTCATGGGGACTTGTGAAAGAGGGGGTGGGAAGCCTGTTCATTGCCCGCCTCGGGCAATGCATAGAAATGGGCACCAGCCCAGCGTGGACAAAGGGAATTTGCAGGAGATCCCCAGCTCCCTGTTGCTCTCACCTTTCCTCAGAACTACGACATCCTACTGATCAAGATTTCTCCTTCTTCTCTGCTGGTCCTGCTTGAGAGGGGCCTGGAAGCTCAGCAAACCTCTTGGCATGAAATGAGATCTTGCATGCAGAGACAGGGTCTCTCAGTGATTGAGCAAGTGGGGGTGTCCATCAGACAATTCCATTTCAAAGCCCAGATCCACCAATTGGGATAAGTAAAACAGGTTCCTCTATCCCTCCATTTCCTCATTTATATAATGAGGATAGTAAAAAAAATTATCCTATTGGGTTGTGGTAAATACTTAATAAATGTGAGTCATTTTCGGAGTGAGTGGATTAGTAACTGCTCAACACTTTAGGATCCCATCATTGCAACTGGCATTGGAGCAAGATGATTTAGCCTTCTGAAGGCGTTCTGAGGGACAGTGGATGGAGGCCTGTGGGTTAGGGCCACCCTCAAGGGAATCACTGAATCCATGGTACAAGGAAGGTCTCTGCTGACACGGGTGCTTTCAGTATTTCTTTGTCGGTGACGGCACAGTGTACATAAGTTTGAGGAAACTGTCTACATTAAGATGCCCCTGGGAAATAAAAAGAAAGGGGAAACTGTTATGGATTAAAACAAAAAGACACATAAGAGTCATATTAGTCAAATGCAATTGGGAACACTGATTGGATCTTGATTTAAATAAATCAAATATAAAAAGATATTTATGAGACAATCAAGAAAATCTGGACATTGAGTAGATATCAGATCATGTTAAAAAATTATTGTTGGCCAGGCATGGTGGCTCACGCCTGTAATTCCAGCACTATGGGAGGCCAACGCGGGTGGATCACTTGAGGTCACGGAGTTTGAGACCAACCTGGCCAACGTGATGAAACTCCGTCTCTATAAAAGAATTAAATAAATAAAAGTAAAACATCAAAAAGGAAAGAATTATTGTTAATATTTTTAGATGTGACAATGGTATTGTGGTTATGTTAAAAGACCAGATGCTCTTTATCTCTTAGAAAATATACTGAAATAGTCGTGGATAAAAGAACACAATATTTTGGGTTTAATTTAAAATAATCTAGCTAGTGGGGGTGGTTTGGAAGCAGGGAGAAGCAGATGAAACAAGTTTGGCAAAGGGATGGTTCAAGAGGTTTCATTGTATTGTTTTCTCTAATTTTGTGTATTGGGCCATTTCCATAATTAAAATATTGAAAAGAAAAAAAAGAAGCCCCCTCTGGAGCTGCCCCTTGGAGGGTGGCTTCTGCCCTCTTACAATGTCACCACAGCAGCATGATTCACTCAGGCCCTTGGACCCACAGGGAGGGCCAAGGCTCAGCAGTGCTTTCTAAGCCCTATAAATCAACAAGCACAGCTGAAGCCATTTAGTAGGAAGCTTGTTAATAAGAAAAATATGGTTTAAATGGGTCCTTTTATTGGAGAGAGGGAGCAGAAGATGATGGAGAACAGGGCCCCCCTGGCAACGAGGAGGTTTGTAAGTAGTGCCAAGCTCTCCCTCACAGGCAAGAGTTGGATTGCGTTAACTCTATCACGCCTCAAACCTTTTCCAGGAGGATGGGAAGCCCAAGGTGGGAGCAACAGGAGGGGGGATGGGCCCAGAGAATGTGCAGAGAGAGCGCCCCTTGGGTTATCCCCGCACCAGAGATGTGTGGGTCCTTCAAGGGGCAGCTGGGAATTTTCAGGTTCAAGGAAGACCACAGCTGGGCTGGAGCATGGACTCTCGTGTGTGACCCAGGGCACAGAACTGAAGGGAGAAAGTCAGCTTGAAGTTTTCAAGAAGGGTAATGAGCCAAAGAGATAAGGAAGACCTCTAGAGAGGTGGGACTTCAAAGGAAAAGAACCCAAGAGGGAGCCTGAGGAATCAATAACGTAGTCAAACCAAGGTAAGGATGACTGTGCTTGAAATGCACTGGAAAGTGTTTTTTGATGATAGTTGCCTTGGAGGATCATGAGACTTAGCTTTCTTAGCCCAGGGACTAAGAAGGTCCAAGCACCTGAGTTTAGGGCTTGGGTAATGACAGACTAAGGAAAGAAGGCTGAACTAATCTGATTTCCCATTGACGAGGATCACTGCATGGGTCACAGGAAGAACACTGAACTTGTCAAAAGACCCAAGTTCCAGTAGGCTTTGCCATTTCCTAATGAGGGAACTGAGCAATCAATCCCTTGAACTCTTTCATCCTGAGTTTCCCCATTGACTTAGGGTGAATGATACCTGTTTCACAGGCTTGCTGTCAGAGCCGTATTTGTGCAATAAAAAGTGCCTAGGATTTGGAGTCAAGGCACCACGGAGCCTTAAGCATGAGCCTAACCATCACCCTGTGATTTCAAGCCAATGAAATTCAGACAATGCCTCCGAGCCTCTGTTCCTCATCTGAAAAACAGGAGAGGAATACCAGCCTACATGAAGAAGTAAAGAGAAAATGTAAGTAATCAGCTTAGCACAGTACCTGGCACATGGTAAACACCCAATAACTGTAGGAATTAGTATTAGCAATATAAAATATAAGAATAAGGAGTACTTGCATCAGCAGCACATGTGCTTAAAACAATTGGAATGGTACAGAGAAGATTCACATGGCCCCAGTGTGAGGATGACATGCAAATTCATGAAGCATTTCATTTTTTTTTAAGAAAGAACATTAAATGAGGTTAAATGTGGGAAGTCACTAAGAATGGCAAAGAGTAAGTACCCTAGGTGAGGGAAGGAAGCTCAGATGGTCCCAGACTTCTGGTTAAAACGGTGCCTTCCTCAACTTAGCATTTACCATTTGTACTTTTTCTCTTTTCACTTTGGGAACAGGGACTGCCTAGTTTTAACACAGGCACTCCTCTGCTTTGACATGCAATAGACATGGTAGTGTCTATTAGATCAATAAAGACTGTTGGTTGACTAAGATCTTTCTCCACAGGGGCAAATGTACAGAAACTACGTCATGGGCATGATCCAAGACTTAGGAGAAGAAAAAGGGGGGTTAGAAGTTGGGAAAATAACGGCAGAATATGGTTGATTGTTTCCTTTTTTTTTTCTTTTTTTTTTTTTTGAGACAGAGTCTCACTCTGTCACCCACACTGGAGTGCGGTGGCACGATCTTGGCTCACTGCAACCTCCACCTCCTGGGTTCAAGCGATTCTCCAGCCTCAGCTTCCCAAGTAGCTGGGACTACAGGTGTGCACCACCATGCCCATCTAATTTTTTATATTTTTGCAGAGACAAGGTTTCACTATGTTGCCCAGGCTTGTCTCAAACTCCTGGGCTCAAGTGATCTGACCGCCTCCATCTCCCCAAAGTGCTGAGATTACAGGTGTGAGCCACCATGCCCAGCCTGGTTGTTTTTGTTTTTGTTTTTATCTTTTGTTTAACTGGGTAGCTTCAGAAAAGTTTTTAACATGAACAGTGATTTGTAGACCAAGAATCTTAGCACTGAAGCCAAAAAAAAAAAAAAAAAAAAAAGGGAGAGAGAGAGCTTTTTGCGTTGTTAATACTCATAGGTATATATGGATCTTTAAATATGGGTATGCAGACAGCCTTCCTTCCCAGAGTTTGTACCTTGTGGTTGCTGAGGAGACAATTATGACATTACCTTTGCTAAATTAAACCTCGTCTACTTCACCCACATTTGTTCTCGGTTCCTGCCACACGGGAACATCCCTCCCTCCCCTGGCCCAGCCTGCACCCTGGCTGGTCCCCAACCCTTCCATGGAGCAGGAGGTGACCCCAGTTGGGTCTTGGGATGTTTTCCTTCCCGTCTGCCCCATTAGTCCCCGTATGGTAGACGCCCGGGGTGTGAAACTGCACACCTACAAAGTTGGCCTTCTGGTTTGGGAGGCCTCAGGAGGAAACCAATGGTCCCTGCATTTCCTGTGGATGAAGGATTATGTGATTGAAACAAATCACCCCTCATTCTTCTTCCCAAGTCACACATGCCCAGTGGCTGAGAGTTAAATGAGCATGAGACATCAAATCAAGGCCGGGCTGAGACTCCGGAGCTTAAAGAGAGGCTTGTGGACTTCCAGGATGCTTGTTCGTCTCCTTCCAGCCCTATCCCTTTCTCCAGTGAAGGGAGGGGGCCAGTACCATCCCCTTGTGCAGAAAGGGTGAATCCTACCACCCCACTTGCTCTTGTTCCTGTTACTTTTCTTCTACTTTCTTCTCTCTTGCAGGCTGATGAAAAGTTCTTTGAGTTTCAAAGGGCTTGTTGCACACAAGCTCGGCCTTGCCGGCTGGTGCCAGGCAGAAAATATACTTGGAATTAACATGGCACTGTCTACAGCCATGCCACCCTGAATGCACCCAATCTTGTCTCAATTAACATGGCACCACAGGCCAGGGTGCCTGGAAGGGCCTGGAGGGAGGGCTTTTGACATGGAGATGAGTGCCACTTGGCTCCTTCTGTAACTAATCACCACTGTTGTTGAAATATTACTATTTCTGTTACAACCACTAATGCCTTAAATGAGGAACAGGCACTTTGGGTTAACAACAAATACAGGATTGTCATTTCTCATTTGGGATCTCCCAAGCCTCCCAGTGAAGAGCCAGGGAACCCCAGTTTATTGCTGTCTGTTGACTGAGTGGGAGCAGCGCCAGGAACCACTTGACTGCTGTTTAAACCAGGGCTTCCCTGATGATGGTTTTGGAGTACTGAACCTGGAAGGAGACCTATAGGGAAGTAAATGCAAGGGACATGAGTCCTAGAGTCACCCAGCCTGAGTCCTAGCTTCAGCCCTCACTAGCTATGTGACCTTGGACCATTACTTGCCCTCTCTGAGCTCCTTTCCTCAAAGAAATGAATATACTACTAATATCACTAATACTATTGGGGTTGTCATGAGAGCTGAAGGTAACAGAGACAGGCAGTTAGCACAGCGCCTGGCACCCAGCAGGGGCTCCAGGATGCAAGCTGTTATTATGGTTTTGTTGATCTTGGTGTCTGACACCCTTCATAGACTCCCCTACTCCACACACACACACCACACACAGACACACCCATGTCCTTAGCAAAATAACTAGCTTATGATTTACACCTCTCTCCACTGGCACTGGGTCCTAGGAAACCCATAGCGATGACAATGACCAACACTGTGCATTTCCCTTCCTGTTTTATAAAGCACATTCAACACCCACACTCTGCTATTTAATACAGACCCACCTTGTGGGGTGTATTGTGTATCCTTAAATTTTTTTTTTCAGAAGAGAAAGCTAAGAGGTTAAGCAAGGTATTTGGAGTCACATAATTCACAAATGGCAAATCTGGGGCCAAAGCTTGATATCCTTTCTTCCACTCCAAACTGCCTGTTGATCCAGCATTCCCCAAAAATGACACGTACCATCCCCCAAGGGCCTGGCTATTTGCTAGGGAATTAACTCACTTATCGGTGAGAATGTAGAGACAGCTGTCAGAGGTTCACCCATCGCAGGTAAAATATTTGTATTTTGATGTCAGTCTTCTATTTGCTAGGCCTTGATCCAAAGGATTCACTGTAATGGGCATTTTCGAGTCTTGTGTAGGAAATTACATTAACCCAGTGGGTGACTGTCTTTTTCCTTCTATGTATAAAATTTGTCACACACATTGAGGCTATGGCCACAGGAAATAAAGGGGAGACATCACAAAATTGTAAAGTGGTCAGCAATCTTTAACTCAGTAGGGTGTAGCCCAGCCACTGGACCATTGCCTCCTAGACTTAACCCCCTTGTCTCAACCAGCTGGACTCGGCCACTGGGCTCTGGGCCAAAGGGGAACCAGTTTAACCTTCTGGGCTGAGCTGAGGGAAGAGTGAGCTTTTCAATGACATTTCATCTCCTTCGATCTTAAGAACATCCTATGAGGTTGTGTGCAGTAGGTACAATTTTCCCTTACATCAAGGAGGGGGTTATGAAGGCTTAACTGAGGTGCCCAAGATCCCAGGCCAGCATGCAGTGGTGTCCAGACCAATCTCACCTTTTCCAAGTGGTGCCTCTTCTACTCCTTCCTGCACACCCTGCACTTCCTGGGTAGTAAATGAGGAAACCACAAGTTTATCCTCCCAGGAGGCTGGCCAAGCCTTGTCTCTACAGATGGAACAGTGAATCAGGGAGACTGGTAGAACCCACAGAGACCACCCTGTTCACCACCACATTGCATTTAGGTTCAGACTCTGGAACTCCACTATGATGTGGGTTTGGAGAGGGCCCAGAGACAAACCTCTCCCAAAATGGAGCTAAGTAGGGAGAAGAGGAGGTCAGGGGTTGACCTTGTTATATTCTCTAAGAATGTGAAGGATTAACTGTGGCTGCCATTTTTCCCTAGGACAAGGCAACAGATTATGGGTTTAAATCATAGCAACAAGATTCAGAATAGACATTAGAAGGAGCTTTCTGGTCACAAAGCCCAAAAAAGCTGAAGTAGATTTACAGGAGAGGAGATGAAGCTACTTCTTTGGAGATTTATAGGAAAAAGGTTAGATGTTGAGTAGGATAGCAAAACTCATGGAGAAGAGGATATTGAAGTCTAGGATTACTAGATTTCTCTTTGAGTCTCAAGGCTAAAAACTGCCAGATGATACTATATAAATAGAAAGTGTAACCACACTTATTTTTAATTGAATAATCACTGTTTCCAATTTGGGATTATTTCAACAATGCCTCTTCTTGTATTTTTATTTTGACTCTCTAGGGGAAACTTGAAGTTTCCTGGTAATTTATCATTTTAACCACAGTTTTCCTGAGGCAGTAAGTTTATATAGGAAAATAGTTCACTCTGAATCTTCAAAATTTTTTTCTATGGTATAATTTGCCATCACACTAAACACACGTGTCATTATCTCATAAGCTCATAATTGCTGACTCCTCTAACCCTGACATCTCCAGAACACGTAGTTCTCCAAAAGAACACAACATTGCAATGCCAATACAAAATGCAGGCACCCCTGTATGTCAGGGTGAGAAGTCAACATTGTTTTGAAAAGGAACTGCCACCCAGGGTTAGAGGAATCAAGGCTGCTGTGCGACTCCGGCTCCTGATGCTTTCTCCTTGCATTGGAAAGTCCTGTCCATAGATGCAGATGAGGCTGCCGACTTGTTCCCAGAGGGCACATGTGCCACAGCCTTTCTAGCAGGTGAGGTGTTGATGCAGATTCAGACACACTCCTGCCCTCTCTCCCTTGTGTTTATGAGATGCCTCCCAGAGGACTGAGCGGAGTCTGGGAGGCTAAATCATCAGCCGGCAGGGCTAAACCTGTGGCTAATTTATTCTGAGCTAGCCAGAAAGCACGAAACTAACTGAATCATCCATCGTGACTACATTACAGAATAGGGCAGCACTTTCCAACATTCCTCACGCCATGGCACACGGAGAAAATAATAATACAACATAAGACACCCCAGGGCAAACAAATGAAGTTGTTTGCAACTAACCAAGTGGCTCCAGCCACTCCAGTCCTTGCCTGGGCAGCCAGTGGCTGAAGGGCTAATATTTTGTGCCATTTATTGGGAGGTCTAGTGTAGAGCAAAATGGTTAGGGCAGAGTAGTGCCAGGTGAGAGAGGGCTCTGAAGATAGAGGGCTTGGATTTGAGTCCTGGCTCTGTCACTTATGACCTTGGATGAGACCCTTAATCTCTCCTTGCCTCAGTTTCTTCACAGATGTAATGGGCTTAGTAACAGGACCTACTTCAAGGGCCTGTTCTGAGGATTAAGTGAGTTAATCCATGTCAAGTGCTTAGAAGAGTGTCTGGCACAGAACAAACACTGAGTAAATGGCAACTGCTGCTGTTACTGCTGTATCAGCTCCAGAGACCCAGGGCTGGCTTCCCAGCAGGGAAGCGCAGGCACAAACGGAATAACACTCCAAATCCAATTAGAAGTCGTAGTCAGATGATTCATTGCTTTCCCCAAATCTGTGCCTCTTCTGTTCTCTTCTCTCACCCTCTTTCTTTCTCCCCTTCCCTAATGTGGCTGTGGATGCCTCAGAAGCAATAGTAAAAGAGGAAAGAGAGTTGATCTGGGAGTGGGAATGCACATCCCAATTCTAGTTCTTTCACTCTCTAGTGGGCTGCTGGGCAAGTCACCTCACCTCTCTGCCCCTCCAGCTCCTCATGGGTTCAGTGGTTGACCAGATGACTGAAAAGGTCTTTTTCTGCTTTGATGTGTCATGGTTGGTACAGAATTACATGCTATGGAGTGCATGCATGCCTGTGTGTGTGTGTGTGCGTGTGTGTGTAGGGAGGCATGCGGGGATGGCTATGTCTGGTGCCTAAAACCGCAGCACTGATGTCCAGAATGATTAATACAAGTTAATGTTTTCTATGAATCAAAACCCTCCAACACATCCCCACCTGCACTCAGAACACACCTTCAATTTGCCAGCGTTGCCCTCCAATTGCTGCATTCTAAATTGGAGTCTTTTCTACCTAAAGAATAAATCCATAAATATGTCTCCTAGGTAACATCTTGTTAGCCCCATTACTCAAAGCTCTTGAAAATAATAAAACTGCATTTCTTTATTAAAATATGAATTCAGACATTTCACTTAGGCATCTCACCCAATTAACCTGAATTAGTAAAGTATGTTCACATTTCTGCACACATGAGGGCATTGGATAAATGCATACAGACTTATATTTATCCATAGAAAATGCATGTTTTAAAAAGCCATTTCCCAGCATCTGCGGTTATTCTTTCCTATCTCGATTTTACTTAGAGGTAGTTATAACATGTTCATCCTTCATGTTATTAAAAATTAATACTTTAGCCCAAATAGTCACTCATGAATAACAGCCAGAGCAACATCTCAATTTCATCCTGATCCTGACAAGAACTACCTCCCACCTTCCCGGTATGAGAATTCTCTCCCCTTTTCTTTCTCCCCCACCCTCCAGAGAGGATGCTCCTCTGAAGCCATTTCTCACACTCCCCGGAAGCCAGCTGTCCTGCTCTTGCAAAGTCACTGAAGAATGTCCTGGCACAGTGAGGAGGAGGCTCGGGCAGAGCCGGGTAGCCTGAAGGATTTGGCAGAACAAAGCCCCACCAAGCAGGACCCTGCGGTTTCATTTTGTTTTCACTGACATAATGCCCTTCCTCTGTGAAGCCCAGCTCAGGCCTGTGTGAGACAGACTTTCCTGAGGTTTGGATACCTACCACAGGCTCAAGTGACTGCCGGTCTGTCCAACGGCTGGGGCGATGTTTTTGAAGCTTTAGAGAGAGCTCTGACCTGCTTCCTACTAATGGAAGGGCTGACAGCCTGGAGCAGAGCCAGGTCCAACAACTGGGCATCCTCACAGCCTTCATATGTCAGGCTGTGGGGGGCCCAGGGCTGGCAGCAATAGCTGTCATGGGCCTGCATCCTGGAGGAAGAGAGGGAGGGCAAGATGAATGTGGCCAGGACTTTGATTGCCTGCCGCCTTTGACAAATGACAACGGTTAGGAGAAAGAGTTCACCAGGAAAAACAAAATGCAACTCACAGGGCAGCCCTGGAGCCCTTTGAGGAGAGGTACATTTTGTCTCCCCTGGTGGCACAGCCATTGTCCAAGGCAGAGAGAAGCAGGCCCCTGAGTGTGGCGTGGCCCAACCAAGCTTCCCTATGACTTGATTCCTGTGGTAGGCTGAATAAAGGCCCCCAAAGATACCCAGATCCTAATCCCTGGAACGTGTGAGTGTTACTGTTGGCAGCAGCAAATCGGAACAGGTCTCTGTTCTGTTCTGTTCAGGTTCTCTCATCAACCTCAATTCTTGCCTTCTCGGAGGAAAAAATTCAACGAGGGGGCGTAAGGGAAAGTAAAAGACAGAAGCAAGTTTTTGAGCAGGAGTGAAAGTTTATTAAAAAGTTTTAGAGTAGGAATGAAATGAAGTAAAGTACACTTGGAAGAGGGCCAAGTAGGCAACTCGAGCGATTCAACTGCACTGTTTGATCTGTGACTTGCGGCTTTATACGTTGGCACATGTATTAGTCCGTTTTCACACTGCTGATAAAGACATACCTGAGACTGGATACTTTATAAAGAAAAAGAGGTTTAATGGACTCACAGTTCTGTGTGGCTGGGGAGACCTCACATTCATGGCAGAAGGTGAAAGACACGTCTTACAGGGTGGCAGGCAAGAGAGAATGAGAGCCAAGTGAAAGGGGAAACCCCTTATAAAACCATCAGCTCTTATGAGACTTATTCACTACCATGAGAACATTATGGGGGAAACTGCCCCCCACGATTCAATTATCTCCCACAAGTCCCTCCCACAACACGTGGGAATTATGGGAGCTACAATTCAAGATGCGATTTGGGTGGGGACACGGCCAAACCATATCAGCATGCTTCCGGGGTCTGCACTCCTTCTCCCCTGATTCTTCCCTTGGGGTGGGCTGTCCGCATGTACAGTGGCTGGCCAGCACTTGGGAAGGGCTGCATGCACAGTGTGTTCACTGAAGTTGTATGCATGCTCACTTGAGGCATTCTTCCCTTACCAGTCAGGTGTAGAGGAAGGTCACATACCAGTTAAACTCCGCCATTTTGCCTCTTAGTGCACATGCTCAAGTCCACTCACCCAACTCCTGAGATCTTCCTGCTGATCACCCACTTCAGGTGTTTTCTTTCTAATGGAAAATTGCCTTTTCTTAGTGCTGGCTGTGACTAATTATTATTTTAGAGAGACAGTTTAACAACTGCCTGACCATCACCTAATGGTTACCTGACATTCCTGGTTGGGGTGGGGGCCCTATCTTTTCCTGCTCATCCCTGCCTGCCTACCTACTGTAACATTATCTCATCTCGCAAAAGGGACTTAATAGAGATGATTAAGTTAAGGATCTCGAAATGGGGAGATTATCCTGAACTTGTCTGAGTGAGCCTTGTATGTAATCACAAGTGTCCTTATAAGAGGAAAACAGAGGGAGATGTGGCTACAGAAGTGATGGCGATAGGAGGCCTGAAGCAGAGCTTGGAGTCATGCGCTTTAAAAATGGAGGAAGAGGCCACAAGCCAAGGAATAAAGGCAACCACTGGAAACTGAAAAAGGCAAGGAAACGGCTTCTCCCCTAGCACCTCCAGAAGGAACTAGCCCTGCTGACGCCTTGACTTTAGCACACTGAAACTAATTTCAGATTTCCTGTCTCCAGAAGTGTGACAGTATAAATTTGTATTCCTGCAAGTCACTAAATTTGTGGTCATTTGTTATAGCAGCCACAGAAAACTCAGATGGTTCCCAAGTGCAGGAGATGCCCTAGTTGCAGGGCTGCCGTTTATGGCAGAGAGACTCCTGAGAGACAAAAGGGAGCACCAGTGCACCTCTAGGCAGTTATTCCCACAGATTGTGCATCTCTGGCCAATGCTAGGAGTGGCAAGGGCTGGGATGAGGAGGGAAAGCAATAGACATTTACTGAGCATCTGCTATGTGCTGATATATCATGTTCATAATTCTAATTTAACCCTTGCAGCAACCTTATAAGGCAGATGCTAGTACTCTGTTTTCTGATGAAGATGGTGAGCTCAGAGACTCCTGATCACCTGCCCAAGGTCGCACAGTTGGTCAGCAGCTGTTCCTCTAGGAAAGTTTACTTGGGGCTTCCCTTCATCCCTGCTCTATATATCCCTTCCTTATGGATCCCCCAAAGTGAGAGATTGGGTGAGGCAGTTCTTATAGCTCCAGTTCCAAGGAGTTCATTTATTCATTGTCCTATTCATTCATTCACTAAATATTTAGCCAGTACTTCCCATATGTTAGGTCCTATGCTATGGGAATCAGGGCTCATCCTGTCTCAGATCACTTACAAACCAGGAACAGACTTTACAAAACAAATTATGCCGGCATTTCCCTCTAAAAGTCCACCACCCACCTCGGACAAGGACGTTGGCACAGAGGGTCATGCACAGTCCACAATGAGAATTCTTTTATTTTATCAAGGAGAAGCTAACATTTGGCCTTGTTGGTAACTTGTCAGAACAGAGGGAAGAGGGACTGGCATCCTTCATGAGGAGGTGATGCCACTAGTTTTCCTGAAGGTGTGCATAAATTGCATCAGGCCCCAATGCTCTCTCACGCTACTCCCTGCACATCAAGAGTAAGCAGGGGTTAATGATTGGCCAGTTTACAGGTACAGGCTGTGGCCTGTACAGTACTGCTGCTAATCTTGATCCAGGGTTTAGCTTGGACTTTGCTTCCGTAACTTCAGGCTCTGTAGGGGCAAGAACAAGGCCTAAGGCTTGTGACTACATCAGCTGCTCCATATCTGGGGCATAACAGGAAGGCATTGTGGAGTTTCAACTGGGTGTTCCTCTCTTTATGTCCTCTCCCAGCAACGATGCTGACTTTGCGTCCCATTTGGTCTTCTACTGTTGGTTTCTTCCAATCGAATGCTTTCAGTTGCAAATAATGAAAAATTCAATCCAAACTGCTCACATAAGCAAGGTATTTTATCGGCTTCGTTTAATCTAAAGGTCTAGAGTAGGGCTGACTTCTAGGAAGAGCTGTTCTAGTGGCGCAAACAATGTGAACAGGCTGGGGTTTTTTTTTCCTCTGCATTTCCCAGCTTCCTTTCCTCATCAGCCTTTGCCCACATGAGGCTCTCTTTCTTTGGGCAAGATGGCTGCCAGCAGTACCCCAAACAGAGTCTTGTTGGCCCTGATGGGCAGATGAAGGTGATGGTCCCAACTGGGAGCCAATCAAGAAGGCCAGGAGGAGAGTGATGCACTGATTGGTTTAGAGTAGATCACGCGCTCCCTCCCTAACACTGGGGGTGGAGCACCTGTGGCACACAGCTGAAAATGGGAGGGAGGATGACTTCCCGGAGGAAGTTGGGGGTATTGTTAAGAAGGGGAAGGGGAGAATGGATAGATATTGGGGAGCCAATCAATAAATGTCTATAAAACTTATAGGTTTTGTTGTTGTTGTTGTTTTGATTTTAAACGAACAAATTCCCTGCCCTTCTTAATACTTCCTGGGAGTGAATAATCTTGCAAGGGCTTCCTTAATTGGGTACTTATGATATGACACTCTCCTTAACACTCCCATGAACACATTTCTTCTTCATTAGGGCTTCAGGAGTTTGAAATGCCAAGCTCTTCCCTGTGTTTTCTGTCTGCGCTTCCCCTAAAAGAACCAGGGCTGCAATATTGCCCTTGATTAATCACAGCCCAATTATCTATGTGGATTATCCTTCTTTCTGTTCTCACATCCTGCCTGCCTTTTAGCCACCCCCTGCTCATTAAGAACCTGCCTGCCTTTTAGCCACCCCCTGCTCATTAAGAAGACTGTCTAAAAGGATGGGGTTTAAAAAAAAAAAAAAAAGGAAGTACAACTCCAAATCAGCAGTTCAGCTCCTTACTAACCCTGGTAAAATTTTTGAGGAAGACTTTGAAAGGAATGATTGCTTGAGATTATCTTGAATTTCCAGCATACATGATTACTTTACTGACTCCTTCCCATGTCCTGTCCACCCCCACCCCAAGTCCCAGCCTCCTTAGAGATATTGAAAACAGCTAAATCCAGAAAAGGCACATTCCTTAGACACCCAGACATTTCAATGGTTCCATTCTTATTCTCTCATTTCCTAGGTATCTCAAGTAACTTTTTATTTTTAAATCAAGCCAATTGTTTTTGAGACCTGTTGAAAGGATAATGGCCCAACCCCACTCCCCAAGTTGAGAACTCAGATCCCACCTCTCAGTTTCCTAGCAAATGAGTCAGAGAAGCACAAAAGCCCTTGCTAAATCAGGTAAACAAAGTGAAGGGTGTGGAGGCAGGCTGGGGGGACCAGGCATCCCTTCCAGCATGTCGAAGTACTTACATCACCTTCCCCGAGCATTGATCACTATTTCCACCCACACTGAACTGGATTCACCCTAACTCTGGTGTAGGCTAGACAGGAATTGGTAATGATTTCCTAGGTTTTCAGTCTCCTTGGCAGAATTTGAACAAAAGGAAAAAGATATCTTTTCTACTTTTTAAAGGTCAATTTTTTCCCCAACATCTATAACAAAAAAAAAAAAAAGTGATTTTTCTCTGGGATTTGCCTTTCTCCTGACCACAGCTGGTGGAACAGAGACCGCCATCTCGGCCACGAGATGAGAGCAGTCGGGCAGTTATTAGAGAGCTCCAGCTCCTGCACGCCATCATATGACAGCAGCCCAGAAGCTTTAGGTTTGGTAATGAACGAATGGAAGTGTTTTCAAAACCAAGCCACCGGCCCCACATTCAGCCTGTAAGTCTTGGTAGAAAGTAGGGGGCTGGCATTTCCTTTTACTGGCAACACAGCTTGGCCTAGGTGGCCCTGCATGTTCGCACAGAGAGTTACGGTAAGCATTGACAACCTCTCCCAGCTATGTTTAGAAGGGGCATAAGCAGCCCATCCCCTTGGCAATGTTTGTGATGACTGTTCTCACAGCAGCAAAATGCATGCTGGACTCAGAAACATTCTATAATCCTTATTTGCAGGTGATAATAGAATACTAGTTGTTGCTGTTATTCTTATGATCCCAGTTTTACATGGGAAAAAACTGAAGCCTAGAAAAGATTAGTACCTGTAGTTTTCCCAAGGTCATATCACTAATAAGGACACAGCCAGATTTCGACCAGGACCTGCCCGACTCTGTGCATCATCCAACCGTTAAGTTTTACTGCCTCTCCACTCCCTTTCCCCGGAAGACCCTAGAAGGGCAGTCAGGCCTGCCTTTTCAAGGCCCTGGAGAAAGGCCAAGCTTCCTTCCTGGATCTTGGAACCTCCTCCTCCTTAGGATGATGTGGTTCTCTAAGCCCTGAAAGTTTCACCCAGGACCTCTAGGTGAGAAGCGACTCCCCAACACCAGCAGGTTCACAGAAACCATGATGCCCAGAAGGGGAGCAAACCCTTCCATCGGCCGGGGCTCAGGAACCTGAGGATTAATTGCTCTGCAAGCGGCTTGTTAGAGGCTGTGTTGGCAGATGAGGAGAGCAGCAATAGAATCAGCCAATTAAGCAGCCAATGGTGCTGAACTAAATGTGACCTCGTACTTAATTGTGGATGTTGTTTCTCGGCAGTTTCTCACCAGTCTGGGTTTGGGGGAAAGAAAGGGAAGGGTGAGGGGAGGGTGAGTGGTGACGGGAGGGTCCTATTTGTAGGGACGCAAGACTCTCATTTCTTTCTTTCTTAAGGGGACAGTAGCATCAGGGATTCAGTGATTTCCAGCACAAGAAAGTTGAGGAAGGGTGGCCTGTCTCTGCTGTATCCCTGGGGCAGCAGGCAAGTGGAAGGCCTAGGCTTAGATGACAAAGCGACCAGCCCTTTTCAGTTGAATGAAACATTTCCAAACAGGCTGGAGACTTAGACTCAGGATCACATCTCTAATAGGGAGGAGGAGACACTGATAGAGGCAGGAGCCTGTGCTGTGCTTCATAGAGAGCTCACACCATTTGGAAACCTCGTTCCTCTCTACTCATACCCTAGCCTGGTGATTAGGGAGACCCTTGGTCCCCTCCATACTTTGTCACTAACATGCCTAGAGCACCAGGTTCAGAAACTTGTGGGCCTAGAGAATAGGGGGTTGGGGGGCTCAGACGGAGAGGGAGATACTAATGTCTCCACATCTCCACAGCTGGACCCGCCGATCCAGCTGCTTCCCTACTGCCTTTGTGACAGCTTCAGGGGTGTGCTGCTTGGATCTCCCCTCAAGAGATGACTTGCCACTCCACTGCAAGGAGTGCGGTGGGCTGACAGCCTCCAGTTGGTAGAGCCTTTGGGACTCACCCCGGCTCTGAGGTTACCTCTTCTTGGTCAGCCCTAGCTAATGACTGAGCATGGTGGAGGGTGGGGCTTGGAGTCTCTACCAGCATGGCATTCCCAGTGAGTTGGCTGAGAGAGACATCGTCAGATGTGCATTGCATTCTCAGACTCTCCCTACCCAATTCGGCTTCCTTGCCCTTTCATCTTTCACAGGCATTATCCCTCAACAAACCTCTTGCTGCACTCTTGACTCTGTCTCAGCATCTGCTTCCCAGCAATGGGCTTTGGACACACTCCCCCAGTACGTGGCATCTTGGCATTCGCAGAAACAGCAGCAGCAGGTCATAAAACCTAGGAAGGTCCCTCTTACCTTTCTTCCACCCTTCTCCCCTGAAGTGGGTCAAAAGACACTCAGAGAGGGGGCCCCCCTGTACCTGGAGGAGAGGAACATCCTTATGTCTGAAAACACAGGGACACAGAGAAAAATATGAACAGGCCTTGCTAAGTTCACCCTCCCTAGTTTATTGCCATTAGATCATGCCCCCTTGTCTAATCATACTTCTCCATGACTACCCATCTCTTCATCACGCTGAGCGTAAAAATACACATTTGCCTGTTTCTTTGGGTCTTCATTTCCTCATGAAGACTCTTGTGTCATGTAAAACTTAAATAAGTTTCTATACTTTTCTTTTGGTATCTTTCTTTTATTATAGGGGCCTCTGCCATGAACTTAGCAATGTTTGAGGAAAGCAAGCTTTTCTTCCCTTATACCAGAAGACACAGCCTTCTAGTGAGGATATGTCCCAAAACCAAAGGGCTGTTTCTTTCCTATTTCTTCCCAGCCCTATTCAGATTCTCCAACAGGCATCCTCTCCCTGCCTACTCCTGTCCGTGTCCCAGGGAGCAGACAGTGTGGCCTGCAGCTCTGCCAACCAGTGCCTACCATGTCTTCTCCTGAATCCCAGACTAGTGGAAAACCAAACAGGTTGCTAAAAGTTGGGTTCTAGTCAACAAGAGGGAAAATGTCACAGGCTGGCAAAAGCATTTTTACCTCTTACAGGTGAGACTGTGAGTTTGCAGAGTCAGCACAGACATTGGCTGAGTGCCTCCACAATGACGAAGATGCCACAGGTAAGGAGCGCCTGTCTTTGGAGCAGACAGTTCTTTAGGGATGGGATCAGGTGGTGCAGATGCATGAAGAATATAAAGCACCAGAGGTACAGCAAGGCACCAGGGAACCCACAGGAGCAAGAGGCCAACTCAGCTTGTGAGAGCCCTAGGAGGACTTCCTGGTGCAGGCAGCATGAGGGTTCTGTCTGAAGTGACAGGAAGGATGGGGTGTTATAAACGGAGAGAGAGGCAGAGATTCCGAGTGAAGGGAGTGCAGGAGGATTCAGGGCATGGTGACTGGCCCAGCATGAGTGGGGTACTTGGTGTTTTGAAGACAAAGTTAGAATGATAGGGTATCTTTAAATAATGGAGGACCTTGAATGCCTAGGATATTTAAATTTTATTCTATTTGTACTGGGGAGCCATGAAGAAATGTCAGAAGAGGGGCAATGTGATCAGATTAGTGTTTTAGAAATATAGGTTCTTGACAGGACAAAGGGGTAGAGATTAAAGATGGGTAGAACAGTTAAAGGCTGTTCCATCAATGAAAGCAAGGATGGTGATGGCCTGACTAGGTCAGAGAAATAGCCATGGTGAAGAGGAAAAAGATTGGAAATGTATTACAGAGGAGAATAACCAACAGGATTGGATATAGGGCAAGCTGAGGAAGAGAAGGTGCCAGAGTCATGAGTCTGAATAATCTACTAAGTGACCTCAGAACAGGATTGAGGGTAAGTGGAAGAGTGTGAGTCAGGATACGTGGAGGCTGAGATGAAAGCAACTGTACACGGAGTTCTGGAGTCTTGGAGAAGGATCAGATTAAAGATACAATTCTGGAAGTCAACCTCATCGTTATCTTCACACCTCGGGTTCAGGTGCTGAAAAGGAGAGGGAGAAAGAGAAAAAAGAAGAGAATCCAAGACCAAACCTTGGGACAGCCTCCATTTAGAAGGATGAGTCCAGAAATGATTGAGATGACATCATCACAGTGCAGTGGGGCCAAGATCTGGAAGAAGTCCCAAGTAGAAGGGCATGGTCAACAATATCAGATGCTATAGAACGTCATGAAGGATGTGGCCCACTGGGAGGCTGCCAAGTGGAGAACACTGAGGTGGGGTTGGCCTTAGTAAGTGTGGCTGCAGCAGAAAGCTGCAAACGGAATACAGTTTTGCTTGGGTCGAGTCATGAGCTGAAGGCAGGGAAATGAGGTAGAGTGCTGATCTCTCTTTCAGGAAGTGTTTGTTGAAGAACAAAAGAAGAGAAGTCTTAAGTTTATGTAACAACATGTTCCAAAGAGTTATTCATCTAAGAGCATACATTTTTAAAACTTTTTATTCAAAAATAATTTCAAGCATGCAGAAAAGTTGCAAGATTATAAATCATACATAGAAAACCCATCCACCAGGCATGGTGGCTCACGCCTGTAATCCCAGCACTTTGGGAGGCTGAGGTGGGTGGATCACTTGAGGTCAGGAGTTCGAGACCAGCCTGGCCAACATGGTGAAACCCCATCTCTACCAAAAATATAAAAAATTAGCCGGGTGTTGTGGTGCATGCTTGTAATCCCAGCTACTCGGGAGGCTGAGGCAGAAGAATCGCTTGAACCCGGGAAGCAGAGATTGCAGTGAGCCAAGATCGTGCCACTGCACTCCAGCCTGGGCAACAGAGTGAGACTCCATCTCAAAAAAAAGAAAAAAAAAAGAAAACCCATCTACTTTTTACCTGGATTCATATTTTGCCCATTTGTTTCATCATTTGCTTTCTCGTTTTCTCTCTTCTCTCTCGATACACACACATATAAATACATACAAATATATAATTTTACCTACCCATGCACATATATGTCAAATGTTTCTCTGAACCATTTGAGAGTAAGTATAGTTGACCCTTGAATAATGCAGAAGTTAGAAGCATCAACCCCCTATGCAGTCAAAAATTCTCATGTAACTTTTGACTCCCCGGAAACTTAACTACTCATAGCCTACTGTTGACCACAAGCTTTACCAATAACATAAATGATCAATTAACACATAAGCTGGAGTAAGCTAGAGAAAAGAAAATGTTATTGAGAAAATCATAACAAAAAGAAAATATATTTACTATTTATTAAGTGGAAGTGGATCATCAGAAAATCTTCATCCTTGTCATGTTCACACTGAGTAGGCCGAGGAGGAGGAGGAAGAGGAGGAATCAGTCTTGCTGTCTCAGGGGTGGCAGAGATGGAGGAGGTGGAAGGGGAGGTGGGAGAGTTGGGCACACTTGGTATAACTAAAATCCATGCACGAGTGGTCCAATGCAGTTCAAATCTGTGCCATCAAGGGTCAACTGTACATATTTCATGGCCCTTTAACCCCTAAAACCATCGGTATGTATTTACTAAGAATAAGAATAAGAGTACTCTCTTACATATCCATAGTATATTATCAATTTTATTAAAGTTAACATTGATACAATCTTTTTCTCAATTGACCAATATCCTTTATAGTGTAGGGGAGGAAAAGTACTCTTTTTCTTACCCATCGCAAGGTTCGTGGCTGAAGCCCTTATAACAGAAGACATTAATAACAAGAGAAAAACATACAAATTTATTTAATATATTTTATGTAACATGAAAGCCTTCAGAAATGAGGACCCCAAGAAACTAAATATAAAACTATCTGAAAGGAGACACAAACAGGGGTGTTTTTGACCTGAATACATTTAGTAGGATTATTTGATGACATGGAAGTCTGTTCTCCTGAACATCTTTCTGAATTTTGGCAATCCCAGCATCTCACACTGGTATTCTTCTTTTTACCAGATGAAAATGATACACATATCTCGTCGTATTTCCTATCTTGCCTTGGCTGCCAGAAAGCTCAAAGCTAAATTTAGTACTCTATCACAACAAATATATTACCATAGATTTTTCTTCTATTTATATCTCCATTTACTATATGTATATATTTTTCTATTTATATCTCCATTTATTATATCTTGATGTGTCTCTGGGTATAGCTGTCTACATATGGATTTATTACGTAAGTGTCTTTAATATTAAACCTCCTAAAATTATTTTTGGAATTTCATGGGGTAGCTGCCTCATAAATAGAAAGTTCCTCAAGAGACACTTGTCTCATTCAGCTACTTATCTACCCAATAAAGAGCTAGACCAATACGTACCACATGTAAAAGCTAGACCAATATGTTTTCTCTTGTTACTGTTACCTACCTTTCCTAGTCCCAGCTATAAATGGCCTTGCCACAGAAGATAATTTGGTTTGAGGAGGAACTCTTAGTTAAAATAGAAATGTCTCTCTTTGGACTGTGTCCCAAGTCTTTGTGTTTAATTTCTTCTGCAGGCTTCAAGTCTCATGCTGACAGAAGCCAAAGGGAATGCTGGTCCAAAGAGGCACACCCTTCCCAAGCTGACTTTTGTAGAGAGAAGGAAAGAAAAACCTGACCTTGAGGAGGTAGGTGCTCCCCCAAGCCATGCCAGAGAAAGGAAAGTAGGTCGGAGGGCAGCAGTTTCCTCAAAGATGACCTTTCTCTCTTTTTATTGAGACAGAGTCTTGCTCTGTCACCCAGGCTGAAGTGCAGCAGCGCAATCTCGGCTCTTTGCAACCTCGACCTCCCAGGTTCAAGCAATCCTCCCACATCAGCCTCCCGAGTAGCTGGACTACAGGTGCATGCCACCATGACCCGCTAATTTTTGTATTTTTGTAGACATAGGGTTTTGCCATGTTGCCCAGGCTAGTCTTGAACTCCTGAGCTCAAGCGATCTGCCTGCTTCAGCCCCCCAAAGTGCTGGGGTTACAGGCGTGAGCCACTGTACCTGGCATGGAATCAAATTTTAAAGCTAGAAACGGTCTTCAGAGATTGTCCAGTCCCACTCACTTTACAGCTGTGGAAGCTGAAGTCCAGAGGTCACAGAGCAGGTTAATGGCAGAATGGGCCCCCACCCAGGTCTTCCCATGGCTGGAGAAACATCCTTCCCTTTCCACTTCATCTTCACATGTTCCAGGACTAGAGGTGTCCTGAGTTCAGGGACCACCAAGTCTGAATTATCACTTCTCTAGAACCCAGCAAAGTACCTGGCATACAGCAGGCCCCTAATAAATGCATTTTTTTTTTTTTTGAGATGGAGTCTCACTCTGTCCCCCAGGTTGGAGTGCAGTGGCATGATCTTGGCGCACTGCAACCTCCGCCTCCCGGGTTGAAGCGATTCTTGTGCCTCAGCCTCCCCGAGTAGCTGGGATTACAGGCACCTGCCACCACACCCAGCTAATTTTTTGTGTTTTAGTAGAGATGGGTTTTCACCATGTTGGCCAGGCTTATCTCGAATTCCTGGCCTCAAGTGATCCGCCTGCCTCAGCCTCCCAAAGCGTTGGGATTACAGGTGTGAGCCACCACGCCCAGCCTTATAAATGCATTTTGAATGAATGAGCCATCTGAATTCTCACCTTCTTCCTGGAAGTTTGAAGACCAATGTTTTTGAAATTCTTTGAAAGAGACTTATAAGATTCTTAATGTGCACACTCTATCATCTCTGGCATGGACAAGAAAATGCACTGACAGTTCTGGTGAGCAAGTCTTCCCTGAACTTCTCAGGGGCTGAGACCGACATTATACCTTACTTACAATATGCAGACTCGGGTGGTCTGCATCCTGTGGCTCACATGGGATAGGGGCTGCCTGAAAGGTGTATGCGGCTACTGCATTAGCATAGCAGAGTGGTAGGAAATGCAAACTTTGAAGCCAAGCTTCTGAGGTATAAGGGCCACCTCTGTCACTAGCTGTGTAATCATGGACAAGTTACTTACCCTCTCTGAGCCTCAGTTTCCTCCTCTGTAAAAGGGGGATAATATATACCTACCTTATAGATAGATATATATACATGGGTATGTGCATGTGTGCAAGTTCTTGGAACAGTAGCTGGCACCTGGATGGTCTGTGCAAGTGAAGGCTATTATTATTCTTGTTGTTCGTAGTGGAGAAAGGGAAAAATGACCCCACCTACAGATTTCTTCTGTAAATTCTCTGGTGTCTCTTAGAAGCACGCAGAAAGTTTTGGGATCATAGCTTGTAACTACAAGTGGCAGCTCTCTCATATGGAGCCAGTGTAGACTTGGCTCCAGAACCAGCCATCAGACTATCTTCGCTGCTTTGGGGTGTTGCCTCTATCACAGGGGAAATGGCTTCAAAGTTCCTCACAGATCTGTCTGTCTTTTGTTCTTGGTCCCACTTTTGAGGACTGAGCCAATAGTCAATGCAGAGTCCCCACTGTGAAAGAGAAAGGTCGGCCAGGCGCGGTGGCTCACGCCTGTAATCCCAGCACTTTAGGAGGCTGAGGCAGGCAGATCACCTGAAGTCAGCCTGGCCAACATGGTGAAACCCTGTCTCTACTGAAAATACAAAATTAGCTGGGTGTGGTGGTGCACACCTGTAATCCCAGCTACTCCAGAGGCTGAGGCATGAGAACTGCTTGAACTTGGGAGGCGAAGGTTGCAGTGAGCCAAGACTGTGCCACTGCACTCTAGTTTTTTGGGGTGTTTTTTTTTTTTTTTTGGCTTTGAGACAGGATCTCACTCTGTTGCCCAGGCTGGAATGTAGTGGCACCATCATAGCTCACTGCAGCCTCAAACTGCAAGCCTTGAACCACTTCAAGTGATCTTCCTGCCTCAGCCTCCTGAGTAGCTGGGACTACATGCACACATCATAGTATGCCTGGCTTTTTTTTTTTTTTTTTAATTTTTGTAGAGATATGATCTCACAATGTTGCCCAAGCTGGTCTCAAACTCCTAGGGTCAAGTCATCCTCCCACCTCAGCCTCCCAAAGAGCAAGATTACAGGTGTGAGTCACCATGCCCATCCCACTCTGGCATGTTGAGTATTTTGGGTTAAAGGTATTTGAAAAAAAAAGCAGGTGCAAAAAGATCACTCTGACCTTCCATCTGTTTCTTAAAAGCAGAAGAGGCTATTTCCATGTGAAAGATGCCCTCCCTATACTAGAAGGAAAGCAATGTTCTTATCAAGAATGGATGGTTGAGACTGAGAGAATTCTACACAGAACTTATTAAAATAACTCTTATCTTTATGCCTCCCCCACATAATTTAGTTGCTTTTTCACAACTTACTATTCTTCGTCCCATTCAGTATATAAGTAATTGACTCCAACTATTTCTTTGAGTCTTCATTTCCTTATGAGGGTTCCATGTCACATAAAACTTGTGTTAAATAATGAATGCTTTCTTTTCTTTTCTGAGATAGAGTCTTGGTCTGTCGCCCAGGCTGGAGTGCAGTGCTGTGATCTTGACTTACTGCAGCCTCTGCCTCCCACGTTCCAACAATTCTCCTGCCTCAGCCTCCTGGATAGCTGGGATTACAGGTGCACACCACCACACCTGGCTAATTTTTGTATTTTTAGTAGAGACGGGGTTTCACCACGTTGGCCAGACTGGTCTTGAACTTCTGACCTCAGGTGATATGCCCGCCTTGGCCTCCTAAAGTGCTGGGATGACAGGTGTGAACCACTGCACCTGGCCAATGAATGCTTTTCTCCTGTTGATCTGTCTTGCCAATTTCATTCTCAGGCCTATCCAAAACAAAACAAAATTCTAAGAGCGTAGGGGTAAAATTTTTGTCTCTCCACATAGTATCAAAGAAAAGAAAGGGAGCCTGAGGTTTTCTAGAGGCAGGTAGGCAAGGGAGTCACCCCAAGTCTTTTGGGAGCCATGTGGAAGTATTATCTCAGAGTATTCAATGGTAGGATAGCCCTTTGCAGTTTCCCACTTTCAGAACATAAAAACATGGGGAATGAGGATTTCTTAATTGTTGCCATTTTCCAAAAACACAGGGCTTAAATTTCATATTGTCATAAGGACACATACCTCCATGGTCACGAATGTATAACCAGGGATACCTAAAGCCCCAAAGTAAACATGGAAAATCTCCCCAAAGTATTCAAGTAATTTTACCTGAAATTGTGGGGGCAGAATCATTATTTTACGTAATACAAAAAGAACGAAAATATTTATGATTTTGAAGCTAAAATATTCAAAGAGGTTTTTAGAACCCTTGTGCTAAATTTCTAGCCCCTCACCTCAACCATTTGGGGTACCTGTGTACCCCTAAAAGTTTGAGAAGCACTGGTCACTTATGCTGTTATTGAATTCTCATAACTCTTTGATATACATGTTTTTAATCAAAGCTTCATAGGGACAATGTCATCTTTCATGTCATGTTTTGTTTCTTCATGTACCTCCATAACTGCCTTTTTTTCTAACCTCAGAATTTTGTTTGAATGACAAACTTTTTGTTTTGGAATATTACAGAAACATTGGAGAGCTAATACAGAGAGATCCTCCATACTCTTCACCTGTACTCCCAGGTTCCGCTAATGTTAACATCTTACATACCCACAGCACATTTGTCAAAACTAATAACATTAACTTTGGCCTTTACTATTAGCTAAACTACAGGCTTAAATTCCACCAGTTTTTCCACAAACATCCTTTTACTGTTCCAGAATCCATTCCAGGATTCCACATGGCACTTAACATAAATGCCTTTTGCTTGACTGGAGGAACCTTTCATGAGTCCCACTAAGTGTCAGGCATTGCCCTACATCTTGAGGAGCTGATGAAACAATCTCCGATTGTTTCAAAGGGATCACATGGGGAAAGTGGCTCATTGTCTGCTCCGTGCCACACAGGTGTGGGCAAGGCCTCCGCGCCGGCAGCAGTTGGGTTCCCAGCCCCTGCTCCCTAAGTCAAGGCAGCAATCTGAGCCCAGGACGTGACCCGTGTCGGTCTCCGCGCTGGGTGCCCTTCCGGAGCCGGCACTGGAAGGTTAGCGCCTCTGAAATCAGATAAAGGACGTCAAGCCACAGCTGTGTTTGTTTTATAAATTAAAGGGCGAATCATTAAAATGACTGTTTTCCTGAAAATAAAGAGATTAAACAGTTCTCCCTTCTCCCCTGCTGCCTCCCCGCCTCTTTTTCCAATTTGTCCCACAGGACTCCAGATTCGTGTTAATGGCGAAGAATTATCTCTGTTTCAATCTTGGGGCCTGGGCTGGCTCCATAACAATTATAATCTCCTATCTGAAGCGGCCTGGAGGCAAAGGGCCGGTGAGGCTGAATTCTTTGCAGAATTAACCGCCATTCAGATGGATAGGAGAAGAATTGAGCGGGGGCCTTCAAGGTGATTCTCAACTTTCCTTAGGTACTTTTCCTATGGCCCTTTTCTGCAGAAGGTTCGGTGTCTGTTGGAATTTAAGGTTTTAACACAGAGAGAAAGAAAAGAGGATAAAATGAGCATGTGAAAAGTGCATGAAAAGCACCTGGCATGCAGTAAGTACTCAATAAACATTAAAGAGGCCGATGAGAAACATTTGTACTTAAATTAGAAGACAGTGGGGAGCCGGAAGTGTTTCTCAGAAGGATGACAGGGTTGGATGGAGTGGGGGTCTTTCAAGGAGCTTATGAACTAGGAGGGGCTTACATCACGAACACATCACATGACATACGGCGGTGAAGAGAGCATGCGTCTAATAATTATGCGGTCACTCTACCTGCATGATGTCATTTCATCCTCACATAAAGCCTATCCGGTAGCCACTATTTTATCCCCAATTTACAGATGGATAAACAGATTAAAAAATATGTCCAGCTGGATGCGGTGGCTCACGCCTGTAATCCCAGCACTTTAGGACCCCGAGGTGGGTGGATCACGAGGTCAGGAGTTCAAGACCAGCCTGGCCAAGGTGGTGAAAACCCGTCTCTACTAAAAAAACAAAAATTTGCCAGGTGCAGTGGCAGGCGCCTGTCATCTCAGCTACTTGGGAGGCTGAGGCAGGAGAATCAGTTGAATCTGGGTGGCAGAGGTTGCAGTGAGCTGAGATCACGCCATTATACTCCAGCTTGGGTGATAGAGTGAGACTCTATCTCGAAAAAATAAAAAACAAATATCCAAGTCTGTTCAGCTAGTAGAAACCGGGCAGGGCAGTTCCAGCACCTGCCCTGCCTCCCAGAGAGACGAGGAGGGGTCGCAGCTCTGTCACAGCAGTGCCCACTTGCTCCTTGACTGGCTAGCACAGAGCCTGAGGTGTGAATACTCAGTGAAGAGTGTGTTAAGTACATGAAGAGCTGTGACTCCCAGTCATCCCTGACTAAGAGCTATTGATCAATCTCATGCTCCTGTTTCCTCTTCTGGCACAAAAGGGAAAGCCTGTGGCTTATTTTATCAAAACATTATGGGGTCGGGTGTGGTGGCTCACGCTTGTAATCCCAGGATTTTGGGAGGCCAAGGCAAGTGGATTGCTTCAGCCCAGGAGTTGAAGACCAGCCTGGGCAACATGGCAAAACCCCGTCTCTAAAAAAAAAAAAAAAAAAAAAAAATAGCAGCACGTGGTGGTGCACACCTGTGATCCTGGCTACTTGGGAGACTGAGGCAGGAGGATCGCTTGAGCCCAGGAAGTGGAGACTGCAGTGACCAGTGATTACACCACTGCACTCCAGCCTGGGTACCAGAATGAGACTCTGTCTCCCGCCACTTCCCCCCAGAAAAAGAAAACACATTATGGAAAATTAGCAACAGGAACTCTAAAATGCTCAGATAATGCAAAAATACAGTCAATATAACTGTATCAGTTCCCTGAGCTTTGTAATGAAAGGAGAGCCTTAGTTTTTTATTTTTTTAAATGGGAAAATAAAGAGCTTTCCCCTTCAAACCAGCATGGAGGTTGTACAACATGAGAAAATGCGGAGGCAGCTCAGGAGATGAAGGCTGAGGAGGAACTTTAGGCTTGGAGGTTTCTAGGGACAATCCATAAAGATGGTGGACAGTGAAGTCACTCCTGTGCCTAGTGAGACTTTCAGAACTGAGGTAAAACTCACCCCTTACCCCTTTCCCAAAAAAGAAAAAAATGACACCATTGGCTGGGCATGGTGGCTCATGCCAGTAATCCCAGCACACTGGGAGGCCAAGGTGGGTGGATTGCTTGAGCCCAGGAGTTCAAGACCAGCATGGCCAACATGGCAAAACCCCATCCCTACTAAAAATACAAAAAACTAGCTGGGCATCGCGGCGCATGCCTGTACTCCGAGCTACTCAGGAGGCTGAAGCATGAGAATCACTTGAAACCGGGAGGCAGAGGTTGCAGTGAGCCGAGATCATGCCACTGCACTCCAGCCTGGGCAACAGGGTAAAACTGTGTCTTAAAAAAAAAAAAAAAAAAAAAAGTGACCATTAAAACAACAGCAATAATAAACCTTGTAGCATAGCAGCAAACAAAAGAAAATGAATTTCTCAATCTAACAGTAAAAAAAAAAAATGGATTCTCCCAGTGGGCATCTAAAGAGCCTTTGCAGGCCTCTGAATTGTTCACCAAGAAATCCCTAAGCGGAAATTAGACAATGAGAAAAACAACTAAGACTGCTTTGTATGGCTAAACAGCATCAAAGACCTACATTTTACAAGTATGGAATGGGCTTAAAGTGAAAAACCAAGCAGCCCTCATAAAAGTTAGAAAAAAAGCCTCCAGAAAAGCCCAGAGAAAGCTGAGACTGAGGGACCAGTCTTCCCTGGGAAGGAGGCAGCCGCTGCTGGCAGCTGGGCGGGGAGCTGGTGGTGGAGCTGGCTGGGACCGAGGAGACGGTTCTTCCTTTCCATCTGACATTTGATCCCCTCCCTGAGGCCTATGTTATTTAATGGTGCAGAACTTCCCTTTCCCCTAAAATTGAGATCCAGCTGGGCCATTTCTGGTTCCCACAGGTGTGTGCAGGCTCAAGCCACCCTGGCTACTGTGAAAGCTACAGGTGGGGGTCCTGACAGAGAGCAGGGTGGTGGCTATCTGGGTTAGGAGGCTGGGCGGGCAGCTGAGGGTGAGTGGTAAGCTGCTCTACTGCACCCCATGAGACAGCCCCCGTTAGGTCAACCTCACGCAGCAGCACACTGCACAAAATAAGGTTGGTTTTAGCTGAGCACTTAACATTTGTTTGCTTCTCAGCTTGTTTCATCCTTTCATAAAACGAAAAATATCATACATACAAAAAAGCAGAGAGGACAATACATTGAGCCCCCAAATATACCTCCCCCAGATTCAACAATTATCAGGATTTTACCACATTTGCTCAATCTATCCCTTTTTCCTTTTCTATCTTTGCTGAAATGTTTTTTTGAAAGCAAATGCAAGATATGCTATCTCTACCCATATATTTCAACATGCATCTCCCCCAAAAATATGAACATTTTCTTACATGACTACCGCACTATTTTCATGCCCAAGAGAATAAACAATAATTTCTTGGTGTTCTCTAATACTCAGTGTCTCCTTTTGCCTATAAGAAATGATGCCTTGAGATTAGAATCAGGGCTAAGGAAAAGCCTCCCCTCATGCTGTTTAAGACCAGAATGAACACTATAGCCCAAGTCCATTCTCCAAGCTTCAGTCCAGAATCTTTGCCTTGGTTTTGCAGGCAGACATTTCCCATAAACATCTACCTCTGTGCCTTCTCCCAACCCCAGCGCAGCCTCTAAAACAAGAGTTTGGGCTTTTCAGCTACAGAGTGTCCTCGAAGTGTAGAGTGTATCAGAATCACCTGGCACTTGTTAAAATGCAGATTTCTGGGCTCCACCCCAGAGTTTCCAGCTTAGTGAGTGTGGGGCAGGGCTGGGAATTTGCATATCTAACAAGTTCCCAGATGATGAGGATTCTGCTAGTCCAGGGACCATACCTGGAGAGCCACAGAGCTACCACAAACCACACAAATGGGTCTTTCTTTGAGGAACTACGGCCTGCTCTGCTGAGGCTGCCTCATGACATGGCTCCAGCAGTGCCTTGTGCTCCAGGGCCATCCGTGTGCAGACAGAGATTGGGAATGCTTTCATTACCCTGAAGTTATTCCTGACGCTGACATACTTGGGCCTCGGTGTATCAGCTCCCACTAAGCAAGTTTCTGTTGCCTTGTTACCCAGCAACTAGCCCAGCTTTGCTCTCCCATGCCTGGGCTCCTTGCCTGGTAACCCATTCCCTGAGGGACCAGATTCTCATCCTCCAATCTCAGCTTTCTCTGGTCAAGTCACCTTACACCAAATCCTTGACTTGTCCTGGGGCTTGGCTGACTTTCTCCATGCCTTACCAGGGCAAGTCCAGCCGTTGTGAGGAAACACCCTTTCCTATTACATCTGCTCAGAGCAGCACCTTTTCCTCATTCACACAGAAGTGCAGTGCCAGGCCCTCGTCTGGTTCTCTGTCCATTCCTTGCTCCATCCTGATCACCTATTGAGCCTGGACCATTGAATCATAAGTCCCATCTGGCTCCCACCCCAACCCTGCTCATTCCCCCTCCCTCCCCACCCTTCCCAGAAACAGCAGCACACGTGCTTCCTAGGGCTGCCCAGCCCTGCTCTGTCAAGACCGAGGCCTGAGCCAGAAGGGCTTCCTGAAAAGCCAAAGCCACATCCCCTCCCAGGCAGGTCTGATGGCTCTCCCTCGATCAGGAAGCTTGTCCCAGGACACAGCCTCACCCTAGTGGCACTGGGTTTCCTTCTCAGAGGAGCAGCTGCCCTGAAGGAAAGCTGGGCTGGGTTTTGCCCAATTTCTCAGAGGGGTTGCTCTTGGGGCTTGAACCTCTTTATACACTAAAGTCAGCCAGCCAGTGAGTCAGCTAAATTTACTAGCCCTATTGGCCCTCAGACGGGCCCGTGGGCAAAGACTAAAAATAGCAGGTGTGAGGGCCCCAGCTTTGGGGTGGGATGGGTGAGCGCATTCATCCATCCATCCAGGAAACACTCACTGAGCACCTAGGAGGGCAGGAACTGTTTTGGACATGGGGCACCAACCAAATGACAAAATCCTTGTCTTTATAGAGGTTGCATGCCAATGAAGGAGACAGATAATCATAAACAAATTTGCAAAAATATGTAGAAGACTCACATAATTCTATAGTAGGGTCCAAAAATCTCAATAGTGTCAAGTGTGGGATCCTGTGAGATTGATAAAATATCAGGGTGAACATGCTGCAGATGGCAGGAATCAGCCACCAATCATATTTCCTCTTTGCTGAAGTTACTGTGGGTTGTGCTATTAAAGGGCACCACTGCATATTAAGTCATGTAAGAAGGAAATGCTAAGAAAATACATAAAACATGGCAGGAGGGCATGCAATGCTGGGGTGGGGAGAGCTGAAATTTTTTATTCTATTTATTTTATTGAGACAGACTCATTCTGTCACCCAGGCTGGAGTGCAGTGGCATGACCTTGGCTAACTGCAACCTCTGCCTCCTAGGTTCAAGCAATTCTTGTGCCTCAGCCTCCTGAGTAACTGGGATCACAGGCGTGAACTACCATGCCCAGCTAATTTTTTGTATTTTTAGTAGAGATGGGGTTTCACTATGTCGCCCAGGCTGGTCTCCAACTCCTGGGTTCAAGCGATCCACCCTCCTAGTCTTCCCAAAGTGCTGGGATTACAGGTGTGAGCCACCGCACCCAGCTGAGTTGAAATTTTATATAGCCCGATTTATTTAATAAGAAGAATGCCTCACTAACAATGCAACCTGAAATGGAGATTGCATCCCCCTACTGGCACGTACAGGACTGAGAAATCCAGAAACACGGAGGCATAGGAAGGTACAAAAAATAAAGGCAAGGATTGGGAATCGCTAAAGAGACCATAGCAAAGGGAGTCAAATGAAGGGACCAGAAGACCAGAAACAGATCCTCTAGCAATGGATGATGTAGTTACTGGCATCCCTTCAGAGAGAGAAGGAAGGGGACATTCCAGGCAGGTGGAAGAAGACAGGAGATGACTCAGAGGTGAGAAAAAGCAAATAATATTCCAAAGAAAAATTTTCTTGGCTGGATTGTTGACGAGCAAGAGTTAACATGGATCCAGGGTAAGAGGACTAGGAAATGCAAAGTGTGAAAATTCAAAATCAGGAAGAACGATTTTATCTTGAGCAAAAGGCCCTCGGACGCCATCACAGGCTTGGAGATGCGGGTGGTACCCACAGTTGCCTAAGGAAGACTGGCAGGGGGGCTCACATGCTGTGGAGAAGCGGTGGCCCAGAGCTGGCAGTGGAGACAGAGAGGCTGCCAAGGGCAGTAGCCAGGAACTGTGGGCTGTTCTGGCCCCTTTGTCTCTCCAAAGATGTGTGGGAGGCACAGAGGGCCAGAGGTTTCCCAACTCCTGAGCAGCTCCCTTGTTCCTGTTTATTCTTATTCCTTTAATGATATGATGAGCTCATGTTCTCAGAGGTGCCAGGAATGAATTAGCCATGCAGCTCACTTCAGCATTAGCAGAAACCATGGAGTGTCCTGCAGCAGGTAGGTCTGAGCTGCGTGTCTGGAGAGGGCAGGATGACAGTGCCACATGCATGTGGGTCCTGCCCTCCAGGAGCCAGCCGGCGACCCTGCCAGCAATGGTGGCCAAGCAGGAGGGAGGGGCAGCTGCTCAGACCACCAGGGAACAAAATGTTCCTCTCCTCTTTGGAGGAAAATAATCAAGTAGATTTCCTCTTTCTTTTTTACTATTCTTGCTTGCTATGGCAGAGCCATAGACTCTCCAAGGAGAGATTCCTTGAAACCACTGCCTCCTTTCCTAGGTCTCAGCTCCCCAGCCTATAATTGCATGTGTGTAAATCCCTCCCCAACCCCACACTCATCCTCATTTCTAACCAGCTCTTCCTAAAATTCCACTCTTTCTTAAGGAGTCTCTTCCACAGAACCCTGGGGAAACTCACTCCATGGTCCATTTAAGTCTTCATTTTCCTCTCACCTTAACCCAAACCAGTGCAGGCGAGTCAACATCCTGCCTCTTCCTGCCCCCTTACCGAAGCCTCGCCTTCTCCTAGTGTCTTCCGCACAACAGGGGAAGCAGCAGCATGTCTATGCCATTTGGTCATGCCAGTCAAGTCCCTGCCATCTGGGCACACCGCCTTCTCCAGGTCTCTGCTGGCTTCTGGATTGCATTTCCCGTCTTTCCCCTGTCATCATCCTTGGTGACCTCAACCTTCATGTCAATGACCTGTCCAGCTCCCTGACCACCCTCTTCTGTGCCCTTCTCCACACGGATGACCCCTGTCCCATAGGATAGCGACCACAGCTGGACCGCATTACACGGTTCTGCCTCCCCTCCAAGAACTCGAGCGTGGTGCAGACCCTTCAACCTCAGCCTCCTACCCTGCCGACATCCCGCTTCCTCACTCCTCCTGAACCAGTTCTTTGTCATTGCTGAATCGTCTCATTTCTTGACCCTTTGTAACACAAACAATCTAGTACCTCTCTGTGGTCTACATTTTCAATACACACATATACAGCTCTCCAGGTTCTACCATGCCTTCTTCCCTGGGTCTCCTTCCTCCCCAGCAATTAGTACTATGGAGCCAAAAGAAAGAAATACTTGCAAATTTACCTTCTCTTCTAAGATGCAATTACTTTTGCACCAACCTAATTTATGCATTAATATTATGCACTTACTATAGGCTAGATTCCTCTAAATACTTTGTGTGGGTTGTCTCCTTTAATCCTCACAATAACCCATGGGGTGGGTATAATCATTACTCCCATTTAACATATAAGGAAACCGAAAGCACAGAAAAAAAAAAGTACTTTGCCCATGGTCATGCAGTTGGAGGCAAGATTCAAACCCAGAATCCACTATCACTCACCCACCTTCCAAGTTAAATAGAACAGGTATTGGTCTACTACAGTTTTTATTTATTATTTATTTTTAGCTGCTCCTTGCAGAGCAGGGCTAATTCTTAGGCAGTGTGCCTGAAGTTAGCCTATTAGTGTGTGTGTGTGTATATATATATATATATATATATATATTTTTTTTTTTTTTTTTTTTGAGACGGAGTCTTGCTCTCATTGCCCAGGCTGGAGTGCAAGGCACGCTCTCGGCTCACTGCAACCTCTGCCTCCCGGGTTCAAGCAATTCTCCTGCCTTAGCCTCCCAAGTAGCTGGGATTACAGGCACCCGCCACCATGCCCAGCTAATTTTTTGTATTTTTAGTAGGTACAGGGTTTCACCATGTTGGCCAGACTGGTCTCGAACTCCTGACCTCAGGTGATCCGCCCACCTCAGCCTCCCAAAGTGCTGGGGTTACAGGCATGAGCCACCATGCCCTGTCACCTACTAAGATTTTTAAAGCAGTGTGCCTGTGATTCATTCTAACCTTCATATAGTAGTGCTTTATACAGTGGAGAAACTCAATAAAGATACGTTGAAAGTATTTAAATTACACCAATCTGATTTGTGTAGAAAATGTAAGACACTCAAGTTCATGAAGTGAGCTCCAAATGTGAAAACACTGAAAAAATGGATGCGTGGATCAAAGGCACAAGCATGCATATTAAAAACAAACAAACAAAAAACACTCTTCTACTTGAATCATTAAACTTAAAATTTTATAACACTGTAATCTATGCTCATTCAGATGCAAATTTCCAATTGTTGATGTATTTACATCCATTTCTCAAAGAATCAACACTTGGAATAAACAGTCATGCAAATAGTATCAGAAATTTCTTTTCTTTTTTTTTTTTTTTGAGACGGAGTCTCGCTCTGTCGCCCAGGCTGGAGTGCAGTGGCACGATCTAGGCTCACTGCGAGCTCCGCCTCCCGGGTTCACGCCATTGTGCCATTCTCCAGCCTCAGCCTCCCGAGTAGCTGGGATTACAGGTGCCTGCCACCACACCCAGCTAATTTTTTTGTATTTTTAGTAGAGACGGGGTTTCACCATGGTCTCGATCTCCTGACCTCATGATCCTCCCACCTCGGCCTCCCAAAGTGCTGAGATTACAGGCGTGAGCCACCGTGCCCAGCCCAGAAATTTCTTAAAGACTCAACTCAGATTTGTTTTTAAATTTATACTCTATGTGAAAATTTTTTAATTTAACTGACAAATAATTATGTACATTTATGGTATTCAACATGATGTTTTGGTCTATACATTGTAGAAACCTATACATTGTACACATTGTAGAAAGATTCCATAAAGCTAATTAATAACGTCTATTACCTTACCAATTTATCACTTTTTGGGGGGGTGAGAATGTTAAAAATATATTCTTTTAGCAATTTTGAAATATACAACATGTTAACTGTGTTCATCATGCAATGTAACAGATCACTAAAAGCAATTCAGATTTTTTTTTTTATACTTTAAGTTCTAGGGTACATGTGCACAACGTGCAGGTTTGTTAATGTGATCCCAGAGAATGTGATGTTTTCTGTATTTAAGAATAGATCCCAGAAACAAAATAACCATTGATAAAGAAACCTACTGTTACCATAGCATGCAAATACAGGCTTTAGCACTGAGGCAAAGGCTATCTGAGAATTGTGTTGGCAGCTTAAATGTCCATGGTTTACCAGGCAGTCATCTTTCTCATTTGCTACATGGAATACGTATGTCATGGCATAATGATATGTAGAAGCTGTATCATCACACTGAAAAAGCCCCTCAACCACTGCCTGCAAAATCAGCTTTGAATTGGCAAAGTAGACATCCCTAAACCTCAGCCTTCTCTCTCAAGCTAATTCCTCCAACATCAAGCAATAACTATTAAAGAGCAGCTGCTCCAGGTGACAGGTGACCAGCATGGCTGATTCCTAGCACATCTCTCTGAATTGGTCAAAGGCAAAAACGAAAAGCAAAACTAAACTAAAAACCACACACACACACACACACACACACACACACACGCATGCGCACACACACACACACACTCACACAGAGAAACCTTTCAAGATACTCTAAGGATAAACTCGAGAAATATGGGGAGTGTGATAAGAAGTAGCTTAGGTTCAGTTAATACACAGAGTAAGCACAAGACACATTACAGTGTCTGCATCAACAAAACGAAGGGAAAAATCCGCCTAAGCAGCAGATCATGGATCAAAACTCAAATTCCAGAGATTGTGGCAGTTGATTGGCAAAACCTGTCAATTCCAGACTGGCTTAAATTGTCGTTTAAGAACAGATGTCTTTTAGGAGTCAAGTATCTGAAGGCAATTAACTAATACTAACTCATTGGGCCACTCTAACTATGCCTGCTTGGCAATCAGTAAAAGCTTCCCAAAAGGATGGTGGCAGAGTACAATGGAAAATATGCTGGAAGCCAGAGAGGATGTGGGGAGACTGGCTTTCCCACCCATTGCCAGGGAATGTGGATGCCACAACATTTTTGGCAAGAGTCAGGCAGTACATATTAAAACTCACTTGCCCTTGGTACCAGCAGTCCCACCCTGGGAAATCTATCCTAAAGAAATAAATGCATCCAAGGGCAATAATATGTTGCAAGGCTATTACGTTGCAGTGTTGTGTGCACAAGCAAAAAACTAGAAACAAACTGAATGTCTCTCAGTATAGAAATAACTGAACATGCGACGGACATCTGTTGACTATTCATTCAACATCATCTGTCCCCTTCTTCTTTGCAACGGAAGCTTGATTCTGTTTAGGTGACCATTCCCAGGAAAGGAGACCTGTAGTCCCCACTCCAGAGGAAAATCTGTATTAGTCTAAAATGAAGTAGATTTGAAATCTACTAGTTCCACCCTGGTCCCACCATGTCCTAGCTGTACAACCTGGCTGTCACTCCACCTGCCTGGGGCCCCAGTTTTCTCTTCTGCAAAATGCCCATTCTTACACTTGCCCTGCCTAGATGGTAAGGTTTTTATTATGTAAAAGCATTTTGACAACTTGTAAGCATTCTACCAATTTAAAGAAGGATGGGTTTTGGATCAGCCTCTATGTGTGGATGTTGTGTCTGCACTCACCTCCAGGACGCCATTCACACCCGCCTCCTCAGCGCCACACTGTTCCTACACATGAGCTAAGCGGCAGCCAGCCAGGGCCCCAAGCTAGGCTGGCTTTCCAATGCTTTGTTTCCACCCAGGGCTCCAGCCAACACTTCGATTAACTTCTAACTGAAAAACGATGCCAGCTGTAGGACCCAGCTGCTCTTGCCTTCGATGGGATTTCTCTCAGGTTTTCTTTCTTGTGACTCATGACTAAGATGTCCCATCCGTATCCACCATCTTTCCAAAGACAATGTGTAAGATTTGCTTCCCGGGTCCAGTCCTCTCCCTACTCACAATCACACGTGCTGATTTAATCTCAGGAGACGTAAACATTTGCTGGACTTTCTCCATTTATCCCCATCCGTCCGCGGCTATCTTCCCCCACACACGCATTTCTATGTTCTCCTTTTCTCGACACCCACTGCTTTACCCATGCTGCCCTGCGTTCCCTTTATTTCTCAAACACTCAGTTTTCCTAAAATGCAGTTTCCCATTCTCTGGACATAGGAAACTTCTTGCTTCTTCTCCAATGGGGTAGGAATTAGTAAAATTTGCTCCCAAAGCTGCTGTTTCCTTTTTTTTTTTTCCCCAGAGAGATGCCATTTTGGGTGTGTGGTGTTTAAAGACCCAGGGCTGGGTCCCTTGGGGATGAGCTGGAATAATAAGGTTGCTGAACCAGACCTAACCCATTTGGTTATAACAGAAAGTTGTTTTCTACTGAGAGTGGCTTTGAGGCTGAGATGGAGGAACAACATATGGGGGAACAGGCAGAGGCGGGAGGCAATCACAGGGGGACCTGGAAGACCCACAGGGGCTGGCTCAGGGTTAAAGGGAAGCTGGGTCCTGTAGCAGGGTGCTGCCGGGTTGCCATTTGGCATTGATGTCTGGGGCCTCTAGGACTTTTTCCTTTAAGTTCCCCTTGTCCCCTGCCTAGCTTCACGATCCCTCCACAGTCCAAGGCAGAGGACCACAAAGAGATGTCACAGAGAGCACCTGGGTTGCAGTCAGCACACTAGGGTTTGCATTTTGACACTGCTCCTTCCTAGTGCTGTGGCCTCCAGTAAGTCACCTCTCTGGCCCTGGGGGCCTCCTCTATGAAGAGGGAACTGTAATACCCAGGAGGATCAAGGCGAACCAATGCATACTAAGGCTCCTGCTCAAGGTGTGGGCCTCTGCTGCACGAGGCCTACAAAGGAAGGGTTTGCAGTAGATTACAAGCAGCTCATTCTGAATCTGGGGAGAAAATGAGTCCCATTAGGGGAAAAACAAAGCCCTGCATAATAGGTATTAGCTGCAGCCCTACAGAGTCAATAAGAATTAGGTGGGTGATATAACGCTACCCTTGGATAAGTTTGCCCTAATTTTGGCAAGTTCCAGTCTAACCCTCTGAGGCTAGGTCTTTTCTCCCTGGATGGAGAGTTATTTCTTTAAAAGAAGAAAAGAGGCTGGGTGGGGTGGCTGAATCCCGTAATCCCAGCACTTTGGGAGGCCGAAGTGGGCAGATCACTTGAGGTTGGGAGTTTGAGACCAGCCTGGCCAACATGGTGAAAACTTGTTTCTACTAAAAAATACAAAGATTAGCCAGGTGTGGTTGCAGGCACCTGTAATCCCAGCTACTCGGAAAGCTGAGGAAGGAGAATCGCTTGAACCCAGGAGGCAGAGGTTGCAGTGAGCCGAGATCATGCCACTGTACTCCAGCCTGGGCAACAGAGCGAGACACCATCTCAAAAAAAAAAAAAAAAAAAAAAAAAGAAGAAGACGAAAAGAAAAGAGAAACTATTTTGTCATTTTGTATGCATATAAGCAAGAGGGAAGCATTTGTCTCTGTCCACATTACAAACAGAGCCCAGCTTGATGCCAGCATCCTCAACAACTGCCCCTATGTTACCTGAGGATTTACATGGTGCTCCAGAAGGAAGATCTTGGCCTAATCCAGATTCTGACACTACCTGTGTGACCACAGACTGGCCACTTACCCTTCTCTAGGGGCCTTATTTATTCATTTGAAACAAAATACTGGAATCAGGAGCTAAGGTTTCTTCCATCTCAGGCATTCAGTGATTCTGGTCCTTGGTGGGAGGCCTGGACCTTATCTCCCAGTGCAGAACTCCTCTCCCAGGCTGGGTCTCCCCAAGGAGACTGAGAGTTAACTGTGATAAGTTCTGAAGAACAAGAGTCCCACAGCCACCATCACCACAAGAAGAGGTCATCCAGGAACTCTGCCAATGGGTAGCAAGGCCAGTCTTGGTGGTGATGGGGAGGTGGGGATGGGAAGGTGGAGACTGTCCCCTCCCCACCCAAATCCTGCCTAGTGGCCTCCTCCAGTGCGCCACAAGAGGACTGAGTCTTGGTTGCTCCAGGCAGAAGAAGCTCCTCCCTGCACACCAGAGCTCCTCATTGTCCACAGACATGTCTCCCCATAATGACTTTAGTGAATGTGCCCCGAGGGCAAGATGATCATGTATTCCAGAGAGAAAGGAATACCCTCAACCACGCCTCCTGGGGGGTGGGGATGGCCAGGACCATTGTGGTGCTCCTGCTGGCTCCATTATAAACAGGGACAATGAGGTCAAGTTACACAGGAGTCCATATGTTCCACTGAAATTAGCCACAGGCCTCGATGCAGTCCGGTCTCAGAAAGAAAGTCACGACCTGTGCCCATTGTGAACATTTGATGCTAGCCAGGCCAGGAGTGGGAGCCAGCGGGGTGTGGGTCAGACCTTGACATCTCTGCCTCTTTTAGAGCCACAAAGCTGCTAGCAGCAGAGCAGATACAGTTTGTGGCAAGAAAATGAGAGAAGCACAGCGTTTTCATGGATCACAGGCATGGGGGAAAAGACACTTCAACTCCGTTGTGTGCTGACAGCTCATGTAGCCTGTCCCACCACTCCTCGGCTGGTCCCACGACCTGAGCCTCTGTCCACGGCCCCCTTCCGTTCAATGGTCTGCATTGTGCAGGAAATATCTTCCTTTTGTTTTTCCAACCATTTATACCTCGGCTCATTTGTTTTCTATTCTTGGGAGCAATTCATCTGCTCTTGGGCCCCACAATGTCTTTCTTCCCTTGATTCCTAGACAAGATGCTTGGACAGGTCCATTGTCTTAACAGTGGCCAACTCGTGGTATTTAATAAAAGTTGTGCTTTAAAAAGAAAAACCAATGGGGATTCCAGTTTTTATCCATGGTAACTTCTGAGAAATTTGGTAGTGGTGCTGCTCCTGTGTGGCTTGGCCTTTGTGCTTTTTGTTTGGATTTCAGGGGAGAGTTCCACAGGGATACCTGGGGAAATTTTCCATGATGCCAAGACAATGGGCAGAGTTCCTCCCCATTCCTCTCTGCCATCCTGGCAGATTGTAAAATTATACTCTATTGCTAGAATGAAGGAGAACTTGTATGGAGAGTCCTTTCTATTGCTCTGTGGACTACAGCCCTTCATGGTTGTTCAAGAAAAATGGATTTGGGGGCAGAAAGAGAAAAAGGCAGTGAGGTTCAGAGCAGTTTGGGCCCAGGCAGGCTCATATATGGAAGGGACAGAGGCTTACAATAGAAAGTGTTGCAAAGACCTGGCCTGGAAGTCCCAGAAAGGGTCTTAATTGTAAGTCATTTTGTCAATGCATCGCAGGCTTTTTTCTGGGTGCACCAGAGAAATTACTGTTGCTGGGATCATTAGGGGTGCAATTATCCCAGTTATTAATACACCACCAAACGTGGGAGGGGAGGGCGTGCTCAGCCCCATCCATGGGCTCCCCAGCTGCAGGTTTTCATTTCCCAACAGCACAGGAGGTCTCGTAGGGATCCACAGAATTGTCAAGATAACTACTGGCATCTCTTGGCTCCAACAGAGACTTGCACAGTATTATAGACAGAGGAAATGCCATTGAAGAAGTGGCTGTAAGATTCTTCAGGGTTGGGTCTCCTTGGATCTCTCACACTTTTTCCCTCAAAAATGTGTCACAGGTAAAGTAAGTATTTCCAAACAAAGCTTCAGGGTAGCATAAAAAGGGTCAGACTCTCCCTGCTCCACACAAGCCATGGGTTTCACGATGTCTATGTATCCATACATGCACGTGCCGTGTGCGCGCACACACACACACACACACACGCATCCCTTTGAACATGGTCACTGGTGGAGAATGAACGGCCTCTGCTCTAGCCTGAGCATCTGTAAGATGGTCAGGGGATGCCACAGGCCCCACTCATCTACAGGGAGGCATCTCATCGAGCCAGACTGCACAAAAGCACCTCCTCAACATGGTGGACGCTCAGCACTCTTGGCAGAAACACTTGGCACTGGCAGGAAATCTCAGCAGGGCGGCTTGTTTCCGCTCATCAAACACCAGTAGCTTTCACCGAGAGCAGCAGCAAATGGAAGAAATGTGTCTGATCACATCCGGGCTGTGTGTCAGCACTTTTCCGAGGCAGAGTTAGCTGGATTCTAGCTTTGAAGAAAAGGTTGTTACACTCTCTTTCTGTCCTGCAGTATCAGCCAAGAAGCAGGTGGCAGGGACTTACCTGACACCCAGCTGCCCTCCCAATGCCCCTGGGACAACCTGAGAGGGTCAGTTGAGAAACAGAAACTAATGACAGAGCCCACTCTCTCCCTGCTAAACACAGGGCTGCCAGCTACTCAGGAGAAATGAATGCCCAGGGACAAAATACTTGGGCCTCTCTTGTGCCTCCTCTGTGGCCATCCCAATAGCTTCCTGTTCATTCTGCTCTTGTTGGTCCCCCCAGCGGCTAGGCAGGGAGGGGAAGCAGAGTGTAGACCCCCATGCCTCAGTATGACTTGCGCCTGCTCAGCAGCTCCAACAGCAAGACTGGTGAGGAGATGCAATCTGTGAATTATCAGTGGGTCAGGTGCTGGAGGATGCCCAGGCATCCCCCAATAAGTAGCTGCTCTTATAACCAAGAAGCCACGCTACCCCCCATCATAAGAGGAGTAGGGGAGTAGAACAAAGATACCCTTGACCCCATTCCTTGCACCACAATCTCCTACCCAGACTAGAGAAGGAAGTGTCTATTTGCAAGGCGGGATTCGTGTGTTCCACACTTGGATTCACTCCTGTGGGCCCAACTCACCATCCAGAAATACAAAAGGACTTCTCTGAAGAGTATAAAGCCCCACACTCTTTCAGAGAGCTGCCTTGGAAGGTCAGAACTCTTTTTTAAAAGTGAATTTAAACAGGTCGCCAATAACGGCAATCTTTGAAATATACTCCTATGCATCCTGAAGTCAAGAAGAGTGGCCACATGGGGTCAGTGGTTCACATCTGTAATCCCAGCACTTTGGGAGGCTGATGCAGGAGGATGGCTTGAGCCCAGGATGTTTGAGACCAGCCTGGGCAACATGGCAAAACCCTTGTTTCTACAAAAAAAAAGTTTTAGTTAGCCAGGTGTGGTGGTACGCACCTGTGGTCCCAGCTACTCAGGAGGCTAAGGTGGGAGAATTCCTTGAATGCAGGAGGTTGAAGCTTCAGTGAGCTGTGTTTATGCCACTGCACTCCAGCCTGGGCGACAGAGAGACTCTGTCAAAAAAAAACAAGATGATGTAATATTTGAAAGTGTACTTTCCACTTTTTTATTTAGGTTAAGTACATACACATTAAAATATACAAATTGGCCAGGCATGGTGGCTTGTGCCTGTAATCCGACACTGTGGGAGGCCAAGGTGAGTGGATCACCTGAGGTCAGGAGTTTGAGATCAGCCTGGCTAACATGGTGAAACTCCATCTCTACTAAAAAATACAAAAATTAGTCGAATGTGGTGGCACGTGCCCGTAGCCCCAGCTACTCAGGAGGCTAAGGCAGGAGAATTGCTTGAACCCAGGAGGCGAAGGTTGCAGTGAGCCAAGATCACACCACTGCACTCCAGCCTGGATGATGGAACGAGACTCCACCTCAAAAAAATAAAACAAAACAAAATAAAAATAAAGTGTACACATCTTCAGTAGATAAGTTGATGAATTTTTGAAGATGCATTCACACATGTACCCACCATCCAGATCAAGCTATAGATTTCCAGCAGCCCAAGAGGTCCTTCATGCCCTTTCCAAGTTGATACCAAGCAAGCTACTACCCTTCTGACTTCTGTCACCATAGATTCATTTTACCTATTCTAGGAGTGCAGATAAATGGAATCACACAGGACCTACCCTTTCATGTCTAGCTTCTTCTCCACATTCTACCTGTGGTGCTGCCTCACATTGCTGAACGGAGGAGTAGTTCAGGCTTTTTCATTGCCTAGTTGTATTCCATTGCATGAAAATCCTTACTTTGCTTTGGTCCTTTGTGGCATGAGTGAGAGAAAGCAAGAGAGAGCTGCGTGGACTTGGTGCTTCTGCTGGGCAGCCCGGTAGCGGAGGCCAGCATGCAGCCATGGGGAGGAGGAAACGAAAGCAGAAAATGGACTGCAGAGCTCTCAGGAAGGAAGGCTGGAGCCAGCCCTGCTGTCTTGGGCCATGTGTCCTAGGCGCTCCTGCTGAGTAGGGAAGGAAGATTTCAGACCAACCTCCCTCCCCACCCCCAACAACAGCCGACTGTTCCTAGACCGTCGCCCCCTCCCCAAAAGCTCGTTCTCCAAGGACAAAGAGAAACTCAGAGATCTCAACTGCTCCACAAGCCAGTGTGAGGAGAGGCCCTTTATTTCCCGGGGCCTCTGGCTGACTAGCCAAACCAGTCGAGCATGACAACCGTCTGCCCATTAATGCGAGTGCCAGCCCCAAGCATCTGTTTCTTTCTCTCCTGTTTCCCGTGGGTGGTGGGTGGGGGCTCTCTCCAGCTCCTCTGCACTTTTTCCTCCTAATCACAATCATTTGTCTTAACAGGGCTGCAAACCACTGTGGCTAAAAAACCCAAGCAGCGCCCGCACAAAGCCAACAGGCACCGGCCTTGCCCACATCCCCTGGCTAGCCTAAAGTGAAATTGAAGCAGCCCACTCTGCCATTATCCTCTTTCCTGCTTGTTTCGCAGGGCCTACGGCTACTTTTAGATGGCCACACTGCCTGGTGTGGCCTCCAAATATCTGACCACCCCTCCTCCGGTTTCCAAAGGCAAATGCCAGGACCCCATTGACACAAACCCAGTGCCTTAACAATCTGAAGACCAAAGAACCAGCCTTCACAAGGGGGCCTGGAGGTGCTGTTTAGGCCAGGAGAAAGACTTCGCTCCGGGGGTGGGCTTTCTGAGTGAGTTCCAGTCTTAATGAAAACCCAAGAGGAGCTTTGGGAAAATGTGAAAGGGGCTAACTGCGGAGGCGGGGGAGCCACCCACGGCCACCCAAGACCACTCACTCTACCTGCCCTTTCCCACCCCAGCTAAGGGTCCTAGACGGCCACCCTCCACCCAAACCCCCACCCAACACCAGGTTATCAGTCTGGCACCCTTGTCCCTGCTGCAGGCTGTGTCTACCCCAGGGCCCAGCCTCTAAGCCTCTCTCCTTTGATTCTCCCCGCAGCACCTTCTCTTAACCCCCACTGCTGTTATAGGCTGAATTGTCCCCACCCAACCCCCACCCATATGTTGGAGCCCTAACCCCCAGTACCTCCGAGTGTGACCGCATTTGGAGACAGGGCCTTTAAAGTGGTAATGAAGCTAAAATGAAGCTGGTGGACCCTCAGCCAATACAACTGGTGTCCTTATAAGAAGTGGGAGAGACACCAGGGATGTGTGCACACCAGAACAGGCCGGGCAAAGACACACGGGGAAGACGGTCCTCTGTAGGCAAGGTCAGAGGCCTCAATAGAAACCGGCCCTGACAACACCTTGATCTTGGACTTTGAGCTTCCAGAACTGTGAGGGAATACATTGCTGTTGTTTCAGCCACCTAGTCTGTGATATTTTGTTCTAACAGCCTGAGCAGGTAATACAACTGCCTGTACTTTCTTTTGAGAATGGCCCAGACCTTGGTCACTGCTCCAGCAGACCCTGCCGGCTGACTGCCACCCAGGGGGAGAATGCGGAGGGATGGAAAGGGAGCCCACACTGTTCCCAACCCAGGCCCCACCCACCCTACTGTCCCGAGCCACCTTCCACCAGGACGTCTGTGGGGCACCCTGTCCCCTGGTCCCTCCCAGCTCGGTGGCAGGGTCTCCTCTGGCTTCACCTGATGGAAGGTGACTCCCAGTCTCCTTCTAGCCAACAGGACCACGGATGCATTAGGCCCCCTCAGAAGCAAGCAGTGCATGGGGATCCATGCTGAGATGAACAGTCCCCGGTGCAGAGCAGACGGTGTCAATCTCTGGAACGGAATGGGAAGAAGAGACTGCCAGCAGGGTGTCTCCAGGCACAGGGAGGCCTCTGGAAGGACAGAGGTAGGAAAGGTGACTGTGGGCCCGTGGGGTGGCTCTGAGCAGCAGCAGGCTTCAGACCCGTGCATGCGACCCTCTTTTCTGCCTCCTTGGCCACCTCAGGCTTCCTCCTTCCCCTTCCCCGAGGCATCAGCCAGAGAGGCCCTGGGACTCAGTGACCTTTAACTCAAGGCAGCCAGGCCAGGAGCCAGCGTTCTATCCCTCCTGGGATCCAACAGCAACATGGACAATCATTTCAGGACCTTTCTCTTTCACCCCTGAGACCCTGTCCCAGGCCCCTTGTATTCACTTCCTATTAGGGCAACAAATTGCCACGCATTTAGCAGCTTGAAACAGTACACATTCCTTCTCTTCCTTTTCTGTAGGCCAGAAGTCTGACATGGGTCTCACTGGGTTGAAACCGATGTGAGGGCAGAGCTGCGTTCCTTTCTGCGGGGAGGACCTGTTTCCATCGCAGTTCCAGCTGCCCACGTTCCTTGGCTGGTGGCCTCTGCCTCCATCTTCAAAGCCCGAAGTAGCAGTCTAGGCTTCTTCACATTGTGTCATCTGACTCTGACTCTCTTCCCCCCTCTTTCACTCACAATCACAGTCCCTTGTAATTGCACTGGGCTCTCGCAGGTGACTGAGGATTATCTCTTAAAGTCAGCTGACTACTAACTCTAAATCCCCCTCGCCACGTAACATGACATAGCCTCTGGGTCCGGGGATTGAGGCGCAGACATTACCGGGAGGCCACAATCCTGCTGATCACACACCTAGGTTTACATTTCTGGGCGTTCTCCCTTCCCAGGGAGAACAAGAAGAGAGAACAGTAGGAAAGTTATTCTGCCCCCTTCCTCATCCTTCTCTGCCATCCCCCACCTCACTTCCCCTTCACAATAAGCCCCATAGCTCAGCTCACCAGCGTGAAACAGCATCCACAGACTCCAGAGTACCTATCTGGACCCACGGAGCACTGTCTCCAGACACCTGTCTGTGTGCCATGTGCTGTCCAGACCCACGACTGGCCATAGGAACAGATGTCTGCTGCCGATGGCTAAGGATGTCAGGCTCTTTCCCCTGGGCCTCACAGGGAGGGCCTCACTCTGGGTGAAGAATCTCATTTCTCAACCTTTGGGATTAGGAGGGTCCAATCATCCAGAAGTGGTTTTTTTCCTGAGAGACCTAAGCCCACTGAAATTCCAGGTTGCTACTCCCAGAGGCAGGGCAGACTAGGCACACATGTCAGAACCTCTCTTTCCCAATACGGAGCCACGGGCTGTTTGGTGAGCATAGAACCACAGGAAAAAGAATTTAGGTTGTCTGGAAGGGATGTTTCCATCCATCATGGAAGCTCGATGACTCACATTTTCCCAGCATCCAAATACTCTTGTTAAGCGGCCTGTGAGTTTCCCACTGAGTGTTTTAAATAAATGCTTTATACATACACCCTCTCCCACCCCCACAGCTCCAGGATGACCCCAAATGTGCGATTTCTTCATCCTTACCCTGTCAAAACACCCTCAGTACAGCTCCCCAGAAACCACATCCCCTTATGCAAGGCACACGCTGCAGCTTCATCCATCCACAGGCATCTGAAGGAGCGACCAGCTTCCAATGAGGGGTCCGGTGGGATGAGAGAGCTGGGGGAGGCAAGTCCACCTCGTAACCTTGTCCCTAGTTAAGAACTTCTCTTGTGTGCTTCAAGATAGAACTACAGAATGAGAAAGCTGGACGTTGGAAGAGGGACCCCAACATTTATCTAGCCCAATCCCACTAATTTCCTAACTAGGAAACTGTAAAAACAGTTTTAAAAGTTAAAGGTTGTACAGAATCATTACTGTCATCATCTTCATCACCATCACCATCGCCATCACCATGATTTCATAAACCTGGATTCCACAGTCTACCGATGAGTCACTTCATTCAGGGTCTTTTCTAAGAGACTGGTTTTTCCCACCTCCCTTTATGTAGGGTCCCTATGAACTCCTTCTGGCTGCTAGAGGGTGCTCTGGTCTGAATGTTTGTGTACTCCCACCAAATTCATATGTTGAAACCCAACCCCAAGGCGATGGTATTAGGAGGTGGGGCCTTTACAAGGTGATTGGGTCATGAGGGTGGAGCCCTTAGGAATGGGATTAGTGCCCTTACAAAAGAGGCCTGAGGGCACTCGCTCGCCCTTTCCTCCATGTGAAGACTGCACAGTAAGGAGCCATCTGTGAAGCAGAGAGCCCTCACCAGACACCAAAGCTACACCTGTAGATCGGCATCATTTGATCTTGATCTTGGACTTCCCAGCTTTCAGAACTGTAAGTAATAGATTCCTGTTGTTTATAAATTACTTAGTCTAAGGTATTTTGTCATAGCAGCTCCAACAGACTAAGACAGAGGGAGAAAGGGGATGGCCTCAAGTTCAGGAGCATCTCTGTCTTCTGAGCGCTATTTCTCAGAAGGGCCCCCAGGGGTACGCTCAGGCCTCCATCTCCCCCAGTTGTGGGGCTCTGCACATGGGCTACAGGTGTGGGGACAGCCAGTCAGTTTTAACGAATCACTGATGTACATGGAGCACACTGCAGTCCAAACCCTGGTGCTTTTTAGGTGGTAACTCATTTAATCATCATACCAACACTTTGCAAGAGAGGAGCTCGAGATACAGAGAGGATAAGTCACTTGCCAAGGTCAAGGGACTGGCAAGGGGCAGAGCCAGGATGCAAATCCAGGGTCTAACCCCCATCTCCTGTCTGCATTTCTGATTGGGTGCAGAACATTCTAGGACCCAATTTTCCACCCTTTCTCCTTTTTCTCTCTCACAGCTAATCATCCCCCTTCCCCACAGGGCTGCCAGGAGGGTGATGAGTCACCTCCATGGGCACACATCCATGCTTTTGCCCACCCCACAAGCCTCCTGGTAGCTATTTCTGGAGGGAAACTATCTGAGGAGGAGAATGGGAACGGCTGTTTTCAATTCTAAACTCTGACGCAGCCAAAGCCAGCACCCAGCCCAGGGCCCTACCCTCTTGCTTTTTCCTAAGAGATGATAAAGATGGTGTTGGTGGTGATGACAGTCAGAGGGAAGCAGGAGACTGAGGTGCCAGGAACAGGGCAAGATAAACTGAGTAAGACTGCAATTTGCTAAAGCCTACACCAAAATCTTTGCCAGCCACAAAATTGCTATGCTCATTTGAGTTGGATTTCCATTCCAGCTCAAATGCTCTGTACAGCCATCCTGGGACCTTCCCAGGATCCAGGGTATGGAGCCTTAGGGGACTCTCACTCCCCCTGTGCCCACAGAGGCCCTGATGCCTGGAGCGTGGGCACCGCCTCTGGGAGGCTCCAGGGTGCCTGGAGTCTCCTGGAAGCAGAGAGAAGCTTTCAGCTGTTCCCACCCCTTGGATCAGTTTCCAGCTTGAGACAACGTGCTTGTCAAAGCCCCTTGGAATTGCCAGAGTAGGTAGAGTCTAAACATTCATGTAGTTACAGGATAATAATTACACCTTCCATGTACATAACACCTTTCTTCCCCAGAGCAGCCGGCTTCTCACATTATCTCATTAATCCTCCTGTCCCTGGGAGGCAGGGAGGACACAGCGTGACTACCCTGAGTGAGAAGGGAGAGTGAGGGAGACAGAGAGAGAAGGTACTTGCCCGGGGTCACACTCTTAGTCGCATGCTTCAGGTGTAGGCTGTGCTGGGTCCTTGGCCAGAAATCAGAAAAATCATAATGGTTGTCCTCAACTGAGTGCTTTACTCAGTTGACCCTAGGCAGTCATTAGCATAGTTTCCCTCAGTCCTGGCAATGGCCTCGTGAGGCTGGGATTATTCTGGTCTCCTTTACAGATGGGGGAACTGAGCTCAGCGAGGTGCAGCTCCTTGCCAGGGGTGTGGTAGGCAGGACGGCTGGGCTGCACGTATTCCACCCTCTGCAGCAGACCCCAACAGCCTGCTCCCGAAGCTGGTCTTCCTCCCAGAGCAACACCAGGTAACCAAAGGCAGAGCACGTTTAACAGGGAGGGTTGACCCCCTCCTCTGGCCCCTGGGAGGTCAGAGCAGTAGCTGAGCGACCAGGAGGCAGAAAAAGCGGCTCATTATGTAGTCTTATGGAATCTATAGAAAAGACCTAATTCACTGAGAGCTGCACCCCACCCCCACCCCTCCTCCAGTCCCATTCCTGTTTCCTGGCCCATCCTTTTGACACAGGGACAATTACTGCTATTCATGCCCACCCCAAGGCCACCTGCCACTGACCCATTCTCATGCACATGGAGCTAAAGATCAGGCACAAAGCAGGCCAATCTGAGGTTTTCCACCAGACCTAGGAGGGGACCCTCTGTACACCCCCCACCCCTCACCCCCACCGTCAGCATTCAGGGCAGCCAGGCGTCTGCAAATTCCAGGAGGCTGCCTGGCCTGGGAGACCCATCAAGGAACTGGCTGCTGGGGACTGCCAATGCCTGCTCGTCCACACCAAGGCCTCACATCAGTGTGGGGAGGTTCAGCCCACAAGAAACTGGTCTTTGGAATGAAGGCTGGGGTGGTGATCCTAGACAAACCCATGCTTTGGGAGCCCCAAGTCCTGACTCCCACACACAGATCCCTAGAGGTGGCTCACTGGAGCAGAGTGTTCAGTTTCTGGAAATTTTGTGAGATGGTTGATGTCACACTGGTAGCTTGAAATCAGCTACCAATTTGGGAGTAGTAATGCCATGTTAATGGCCAAAGCCACAAATCGGCTCCGCCCTCTCCCAGCCAGCTGTTAAACGTTTACCAGCACGCCACTGTCTGGGGGTCAGATACTGCACCCTTCCTAGAGCATCTGGGAAGTCCGAAAAACAATGGACAAGATCTCAGGGCAGCCAGGCCGTGAGTAAGCGGCAAACTTATTTACAGCTAACACTGTCTTCCTGATGGGTTTCTGGGAATATTCTGCCACCTTGCAGAAATGTTGCCTCTAAGCTCCTTCTTCAAAAGAGGTGTTATTTGGACCACAGAATGAATTCTTGGCATGGCGAGGTTGTGGCTGGCAGATCTTTGTGCTATCACTCACACTAGCCCAGGCACAGAAGCATACCTTCTTCACAATTCTTGCAAATTTTTGGTGAATTAAATTAAACTAAATTTTTTTTTTTTAAAAAAAAGGAAGTTTCAGGCTGGGCGCGGTGGCTCACACCTGTAATCCCAGCACTTTGGGAGGCCAAGGCAGGCAGATCATGAGGTCAGGAAATCGAGACGATCCTGGCTAACACTGTGAAACCCCGTCTCTACTAAAAATACAAAAAATTAGATAGGCGTGGTGGTGGGCGCCTGTAGCCCCAGCTACTCGGGAGGCTGAGGCAGGAGAATGGCGTAAACCCGGGAGGGCAGAGCTTGCAGTGAGCCCAGATTGCGCCACTGCACTCCAGCCTGGGTGACAGAGCAAGACTCCCCCTCAAAAAAAAAGAAGTTTCAGTTTGTTCTAGTTGAATCAACTTACAGCTGTCAGGGGCAAAGTTTGATAAAGAAAAGTTTATCCGGCTGGCTATAATTCATTGGCTGCCTTTGAATTTGGGGTAATGACAAGGCCTCTCCCTGCACAGCCCTGAGAGCCCTTCCTGTAGCTGGAGCTTCCTTTTGGCAACTGAAGAACTTCTCAGGATTCTTCTCCAAGTGACGTTAAATGGCCCAGCTGATTTTATTAAAACAATCATAATTGTTTCCTGCAGAAAACAGGAGAGTAACAGAATCTTACATAGGTTGTTTTGGAGGTGATTTCCTGCTGGAATGCCTCGTGAGTAAGCCTGGGGACAGTGACATGAACAGCTGCCTCCCTAGGACGTTTCTTTATGTTTGCGTATAATAAAGTAATTAAGAAATATGAATAAACGGCAACTACTGCCAAAACCTCCAAAATACCATCAGTTTCAACTGCTATGCCTTAGGGAGACATCTTTTTCACCCTGCTTGTTCCCAACTCTGAGCCCTTATCCATGTAGACTCCTCACACCCCCAATTCCCAAATGTCCCTGCAGCTCCCATCCCCTGTGGCTGGCGGCAGAGGCAGCGCTGGCTTTCCACAGGCTCCCTGAGGACTCCAGGCCTCTTCAACGCCTCCCTCATGCCTGCCTTTTCTCTGGACTGTACATTGGAACATCCTTATCTCTCCAACTAGGCGGGAGGAGACATAAATGTCATTCACCCCTGCAACAAATAGTTCTAGACATTGGGGTAGACAATGGAGATTCAGCAAAGAACAAGAGGAAACTGTCCCTGAGGCAGACAGATGAGTACATACATAGAAAAGTTGGGGCACGTCTGAGAGGGATCCCTACCCTCAACTTGACACACCAACGAAGACTTCCCAGGTTCCAAGAGCAACCTGAAGGGTGAGTAGAAAATGTCTAGATCAGGGGTTAGCAAACTTTTTCTGGAAAGTCCCCGCTATTCCAGATAGTAAATATTTCACTTGGGCTTTGTGGCTTTACGGTCTTCATGGTGGTAGCTATTCAATTCTGCCCTTGCAGCGCAAAAGCTGCTGCAGGCACCATGCAAACAGATAAACATGGCTGTGTTCCAACAAAACTTCATTTATGGACACTGAAATTTAAATTCATATAATGCTCGAGCGTCACAAAATCTTCTTTTGATTTTTTTTGTGGGGGCTACCATTTAAACATGTAAAAATCATTCTTAGCTCTTGAGCTGGATTTGACCCACGGGCAAATACTCTCCGACGCCTATTAACTCTGTGACCTTAGGCAACCTTGCTGAGACTCCATTCGCTGACCTCTGATCCAGAGGTAGGGTGCTGGCGTGGAAGTGGGGGCTGGGGTTCAGGGTTTGCAGGCTGAGGGATGGTATGGAGGGAGTGGAGCAGGAGGTGAGCCTACACGGAACCCTGGAAACCCTGGAAAGGAATTTGGACTTTACCCTGTGGGTCAGAGATGGGTTCTCATTGGGGGAGTCGCTTGTTAAACAAATATTTATCAAGTGCCTACTGAATGCCTGGCACTATCTGGGGGGCCACTTTAGATTGGGTAGCCAGGAAAGGTTTTCTGAGGAGGTGGCGTTTGAGCTGAGACCTAAATTACAAGACAAGGTTTATGGAGTGACATAGCCTTTAATTCTTACAATTATCTCTAAGGAGTGATGAACCGATCCTCATTTTACAAGGGAAGAAACGGAGTCTCAGCAAGGTTGCCTAAGGTCACAGAACTAATAGGCATCAGAGAGTATTTCAACCGCTCTGGGTTCAAACCCTGCCCCTGGCATTTTTTAACTAAGTAACCTTGGCTAGTGACCTCACCTCAGAGTCCCTGCACACTAATAATGAGTTCCTCTTTTCTCCATCAAGAAGCAGATCTAGTGATATTTATACATTAAAGAAATATGTATTGAAGACCTACTATGTGCTAGGACTGTTCTAGGTGCCTGGGACAATGAACAAGGTAGTGTCTGGGTCAGCGAACAAAACAAAGATTCCTGTACACACAGAGGATGGGGAGGGAGGGCTGGAATTTTAGATGGAGTAGTCAAGGTAAACCTTATTGCAAATGTGGCATTTGAACAGACTCAAAGGAGATGAGGGAGTTAGATGTGCGGATATTTTGGAAATGAGTTCCAGGCAAAGGGATGAGCCAGTGCAAAGGCCCTGAGGCTGGTTGCATGCATGGTGTGTTCAAGGCCCAGCTAAATCAGTGTGGCTGGAGTAGAATGAGGGATGTGGAGAGTGGTAGGAGATGGGGTCTGAGAGGTGATGTGGCCATGGTGGGGAAGGGGTCAAGAAAGCTCATGTAGGACCTTGTAGGACACTGTAGACTTTAGTATTCCTCTGAGAGTCACTATCTTAAGGTTCAAGCCACTAGATTCTGTGTTTAGGGTCCCTCAGAGCTCTAGGATTCTATGGTTCTGTGACTGTACCCACCACAATTTGACAGCCAGGTTTAACTCAGAACTAAGTAGTCACCCAAGAAGAGAGATCGGGACTGGAAGAGACTGGGAGACACCCTTCTGCAGATCTCAGACTGGAGAATATTAACTAATCAGACATTCTCTGCAGCACAGGGTGCCTGGGTTATAGGTAGCTTCCTAACTCTGAAAACTCCCTAACTCTTCCAAAGTGAGTTGCCTTACTAGGCACATGATGAGTTCAGGAGTCATGCAGGAAAGTGTCAAAAGTTTTTTCAAAATCCTGGTATATTTTGCAAGACTCACCCGGTTCTAGCCCAATCCTAGGGTGATAAGAATATGCTGAGAGGAAGGCCAGGGGCCAGGCTGCTCCGGAAAGACCCTGAGAGTACCCTCTCCACTCCAGATCTTGGCTGGAGAGGGTTGGGGTGGGAGTTAGAGGAGGACAGGAAGGGAAGCTTCCAAACCACCTGGGACAGACTTGACACTCACACCCCACCCTATTATGAATCTAGTTTATTCTGCCTCCGGGCCTTCTGGCGTTTTTGTTTTGTTTTGAAGATCTGTTTGGTTTTGTTTTTTTCTACATCTGTTTCTAAGTCCCTCCTGTTTAGTTCTTTTGCTCTAAATAGATCAGTAATGGCCTCAAACTGTGTATGGGGCTGTGACACAGGCTACTGGGATTCTTAATAGCCTCCCTGGGGCTCCTCCTATTTCCCTGAGGAAGTAATAGAAGCTCTAAGGGCACAGGCCAACACAAAGGTGAGGTGTCCCTCATGGACCTAGTCTCGGGACAAATACAGTGACAGCTCCACGTGACTATCCAACAGAAACAGACTTTTTTTTCTTTTTTCTTTTCTTTTTTTTTTTTTTTTTTTTTTTTTTTTTTTTTGAGACGGAGTCTCACTCTGTCACCCAGGCTGGAGCGCAGTGGCGTGATCTCGGCTCACTGCAACCTCTGCCTCCCAGGTTCAAGCAATTCTCCTGCCTCATGTCCCAGAAACAGACTTTTTATATGAGCTCGAAGGAGTTTCTTTTGTCCTTAGAGAATCTGGAACTAGCCAGGTTCTGATTCTGCCAAGAAATCCACTTCCTAGTCAAGGAATATTCTTGGAGCCCAGTGCTCCACTGCGCCTCCCAACACATACACAACAGGGCACCTGTACATAAATCTATTGTCTTGTCTGAGCTTGGTATGAATTCCTCACCTGTTAAGAATGTTGGTTGTTTTTTCCTGCTCCTTACAGGCTGATACAATTTCATTAGATACATTTTCTTCATTCCCTCCTTGTTACCCCTGGCTAAGAATCCCTTTACCTTTTTGACATTCTCCTTTTTTGCATCTCTGAGATCTTCACAGGGCATTGTTTTAAGTTATTCCCCCACAGAGAATTGTCAAATAACCAAGTAGTCAGTCCACTTACTGTTCCATTTATCCCTTAACACTCTAGAAATGTGCTCATTTAGCTGAGGTTTTCTGAAAACACATCTAAGGGGATGTGGAGATGCACAAAGAGTCAAAGATAGCTTTTTTTCCTTTAAAAAAAACTTTATTTTTAATGACACAAGTCTTTTCTTTAAACATTCAGGATGCAAAGAAATTGATTCCTGGGGAGAAAGGTGACGATTTTCAAGCCAGCGGGGGAAAGATGTTGCCTTTTACCTCCTTTGTCTTCTGTCCAGGGCTCACCTGAACCATCTTTCCTTAGTCTTTCAATAGAAAAGGCTCTTGTTGCAAACACCAGAGAGCCAGCAGGCTGAGTACTGGATTGTTCAAAACAGCCGTGGAAACTCTGGTCTAAATAAAACCCAGCCGAAATATTTTTTACTTTAACCGAGAAGCCTCACCAGCCTCAACAATCTCAGAAACTGAAAAAAGTATCAGTGCTGCTGGGGACAGGAGTCAGAGTTTCCTGTCACCATGCCTGGGATGATAGGGTCATGCGATGGTATGGTTAAGGGCATGGGTACAAGGTTTACAAAACACATGGCTGGGTTTATGAAGCCTGCCTCCACCTCTTACTACCTGTGCTAGCTGGGGTAGATTACTTAACATCTCTGTGCCTCAGGCTCCCCTTCTACAAAATGAGAATAACAAAAGGAGCTACTGTAGGGTTGCTAGGAGGATTAAATTAGATAATACACACAGAGCAATGAAAACAGTGTCTGATACATAGGAAGCATTATGTAAGAATTAGCTACCTGTATTATCATTGCAGTAATGTAATGTCTGATATATATATATATATATATATATATATATATATATATATATATATATATGCAGCACATGTCTCTCCAACAGGCTATACAAGGTTTGAGCAGATCCTTCATTTCTTTGGATATTTATATGCACAGGGGTTGCCCTAATTGTAGAGCCCTTATAAATCTACCAGTCCATGCCGAGATGCTTATAACCTAAGCCCTTGCTGCAAGCCCCTTGTTTTGCTTCCTGGCACTGAGCCTAGCAGCCTGTCCCGGCCCCACATTAAAGTCAGAGAGGAAAGAGACAGAGGGCCAGCTGCTCCAACTCCTTCAGTCTGAGCAGGGTGTGGCAGGCAAGGGTTGGGACTTTGGCAGGAGAAGTGAAGTCCCCAGCCAAAGAGTGACCAACCAAGCATGAGACAGTGTCTTGCTCTCCTTCTGTCATACACAACCCCCAATACGTACCCTCACAACACCCCAACACTACCCAACACCACGACTCACATAGACACCAGCAAAGCTGTCCTGCTCTCGACACCCTCCCCCTTGGCCTTTTTCTCTGGGACAGACCCTAACTGGGTAGCATTCTTTTTTTCTTTTCTTCTTCTTCTTTTTTTTTTTTTTTTGAGACGCATTGCACTCCTGTTGCCCAGGCTGGAGTGCAATGGTGCAATCTTGGCTCGCCACAACCTCCGCCTCCTGGGTTCAAGCGATTCTCCTGCCTCAGCCTCCTGAGTAGCTGGGATTACAGGCATTTGCCACCACACCCGGCTAATTTTGTATTTTTTAGTAGAGACGGGGTTTCTCCATGTTGGTCAGGCTGGTCCCGAACAGGCTGGTCCCGACCTCAGGTGATATGCCTGCCTCGGTCCCAAAGTGCTGGGATTGGGTGGCGTGAGCCACCACACCTGGCCTCAGGGTAACACTCTTTTTTTTTTTTTTTTTTTTTTTGAGACAGTGTCTCGCTCTGTCACCAGGCTGGAGTGCAGTGGCACGATCTCGGCTCACTGCAACCTCCGCCTCCTGGGTTCAAGCAATTCTCCTGCCCCAGCCTCCCGAGTAGCTGGGATTATAGGCGCCCACCACCATGCCCAGCTAATTTTTGTATTTTTAGTAGAGACGGGGTTTCACCACACTGGCCAGGATGGTCTCAATTTCTTGACCTCGTGATCCACCCACCTCAGCCTCCCAAAGTGCTGGGATTACAGGAGTGAGCCACCACACCTGGCCAGCCTCAGGGTAACACTCTTAACTCCAGTCTGTGATGCAGGGCCGGAGTGGGAGGTGGCAGGACAGTACACAGACATCAGAGTTGCAGGGACTGCACACATCCACGCTCCTCTGTGTACTAGCTGTGGACCTTAGCAGGAGAGTTCATCTCTCTGAGCTTCAGTTTCCTCATCTGTAAAATAATAATGCCTATATTCAAGGAATAGTGTTGGGATTAACCTAGATAATAACTAGAAAACATTCAACACAAGTGCCTTGTATACAGCTACTGTCCTATAAATGGTACCGGTTGTGATTGTTATTGTTCATGGTTCTTCCTGTTGCTGAGAACAGGGCAGGCATAAAGAAAGAAAGAGAGACGAAGAAACTTGAGGTAAACTACTTCATGAAGGAAATCTCCACCCCAGAAAGAAACCAATACCCTTCATCCTCTCGGCAAGTTTCGGAGCATCCACATACCACCAGAAACTTGAATCTGTCATGTTTTCTAATTTGGGACCTTAAAAAGGGAACAACCATTAGCAAGTGTATTCATATCAGTCATATTATCAACCCAGATCGCTTATTTGAACAGCAGAATTCTTGGTTTCTTGTCCCCACTGCCTGCCAGCAGGAGACACGTGGTTGTGTTCTGATGGCACCAGCCCTACATCCTGTACTCTCACACATGGCCATTTCCCAGCGGAGCCCCGGGCAGGAGCCTGATCCACCCACTGATGATCATCCCACGTTGGGCCATTCGTCCAGGTTCCCCCTCCTGGCTGTCTGAGGTCATCGTCCTCTCTGACAATGACTCTTTCCCATTTTGGGGTCTCAGGCCCCTTTAAGAATCTGGGAAAAGGACAAATGCTTCCTTGTAATTTGCATAGATTCTGGCTAGCTTCTAGGCCCCCTTAAGACCACTGTTCCAGAATATGTGGGGACACTAGAGCCTGCTTCCTGTCTTGGCTGTACCCCACAGAGTCTATTGGAATTTGGCTTCCCTGAGGATCAGAGTGTTCTTCCACCTGGCGGCCTGCATGGAGCCAGCTTGTCAAAAAGTGGTCCCATATGCGCCACACTGCTTTGCTTAGAGCTTCATGTTCTGGCAACGAACCCAAAGAGACTGAGCTGTCCCACATTTCTGAAGAAAAGTGAAAAGACAAAGCATGGGTAATTTCCCAGTGTTCTACAACCAGAGGAGGGTATGTGGCCCTGACCCAGGGGCCAGGGAGGTGGGATGCTCTCAACCTATGCCACAGCCAAACCAGAAGCTTGGCGGCAGGAACTAACGTGAGCCGGTCATTCGTGCTGTGCTGTGAGCTATGATAACTGTCTAACTTAATCCGTTCAGCAACCCTGTGTGGTGAGAATATTCTCCCCATTTCACAGATGAAGAAACAGGCACACTGAGGTCAAGGAATTTGCCAAGATCCCAGTACAGAAGAGCTAGGGCTTGAACCCAGGGAGTCTAACTCCAGAGCCAAACGGCTGACCTCTCCACTACCTCACCTCTGTTATCAGTTGCCTCATCTTTGTTATTACAGACAGACTGGAGAGCAGGAGAAAACAGAAATGTTCCCACAGTGCTCACCTCTGGCATCCTCTCCAGTGATGTCACACTCCCAACAGACTGGAATTCAGAGAAGCAAAGTAACTGCCAAGCCACATTGGTTCCCTGATGCCCCCTGGTCTCTTCTTCCCAGAAGCAAAAGGCACCAGAGAGGGACAGGTGGGGAGCTCAGTACCAAAGGACTTGCTTCTCTACCAAATCAGGGCATCTGGGCTTTTCGGACTTGGGTCAGGGGACCTCATCCCTGGGTTTCTCCACCCAGACCTGCTCCTAAGGAGTATAAGTTGTCACAGCTGCAGGCTAAAGACTTTGCTACATCCACACTAACTAAGACAATAGCAACTAGATCAAGACTCTAAACACATATCCTGGTGGCCTCCAAAAAGTCACCAGAACACTTTCATCTGGGTTGTGTAAATTGGGATATAGCTTCCTACCCAAGAACAAAAAAAAGATGATTTGAGCCTAAGCATTGCTATGTCCTGTCACCTGTCCCTCACAAAGGACCTAATCACAAATTCCTGCCCCAAACCCCTGCCATGAATACACTCCTTAAAGTACAATCTATGTACGGACAACCAATAGTATACTTCATAGTCACATTTTCACTAACAGCATCATGGTATTGAAAACAGGATGGTATTCTTGACTAAAATCACATACTTTTAGACACCTGACAATGCTAGAAGCAGCTTCCACATCCAAAATGCCAGAGGGCCTCTATGGGAGATATTCCAGATTGATTTTATAACCATCCTGACTGGTGTTTGAGAGCAGCATGGAAACAAATCCCATCTTTGTCACACGCTGGGGACTTAATGTAAAACCCTAAATGCTACTGAGATACACAATTTGACTCCTTCTCATATTATCATGCTTCGACACCCTTTTGATGGACTGTTTGTTATAAAGGACCAGGAAGAATACTTCAGAAGATTTGAATGGAACTTAGGCAACAGCTTTCTTTGACAGATTTGGAAAAATGAGATCCAGAGAAGTTAATTACATCACTTAGTTGATCTATTGAGAAAATATCTGTGATTGGAGACAGAAACTTGGGCTGGAGTGCTAGTTCTGCCTCTTCCAAATCCCTGTAATCTTGATGAAGTTAGTCAAAAGGCTCAGTTTTCTCACCTGTAAAAGCGGACCATAAGCCCCTTCTCAGAACTGATGCAAAGATAGCAGTAGATACTGGAGCTTGTGGAAATGTTTTATAAAAGGTAACAGGTTGGCTGGGCACAGTGGCTCACGCCTGTAATCCCAGCACTTTGGGAGGCCGAGGCGGGTGGATCACGAGGTGAGGAGATCAAGACCACCCTGGCTAACACGGTGAAACCCCGTCTCTACTAAATATATATAAAAAAAAAAATTAGCCGGGTGTGGTGGTGGGTGCCTGTAGTCCCAGCTACTTGGGAGGCTGAGGCAGGAGAATGGTGTGAACCCGGGAGGCAGAGCTTGCAGTGAGCCGAGATGGCGCCACTGCACTGCAGCCTGGGTGACAGAGCGAGACTCCATCTCAAAAAAAAAAAAAAAAAAAAAAAAAAGGTAACAGGTTGTACAGATAAAATGTATCATGAAAGATGCCTCCCATGCCACTCATTTTTCCTTTGTCTATTGAAAAGATCACAGAAGCAATGGTGGTGGATGTTGGGAATGTTTGTGCTGGCTTTACAAATGTTGGGTTCTCTTTTAATTAAGACCTGTCTTTTCTTTTCTTCGGATGGGAGAGAGCCTGGCCTGCCTTAACGGCCTCCAGACCTGCATATGTTACTGCTGCCAGTGGAAGACAAAACCCAAAAGGAGAGAGAGGGAAAAAATAAATCTTTTGGTTTTGCAGCTAAATAGCCCAAAACACAGCTAGCAAAGTTCCATAAAGGTTTGGCATTCACCAACACACAGTGGAAACAAAGCTGACCCCTCCCCTGGCCATGCCCTCTGACCCCACGGCCAGGAATACTTCTGCTGTCAGCCTGGGGAGCTGGCTTCAGGGTTTTCCTTGGGGGCTGTTTGCCTTTGGGGGTTGGGGAGGGAGTATTTTAGTACCAGCCCCCATTCCCAACTGGCAGGGGGAGTTTACTGATTAATATTCATGAGCAATATTTTGTGCCTGCTGCAGTTTCTCATGCAAGGTGGGTTTTGAGGGAGGAATATATTACGGAAATCACCCTCCTGCCACCACCTTTGGAAATACAGGACCCAAGTCCCAAATTGTAAATATTTAACACGGGGAACCTCCTTTCCTTCTGTCTCCCCACCGCCACCCCTTACCCTCTCCCTGTATACATTAAACTCATTCTTTCCGTTTAACAAGGGCCACTGTGTTTCTTCCCAGCTCTGTTCAGTTGGAACCTTGGGTCTGTGTCCATAGAGTCACATAAAATGTCCATAAATCCCTTCAGCCACAGGACACAATTGATGGTAATTCTTTGCCGTTAAAGTTGTCACTGGCCACAGCCCCAGAGCTGGGAAATGCGTTCTATCTGCTCCGTCAGATCCAGCCCTGTGCAGTCAGTCAAGGACCCCCAGTCCTTAGCCCCCAACCCGCAGCCCCTGGAGATGAACCCAAGAAAAAATAGAAAACAGTAAGAAGAATGCTGAGGTGATTTCCATTGATTTGGGGTGGGAGGGGGTATTCCTTCTTTCCCACACTCAGCGCCCTCATGGCTGGAATATCCTACCAGTGGGAATATTCTAATTGGCAGCAGGTGGAGACAGAAAGAGCAGGGAAACCAGGAAGTGGAGAGCACAGGTTTAGGACACATCTTTGACTGAAGTTTTATCTCATCAGTAAAATGAAAGAAAGGAGACTTGCCATCTCTACCATGTGGGAACATGGGGAGGATGGAAGGCAAGAGGGACTTTCGAGGAACTTTGTGCAACAGCTGCACAGCCTTGGCTTCCGAGGTCTTCATTTGATTGTAGTGGTTGTTGCCAACTGCATGACAATAATAAAACAAGGGTAATGCAGATTCAGAGATGGAGGTGGACTGTACGGGACTCCTCCCATGAGCAGAGGGCCTTTGATGAGGCCCTCAGCTGGATCATCTCATTTAACTCCCACATTAGCCTTGTGGACTAGGTACTTATCCCCCTTCAGAGATTAGGAAACAGGCCCAGCAAGGCCAAGGAACTTGCTCAAGGCCACAAGACAAGGCAGTGGTGGAGCCAGGCCTTGAACCTGGCTTTCTTGTGTGACCTTGGACAAGCTATTTCAGATCTCTGAGTCTCAGTGTCCTCATCTGCAAAAATTAAGGGGCTATGCAGGATGCAAGCTCCCCCAGGCCGAGAATACTGGAGCACCATTGTCGACAATCTACCTGAGCCTGTAACAACAGGCCATGGTCCACATTCCACCAGGGGAGACCCTGAGCCAATGTCTGTGGGGTGGATGAACTGAAGGCTGGGTCAGTCCAGGCGCAGGCATGCTCTGTGTAGGGCCCTCACTGGTTGCCTCTCCCAGGGCCGGCATCTTCTGTCGGTCACAGCAGAGACCCTGCCAGTGGGATCCATGTCCAGTGGCAGGAAAGCTTCTCAGGCGAGAGGCTACAGGCTACAGAGCAAGCCAGATGGACACGGCTTTTCCCAAACAAAGAAAATATTCTCCCTGGCACCCAGCCTCCCTGGCTCTGCAAGCAAACCAAGAAGAAAAGCCACCCTGTAGCCTGCTGACAGACAGCACGGTGGCAGCCAGCCAGCCCTGTGCCCACATCGCTCAATCAGCCCATTCTCCTCGCATCCTCCCTGGGGCGCTGCTCTAGTCCTCTTGTGGGGCCTCACAGAAAGGAAGTTGGGCAGAAGCAGATTGAGGCAGCCTTGCTCTCAGTCGAACCTCTCCAAAAGGCAGTTTAAAAGGCTTGATTCTGTGGGAGTTGCTGGGGATGCTCCAAAACCGGAATGGCTTCAGAGCCTCCAGAAAGATTTCCTGTCTCACCCTCACCCCCGCTGCCTGCCCTTCCCAGAATATGAGCAGCACATATTCCGGAAAGCCCACGCTGACAAGTGCGATTACCTTCCAAGCTGTTGTAGCGTACCAGTGGGGAGAGTCCTGTTGAGGTTAGAGGAGAGGAACCTCACCTCCAGCTGAGTCTCTTGCCACAACCTTTAGGGCAGGCCTCAGCAACTCTCAGCCTCAGTTTCCTTCAGGGTGAAAATGAGGCCCAATCCGATTTGTGACCAGCTTGACTGTGGGAGTAGCTCAGAGACTTCAGCACATATAACCAGGTACAACGTGACACGGGGCCGCACAGACCTGTATTTGTACCGGAAAAAAATTTTCTATTTATCTACTCTTGTCTGATGCCAATCTCGTGACCTATGAACGCCTGCTCTGAGTTCCTGAGACCCAGAACAGGGACAGCCTCAGCCACCATTTTACCTGGCCTGATCCAAATTAGAGAAATTGCCTTTCTTTTTTAAACTCCAGAGAACCTGTTTCCTGCAACAGCTGGTACATGAACTGCATGTGTAAGATATTGAGCCCTGTGGGCCCCCGGGACCCCAGTGATTAAAGTGCCAGGGCAATGCTGAGTCTTCACCAACAACCAGAGTGACTGGGTGGTTACTCAGCCACAGTAGAGTCAGGGCTTGTCACTGAATGCTCTGCTTCCTTGTATGTGATATAGAATCTTCTCTCTGAAGACAAAGAATAAAACAGAGGTGCTAGAATGTTTCCTCAGCTTCCTCCCAATCATATCTGCTTGCTTCTAGGCAACCCCTATTTCCTTTATTAACTAATGGCAGGAAAAATTTATTACCAGCTGGAATCCAAGGACTTAAAGGCACTGTTGACCTGAAAAAGCATTTCTGGGGATATGAGGACAGCTGGAGTCTGAGAAGTGGCGCCGACATAGATGACCTTAAGTGAGTCACACAAGCTTCTCTGCTTCATTTTCTCCACCTGTGAGGAGTTGCACCACCTTAGCTCTTACCAGTGATAGAGGAGCACGTGAAATACCAGCGCACACACGTGGGCAATAAACAGAAGACCCTATTGGGGGTTTTCAGGGATATTTTAAAGCTGTTTTCATTTGAAAACTGACAATGAGGATATTATGGTTTGTGCCCACTTTAAATGGATTTGGTAGCCAGGCACAGTGGCTCAGGCCTGTAATCCCAGCACTTTGGGAAGCCAAGGCAGGTGGATCCCTTGAGTACAGGAGTTTGAGACCAGCCTGGGCAATATGGTGGAACCCCATCTCTACTAAAAATACAACAATTAGCCCGGGGGTGGTGGCTCACCCCTGTAATCCCAGGACTTTGGGAGGTGAAGGCGGGCGGATCACCTGAGGTCAGGAGTTCGAGACCAGCCTGGCCAACACAGTGAAACCCTGACTCTGCTAAAAATACAAAAATTAGCCAGGCGTGGTCACATGCACCTGTAATCCCAGCTACTCAGGAGGCTGAGGCACGAGAATTGCTTGAACCTGGGACGCAGAGGTTGCAGTGAGCCGAGACCACGCCACGGCACTCTAGCCTGGGCAACAGAGCGAGACTCCATCTCAAAAAAAAAAAAAAATTAGCCCAGGTTGGTGCATGCCTGTAATCCCAGCTACTTGGGAGACTGAGATGGGAGACTGCTTTGAGCCCAGAAGGTAGAGGTTGCAGTGAGCCAAGACTGCGCCACTGCACTCCAGCCTGGGCGACAGAGTGGGACCCTGTCTCAAACAATAATAATAATAATTTAAAAAATTAATGGATTTGGTAAAAGTAAGTCAGGTAATTTTCCTGAACTAGGCGCCATTTATGAGGCCCAGAATGCTTCACAGACCAAACTACCCCACCATGAGACTATCACTCCCCACTCCCTCTCCATGCAATCACACTTCCCCACCACCACGACTGTGTAGTCTTCAGACATAGCAGCTGGCTTTGAGTGGTTTTCCAGATCAGTGATGGTTCTGTGCAAATCCATTCATCTCTCCTTAAGTGGTCTCCTTGGAGGCCACAGTCATGTTTGGTTAGGGGAGGCTGGTTGGGGTAAAAGCCACAGATCCAGGTTGTGGTAAAAACAAAGCTGACAGGCTCACATAGGGCAGGAACCTGTGACTTCAGGCACAGCTGGTCTATAATCAACAGGGCTGAGCAGCCTTTCCCCAGGGTTAGGACTAATAGGTCCCAAGACATACTTAACCATCACTTAGGCTATTAGATAATGCCCCTTGCCCACCGGGACCTGAGACTACAGCTATTTTAAATGTTTTCATGTTTCTGTTTTGCGGTCAAATACTCTACCACTAAGCTATACCCCCTGTGTTTCTGTTTTGTTTACAGATTTTAACATGTCTAATTTTATTTTATTTTATTTATTTTATTTATTTTTTTTTTGAGTTGGAGTCTCACTCTGTCACCCAGGCTGGAGTGCAATGGCGTGATTTTGGCTCACTGCAACCTCCGCCTCCCAGTTGCAAGCAATTCTCCTGCCTCAGCCTCTCGAGTAGCTGGGATTGCAGGTCCATGCCACACACTCTGCTAATTTTTTTGTGTTTTTAGTAGAGATAAGGTTTCACCATGTTGGCCAGGCTGGTCTCAAACTCCTGACCTCAGGTGATCCACCGGCCTCAGCCTCCCAAAGTCCTGTGATTACAGGTGTCAGCCACCACACCCGGCCACAACTCTCTTTATAAATATGTTTTCAGAGAGTTTTTTATTTTACAACCCAAAATTATTTTCTTATATACATTACTAACCCAATGCCAATGCCCAGCACATAGGTTTTAAATATTTATTTTAAAATACTAGCCTGGGCCGGGCGTGGTGGCTCAAGCCTGTAATCCCAGCACTTTGGGAGGCCAAGGTGAGCGGATCACCTGAGGTCAGGAGTTCGAGACCAGCCTGGCCAACATGGTGAAACCCCGTCTCTACTAAAAATACAAAAATTAGCTGGACATGGTGGCGGGCGCCTGTAATCCCAGCTACTCAGGAGGCTGAGGCAGGAGAATCACTTGAATTTGGGAGGCAAAAGTTGCAGTGAGCCAAGATCACGCCACTGCACTCCAGCCTGGGCAATAGAGCAAGACTCCATCTCAAAAATAAAAAATAAAATAAAATACTAGCCTGGACAATATAGGGAGACCTCATTTCTACAAAAAAAATTTAAAAATTAGCTGGGTGCATTGGCACATACCTGTAGTCCCAGCTACCTGGGAGGCTAAGGCAGGAGAATCACTTGAGGGAGAGGTTGCAGTGAGCCGAGATCATGCCACTGCACTCCAGCCTGGGCAACAGAGCAAGACCCTGTCTCAATCAATCAACCAATAAAATACTTATTTTTCTTTCTTTTTTTAAAAAAATATTTTTAAATAAATTCATTCATTCATCATATACTGTGCATCTATTATGTACCAGACCTTATTCTAAGCTTTGGAAGACATTGTATTGAATTAACACAAACAACAGTTCCTGACATCAAAGAACAGTAAACAAATAAATGTATGATGTCAGGTAAGACTACATGCCAAATAAGACAAAGCTAATTAGAGTGGAGTGCTGGCTACTGTTTCAGATAGTCCTGAGGGACACTCTGCCAACACTTGAGGGGAGACCTGAATGATGTGAGTGGGGAACTGCAAATGTGTCTGAGAAAGAGCAGTCCAGGTGGAGGGAACGGCAAGGGCAGAGGCGCTGGGTTAGGCAGATGCTGGGCATTTCTGGGAACAGCATGGAGTCCAGAGGCTGGAGCAGAGTGGGAGGAGAGGCTGCCAGGGGCCAGCACGGGCTGGGCCTTGAAAGTCAAGGTAAGGCCATGGGGTTTATACTGAGTGTGGTGGGAAGCCATAAGGAGGACATTGAGCAGGGATGTGATATATGGCTATACTGTGGAGGATAAACTGGAAGGGGCCAAAAATGGAAGACAGGAACATATGGCAGAGTCCAGTGAGAGAGAGTGGAGCCTTGAGCCAAGGTAGAAACAATGGAGGGTGAGAAGCAGAAGCACGTGGGATGTCCTTTTAAGGCAGAACCAAGAGGATTTGCCAATAGATAGGAATGAGTGAATCAAAATTACTTTGTAAAGATCTCTCAAGTCAGTTAAGCTCCTTTGAGCCAAGAGAATTTTCTGTGGGGTGCTTTGTTGTGTTTTGTTTTGTTTTTGAGACAGAGTCTCTCTCTGTTGCGCAGGCTGGAGTGCAGTGGCGCGATCTCAGCTCATCGCAACCTCCGCCTCTCAGGTTCAAGCGTTTCTCCTGCCTCAGCCTCTGGAGAAGCTGGGATTACAGGCCTGTGCCACCACACCCAGCTAAATTTTGTATTTTTTAGTAGGGACAGGGTTTCACAATGTTGGCCAGGCCCGTCTCAAACTCCTGACCTCAAGTGATCCGCCCACCTCGGCCTCCCAAAGTGCTGGGATTACTGGCATGAGCCACCGCACCCAGCTGGGTTTTTTATTTATATATTCACTTTTCTTAATTGTGTTCATTTCTTCCATCATGGGCTATTGGAGGTATTATGATAATCAGCAAAACTTAGTTATACACTTAAATCAAACAGTCCTTGACCATGTTTCTCAAATGCCAAGCCCAGGAGGTTTGGACCATGTGAATTCATTTATTAGAAATTCTATTACTGAACCAGCATAGTGGCATGCACTTGTACTCCCAGTTACTTGGAAGGTTGAGGCAGGAGGGTCCCCTGAGGCCAGGAGTTTGAGGCTGCAGCACACTACGATTGCACCTGTGAATAGCCACCACACGCCAGCCTGGGCAACATAGTGAGACCCCATCTCTAAGACAAAAAAATTCTATTACTGATTTGTATGTTCTGTATGCTACTTTGACACAAGTAGGCCCAGAAATATTTAATTTGTCTGAGAAATATATTGCTAAGCTTGAAGACAACAATGAAAAATATCAATGAGAATTGTAGGGCAAAAGTTGTACGATTATTTTTTAGCAAAAAAATATGGGGAAACATTTGTGTTTAAAAAAAATTTTTGAACCGGGCTTGGTGGCTCATGCCTGTAATCCCAGCACTTAGGGAGGCCAAGACGGGCAGATCACTTGAGGTCAGGAGTTCGAGACCAGCCTGGCCAACATGCTGAAACTCCGTCTCCACTAAAAATACAAAAATTAGCCAGGCATGGTGGCACATGCCTGTAATCATAATTCCAGCCACTCTGGAGGCTGAGGCAGGAGAAATGCTTGAACCTCGGAGGCGGAGGTTGCAGTGAGACAAGATCACACCACTGCACTCCAGCCTAGGTGACAGAGACACTCCATCTCCAAAAAAAAAAAAATCTTAAAAGTCTAAACACAAGAGGCCAAGTGTGGTGGCTCACGCCCATAATCCCAGCACTTTGGGAGGCTGAGGCAGGCGGATCACGAGGTCAGGAGATCGAGACCATCCTGGCTAACATGGTGAAACCCCATCTCTACTAAAAATACAAAAAATTAGCCGGGCGTGGTCGTGGGAGCCTGTAGTCCCAGCTACTGGGGAGACTGAGGCAGGAGAACGGCGTGAACCCAGGAGGTGGAGTTTGCAGTGAGCTGAGCAGAGATGGCGCCACTGCACTCCAGCCTGGGTGACAGAGTGAGACTCCATCTCAAAAAAAAAAAAAAAAAAAAGTCTAAACACAGAAAGAAAAAAAATCTATAAAGTCTCAGAATCTAGGCAAAACAAGCAAAAACAAAACAAAAACTTCGCAACTCCATTACTGATGTCACCATGAATTATCTTCTTTATCACCTCCACCCACAGTGTAATGACAGATAAATTACATGCCTGAAGTCATGCTCCAGGCTGAGGCCTAGACCGACTTTTTCTCTTTTTCCTAAATCAGACACCACCAAGGCAAGATGAATCTGCAGGAAACTTAGTGAGGGCAGAAATCATGTATGGGGAGTAGAAATATTCTATTTGTTGGTTTTAATACAACATGCTTCTTCTTGCACCTTATAGGAGGTGTGCTTGGATCTGAATATCAGGGATTATAAAGGATCAGATTTTCCCTGCCTAAAATCAAAGAACAACAGAAGTACAAGAATGTTGAGCTTATTTGCTCCAGATTTAAGATATTTAACAAGTGGTGTGTCAGACCAGAAGGCAGATGGAGCGCGGGGCTGGTACATACTGGTGCGATGTGAGCCCTGATCTTGTCCAGCTCCCTATTGCACAGACGAGGAGTTTGACACTCAGAGAGGTGTCATAACTTGACCATGATCATGTGGCTAGCAAGTAGATGAGTCTGTCTGAAACCCTTATTCCTGGTTCACTGCTTTTTTTCCCACTACAATATTCTGCTCCTTATTCAATATTAAACACCAAATATAAATACCAAAGAATGAATTACCATGGTCCCAAAACAGCTTTGACTCACGTACTAAAAAATGGCAGGAGTAAGGTGACTTCAGGTACAGCTTTAGAAGACCGTTTCACTCTTCCGGTATCTTGGATCCGCTTCTGTGGGATTGGCTTCCTTCTCAGATGGTCTTTCTCCCCATGATGACAAGGTGGCTGCTAGAACCTCTAACCTAACATCCCTTGAGGTTAAGTCCAGCAGGAAAAAGTTCTCTTTTGCTCTTTCTCTCCAGTCCCAGCAAAAGCCTCATTGTGTCTCATTGGCTCTGACTGGGTCATATGACATTGCTAATCAATCATCGTGGCCTGGGGAATGAATGGACTGATTGGTTAAGGATTACATCCCATGCTGTCTCCCCACCCCCTCCGAAGGTGGGCTGAAAGTAAAGGAGGGGTGGTTTCTCCAAAGGAAGCCTGGGAACTATAACCTGGGTAAATAGATGAATGGATACTGGAGAACATAAAGCAACCAATGTTGTTACAAATCACTGTCACAAGTGATGTAACATAAGAGGATGGACTGCAGAGAAAACCTCTAGGAAACTCCTTAAGGACTGAATATGGCAGATGAGAGGAGAAAGCAGGAAGACCCTATTAGAGTCTGTTTCCTCTATAATGTGGCCAGAGGCATTCACAAACCCTAAGTCCAATGGGAAAACTGGCTCCAGTGTATTACAAACAAAAAATGCAGGAGTCAAAAAAAAAAAAAAAAGAGAGAGAGAGAGAGAGAGGGCCGGGCGCCATGGCTCACACCTATAATCCCAACACTTTGGGAGGCTGAGGCGGGCAGATTGCTTGAGGTCAGGAGTTTGAGACCAGCCTGGCCAACATGGTGAAACCCGGTCTCTACTAAAAATATAAAAATTAGCCAGCATGGTGGTGGGTGCCTATAATCCCAGATACTTGGGAGGCTCAGACACAAGAATCTCTTGAACTCAGGAGGTGGAGGTTGCAGTGAGCCAAGATCATGCCACTGCACACCAGCCTGGGCAATGGAGCGAGACTCCGTCTCAAAAAAAAAAGAGAGAGAGAGAGAGAGAAATAGCAATCGTGTTGGGGGTATGGGTAAGACTTACGGAGTTGCTGGGTTTTAAAACAAATTTTGAAAAACAGGAGAAGCAGATGAATGCGTAGAAGCGTGCTATTGTCTGAATGTTTGTCTCTCCCAAATTCCTGTGTTGAAATCCCTACCCTTAAGGTGATGGTATTAGGAGGTGGAGCCTTTAGGAGGTGACTAGGTCATGAGAGCCCCACCCTTAGGAAAGGGATTAGTGCCTTCATAAAAGAGGCCCAAGAGAGACACCTCACCCCCATCATGTGAGGACATGGCAGGAAGGTGCTGTTCACCAGCCAGAGAGCAGGCCCTCACTAGACACCAAATTGGCCTTGATCTTGGAGTTCCCAGCCTCCAGTACTGTGAGAACTGCATAACGTAGCTTATGCTGTTGTTCATAAGCTACACAGTTTATGATATTTTGTTATAGCAGTCTGAATGGACTAAAACAAGGAGAGAAGTATTTCAAGTAGACATGAAAACCTGATGCTGGCAACAATCATATGTGTGAGAGATGGACAGTCTTCACTCACTCACTCACTCATTCCTTCCCTCCCTCACTTAGTCAATGAATATCAGTCGAACTGTCAGTCCTGGGTCTATGACAGTGGATAAGATACAGACCCTCCATCAGAGAGCTTGAGGCTAGTGGTGTCTGCAACAAGGAGGCTGAAGACTTGTTACAACAGGGAGAATACAGAGCGCAGTGCTGAGGGCCACCTATCTGAGAACTGGGGGAGAGGAGAAAGTGAAACTCTGCTGAGAGCAGGATGAGCCAGGCTGATCTAGGAAAAGTGGGAGAGAGGGGGGTTCTGGATGAGGGAGGAATATGTGCAAACGCTCAAGTAGGTGGGGAAGAGCAGGCCAAATTGGTTGAAGTCTTGAAGGCAGATGGGATAATTTAGATTTGATGAAACCACTGCAGGCCCTACTCAGGGTTGGACTTCATGAAAATGGCGTAGAAGCAAAACTGCTTCACCAGGGAAGGGCAGGATAGTCTTTATAGTCGTTAGGACACTTCCTTGCAACTAGGATATGGGAATTCTCACCTGAGGATATGAAGCCCAAATGGAATGAACCTTGAGGTAGAAAAACAGACAGCTCAGCAGTACACGCAAGAGATGTCAGCAGTCAGAAGGAAGTGGAGAGGAGGGAGTGAAAATGAGAGCTGAAGTGAGTACAGGGGCAAGGAAAGCAATAACAGAAGGTTATTTTAGCAGAAGAGGCAATAACAGAAACCAGAATGCTCTGGGGGAAAAATCCAGGAAGCCGGGTAATACCAAGTGTTGGCAGGGTTAGGGGGACATAGGCACCCTTGTACATGCTGATGGGAGTGTGGGCTGTTGCATCCACTCTGTAAAGATCCCAACTACATTTTCTTTCTTTTCTTTTTTTTTTTTTTTGAGACGGAGTCTTACTTGGTTGCCAGGCTGGAGTGCAGTGGCACGATCTCGGCTCACTGCAACCTCCAACTCCCTGGTTCAAGCGATTCTCCTGCCTCAGCCTCCCAAGTAGCTGGGATTACAGGCGTGCACCACCATACCTGGCTAATTTTTTGTATTTTTAGTAGAGACGGGGTTTCACTGTGTTAGCCAGGATTGTCTCGATCTCCAGACCTCGTGATCCGCCTGCCTTGGCCTCCCAAAGTGCTAGGATTACAGGCGTGAGCCACCATGCCAAGCTGATCTCAACTACATTTCCTAACCTCCAATAATGCAGATTGCATGGGAAATTGGGAGCAATCAGAGCATCCATCTCCGGGTGGGTGAATAAGTAATCGTGGTAAATACACACGATGGAATATGACACAGCAGTTAGAAGCAACAAATTAAATGCATTCATAGCAGCTTGGGAGAATCTTTAAAATTTGGTGCTAAAGCAAAAAAAAAAAAAAAGCAGAAGATAAAATGAGGTATGTAGTAATACTATATATGTGAATTAAAAATACAGCGACCTGCCCAAACTCTCCTTCTCCCTCCAGTACTCTTGATCCCCTTTTCTGGATTATTTTTTCCCACAGCACTTACCAACTTCTAACATACTGATAATTTTTTGTCTTTTTATGTGTATAGATGATTGTGTTGCATCCCCTGTTAGAATACACATTCCAGGGATCCTTGTCAGTTTTCTTCACTAATGTATCCCCGAATGCCTGGCACAAAGCAGGTACTCAACAAATACTTGTTGAATGAATTGATGACCAAGACAGCAATACACATTTTGCAAGACCACACACAAACCAAAAGATCTACTCTCAGGACATGAGAATAGTTGCCTAAGGAATTGAGAAAAGGGAGTGGGGCATGAGGAATAAAAGAAAATGAATAAATAAAGCATAAGAAACAAAACAAAAGGGGTGTAGGAGCAGAAAAGTCAAAATGCAAAGAGGGGAGGTAGCCAAGCAGGGAAGATAGCAGGTGGGCCACCCCCAAGAGCTCAGGTGGGCCAGGAGGAGGGATGAGATGGAGCCTGGAGAGGCCTTGCTGTGCAGGATATCCTGGTCTTCAGCATGTCAGTGGCTTCTTAGTCCCATTCTCTCTGGTTTCCCAGCATCTGACCTGGGTCTACAATCAACCATGCCTGACTTTTCCAAGACATCAGGCCTTGAAAACATAAGCCCGATGACTCTATCAGTCCATGTTCTGGGAGTCCAGAGATTGAAGGATTCCAGGTGAACAGGCCTCCCCAAACCCATCTTAGGAAACATATTAGCTGCAGGAGGCTGCCCCCGGGGACCATGCAAGCCCCAGAGCAGTTTGGCCAATTTTTAGATTTGGAATTCCCAACTAGTTCATATGCATTAGCAGGTTTAAGACAAAACATAGACTATATTCATGCTAAAAGGCATCTTACAAGTCATCAGTTTCCCCACCAGTAGCATGAGAAATACCCAGATCTCCATGGAGATCTCAAGCCTGATCTCCATGGAGATTCAGATTCAAAAGATCTTAAGGGCCCCAGGAATTTGTTTTGTTTTCCTTTTTAACTCCCCAGGTAATTATGGCTCATCCTGGACCAGACCCTTCCTACCCCTCCAACTCCCCAACAACTGGGCAATTGGAATATCAGTCCATCCCTAAAAGCCAACCAGGCTCTCCCGAGGGAGGCAGGAAATCCCTGCTCCCTCCATCCCCCACCGGGAATGCTGCAGGGGGCTTGAGGAGGCGACACAGTGGGGAGCTCTGGGTGCAGGTGGGCAGACAATGGGCCAACACACCCCCTCAGCCCCGCTCCAGTATCAGCATTCCAGGCCCACCCACCTGGGCCCTTGGTCACCGGGAGACCTCACGCGTACACACAGGCTCTAACCTGCCCTGAGCCCAGATCCGGCGTTTCCCAAGCAGCTCTCTCAGCCTGCTGTGAACAAAGGCGATTGTTCTCCCAGGAATGGAGGGAGATGTCTCTCCGTCTTTTCTCTCCTTCTCTTCCCATTCCTCCCATCTCTGTTCCCGTCTTGAAACCTTGGGAGAGAAGGTATTCTAAATATGACTACTCTTGGCTACTTTTTCCTCTCCAACTTGAAAGTCACACGCTGTTGTCTATGGTTATTTGGGCACCTGCAAGCAGTCAGAGGCACATTTTTCCACCTTGGAAGCTGAGGTGCAGGGAAAGGAGGGATTTTTTTTTTTTTTTAAATACACATTTGGAGTTGTTGAACCTTCCTGTGGGAATCCTCCTATTATTTAAAGGATGGATCGTGTCTGTCCCTGCCCCTACCTGATGAAGCAGTAAATCATAACAAGAGAATCTGGCTAAACAAGTTTCCAATTCAAACGTTATCTTGTGGACAAAGAACTCTTTGAATATGGTTGCTGTGTTTGGCTTCTTGTGATGGAGTGGAAAGTTATGTTTTCACTGTTGCTGAATTCTTCTCTCCCTTCAGTGTCCGATGGCCATTCACAGAGAAAGAAGTGTTGAACTGAAAGGGGATGGGGGAGGCCACGTGGCAAGAGAGCAGTGGCCAAGCCATTTCCGGCTAATTAACACATAGATATTGATCATATTTCCTCTGCGAAGCTGCTGCAGATAAGGTGGTCCGTCCCCCTTGGTCACCACATCATCAATAAGCAGACAGCCCCTTTCTAGAAGAGTCCATAATCCAAACATGCTTTGGGTAGGTGATTGATAGAAAGCTACCATTTTAAAAAGATTCCAAGTCTAAACAGAATGTGTCTGGTTACTGGCAAAATTAAATTACCCTCTGCTGGAGGAACTTCCCCTTCTAGTGAAAACAAAGTTATAGTTACAGATAAAATCGAAACTTGGGCATAAATTTTTAGAGGCTTCTAAGAGCAAGCACGTGTGATTGTTAAAATTTATGAGCTTAATTTTATTATATGTTTGTCCCAATTTGATATATTTCATAAGTGAGAAAGTACCGCCCTCCCCCTCAAATTTGGTAGAATTTAAAGGGTCAAAAGTCCAATAGCTTCTTGTTCAAAGCACCCAGAGGCCCAGGTTTTATTTAATTCTTTTCTCTGGGCTGTTCTGGGAAATATCTTTTTCTCCCTAGAAACATGATAACCAGGCTGCCGAGGAAAGAAAGAAAAGATAGAAACTCTTCCTGGGCTATGATGGCCTCTCTTTCTCTGGGAAAGGTTACATGTAACACCCTGCCTCTGTAGACATGTCTCATCAGACATCCTCACTTTTTCTTGCTTATAGAAACAAGGCGAATGTAGTAAAACTGGAAGCAGGCTGTGATGAGACAGTTTTCACAGCAGCCAACAAGAGAGCTGTTCCAAGTTCCAATCGTTTCATTTATTCAACAGATTTTTTTTTTTCATGACAGGGTCTCGCTCTGTCTCCCAGGCTGGAGTGCAGTGGTGCAATCTCAGCTCACTGCAACCTCGACCTCCCGGGCTCAAGCAATCCTTCCACCTCAGCCTCCCAAGTAGCTGGGACCACAGGCATATGCCACCAGGCCAAGCTAATTGTTTTGTATTTTTCGTAGAGATGGGGTTTTGCCATGTTGCCCAGACTGGTCTTGAACTCCTGAGCTCAAGCATTCTGTCCACCTCAGCCTTCCCAAAGTCCTGGGATTACAGGCGTGAGCCACCAGACCAGGCCTTGACGGATCTTCGCTGTGTTTGTGCTCCAGGTCGGCACAGTTCTAGGTTCTAAGAAGAACATAAGCATCTTCAATGACATTCCTATTTGTACAGTACATTTTCATTTACAGTGTGCTTTCACTCACAATAACTCAAATAGATGCCTAGCAAGAAAGAAAATGGTCTCTGGATTTAAAACACTCAGAGAAGCTGGGCATGTTGGCTCATGTCCATAATCCCAGCACTTTGGGAGGCTGAAGCAGATGGATCACTTGAGGCCAGGAGTTCGAGACCAGACTGGCCAACATGGTGAAACCCCGTTTCTACTAAAAATACAAAAATTAGCTGGGTGTGGTGGCTCACACCTGTAATCCCAACTACTCAGAAGACTGAGGCACAAAAATTGCTTGAACCCGGGAGGTGGAGGTTGCAGTGAGCCGAGATTGCACCACTGCACACCAGCCTGGGCAACAGAGCGAGAATAATAATAATAATAAAAACACTCAGAGGCTGGCAAGGGAGGTTGGATTGCAGAGAAGAAACCTCCAGAGAATGGGAGAAGCTCTTGCTTAATCCAGGGCTACTCTCTGAGAGACATATTAAAAGTGCTGGCTGGGCGCGGTAGCTCACACCTGTAATCCCAGCACTTTGGGAGGTCGAGGTGGGCGAATCACCTGAGGTCAGGAGTTCGAGACCAGCCTGCCCAACATGGTGAAACCCCATCTCTACTAAAAATACCAAAAAAAAAAAAATTAGCCATGTGTGGTGGCGGGCGCCTGTAATACCAGCTACTTGGAAGGCTGAGGCAGGAGAATCACTTAAACACAGGAGGCGGAGGTTGCAGTGAGCCGACATCGCGCCACTGCACTCCAGCTTGGGTGACAAGAGCAAAACTCTGTCTCAAAAAAAAAAAAAAGTGCTGCAACTCAGAGAAGAGAGATGAGTAAAACCTGGGCCTCCAGGTGCTTCCAACCAGAAAGTCTAGAATTTCCATTTCTGTGGGCTTGGTTTGTTAAGTGTTCAGCTGGAATGATGTCTTCCTCTGAGACCCAAACCTCAACAATAACACCCCTCTCTTTCCTTTGAAGCCAGTTTCAAACTCTTCCCTAACAGAGAAACTTTATCTCCTACATCCTCTGTACTCTTTGATTCCATCCATGGACACGGGGCCGGCGAGTCCAGCTGGACCCTGCTGCAGCCCTGTTCTGAACCCATGTAATCGACATAGGTTTATGTTTGGGGAAAAATTGCTTTGATTTTGCTTGTGATTAATGCGCTAAGATGTTACATTAGGGAAAGCGACTCTCCCACCCCTGTCTGTGGGCCCCATTAGGCTGGGTGGGTTCTCGGGAATGCAGCTGACTGCATGTGAACACGCACGTACCCAGTGTTTGGCAGGGCTGCAGGATTGCAAGGCACTGGCTCTTCCATCACACTGTCATCGCATAGCAGGAAACACCCTGGGCAGCCCAGCTGCAGTGCTGCTGGCAGCAGAGAGCTGACCAGGGTGGTGAAAGGCACCAGGCCAATCCCTCCTGTCCTCCACAGGCCCCCTGTAATGTCTATGGTAGGTGGGAGGCTCTTCATGGTCACGCAACCACTGACCCACCATTGGGCTGGATAGGATCCTCAGTCTCCATGCTGGGCAGTCTTGCAAGGACTTCAGTGCATCCTGAGTTGTCATCGTCACTATTTACCATAACCACCATTATCAAAGCCACCTACCTGCCCGTTGACATGCTCCAGGACAGTCTACCTGGGCCCCCTTTCAACCAGTGTGCCATTCCCGAAACCCCTCCTATACAGACATTGAGACACCCTGACTGTTGATATGACAGCGGTTTTAAAATTCAATTCCATTCAGAACAAATATAACGAGCCTCTATTATCTTCATTCACTTCACATTTATTGATTTCCTCTGTGCCTAACACTGGGATTACAACAGTGAATTTGCCTGGCTTTCAGCACTTAGTAAAGCAGTGTCCAGGACAGTGCAGTCATTTATTCTCCAGTCCTCCTGAAAAATTCCCAGATGCCCTCTCCCCACTTCTTTGGCTCTCCCACGAAATAGCCATTATCAGTTGGCTAGAGCATTAGCAAAGAGAGTATAAAAGAGTGTGGGTAAATCAGACAGCTATTCAAATTGCAGCTCTACTACTCACGTATTACCAGACATGAAGCTACTTAGTATCTCTGAGCTCAGTTTCCTCATTTGTAAAATGGCAATAATAAACTCTTCATTAAAGGAGCATTGTGAAGATTAACAAACTAAGAACATGTGCAAATTGCCAATGTTGGTGTCTGACACATAGTAGCAGACCCTCTTAAATGGTAGGTACTATTGTTGTGGTGGTTATATACTATTACTACTATTATCATGACTACAGTTGTTATTCACATCTTTGTCCTTTGGTTGGGAGGATAGCCATCAAGTGACAAGTACCTTGGAAAAACCCTTGGCAGATACCTCTCCTAGGAAGTAGCTTATCTAAGTCTCAGGTGGTGGCATAGCACATTGTACCAATTCCAGTTTTTCATTGGAGGTGGCAAAACCTTTGACAAAAGCAAATGTTTATATCTATCTGGAGGAAAAATATAATTGAGGGTTTTTTTTTTAACTTATATGTGATCTCCAGTTAATTCTTTCATCCCTGGGGATCAGTATTCCTAAAACACAAAACAAAACAAAACCAAAGACCCTGGGTTGGATCCTACTCTGACTTACCAGAGGGAGGGAAGTAACACCAACACTTCTTTTTCCTTATTTTTTCTTAAAGTGTTTGGCACATCATGATTTTTTTTTAAAATAATTATCATCATCTAAAAATGCTTTATATGTGAATAATTAGTTTGTTTTTCTTTCTTTTTTTTTTTTTTTTAGTTTGGGGAAGTTGGAGGATTACAAGGGAGAATTACAACTTGACATCTTTCTCTTTTTTTTTTTTTTTTTTTTTTTTTGAGACTGGTTCTCACTCTGTCATTCAGGTTAGAGTATAATCCCAGCTCACTGCAATCTCTACCTTCCAAGCTCAAGTGATCCTCCCACCTCAGCCGCCTGAGCAGCTGGGACTACAGGCGCAAGCAACCACACCTGGCTAATTTTTATACTTTTTTACTTTTTTGTAGAGATGGGTTTCACCATGTTGCCTGTGGCTGGTCTTGAACTCCTGGGCTCAAGCAATCCTTCCACCTTGGCCTCCCAAAGTGCTGGGATTACAGGCGTGAGCCACGATGCTCGGCCTATATCTCATTTCTTCATCCCCTTAGACAAGCAGAAGAAAAATAACTTTCTGAATCCACCCAGGAATCAGCTTATTCAGACCAGATCAATTGTTAATAGCAATAATACAGAAACACTTACACATCAATTTGGCTTTACTTGTACAGAAAGAGCCGGGCATAGTGGCTCACACCTGTAATCCCAGCACTTTGGGATCGCTTGAGGCTAGGAGTTTGAGATCAGCCTGGGCAATATATCAAGAGTCCGTCTCTACAAAAAGAAAAAAAAAATGCACAAATGGAAATTTAATTTTTAAAGATGTCTAGTTTTGTATCATATAGACCAGGAAGATAACATAGACAGATAATTTCTACACATAAAAATATTTCCTTCAGTCAATGTAATAATCATAAAGTGGCTTTCATGACATCCGTTTTCAGATCTTGATATTGGGCCCAATTCACAATTTAAGTACAGTTTTCCTATTTTTATTGCCAACACATTGAGTACAGCTATTTCTCACTGTTTAAATCAGAGGGAGAAATTTCATCTAGAATTATTTATTTTCACTCTTTAATTTTATTCATGTGCCTCTGGAGAATGTATCTTTTGTATGATTCTGTTTCCAAAACCCTAAGGAAAACAGAAGACAAGATGCTATTGGTTTAGGGCCTTTAAAAGGTTATTCGGAGGGGTCTCTCCTGAACTTTTTTTTTTCATAAGTCATATTTCAAGTCTTTGATCTTGACAACCCTGAAATATTACCTTACAATTACATCATAACTATGAAATGACTTTTGTTGGCTAGTGACATGACTTTTTTAAAAGTTTCCACTAAATACACAAATATTACAGTGAAAGGATGTCAGAGTATTCGAAATGATTAGTGATGGTATTAAAATTGCCAGTATTGCTATATATTGTGCCCCTAGGAAATTCAGAATATTTATGATCAGGACTTCAAGTAGTCTAGACTTTTTTTTCCTCCTTTTAAAAGTGATTTTTAGCCTTTTCCACATGCTTTGCCATTACTTAAAGACATTCAAGCCATTGTTATTTTTTCAGTGGGGAAAAATAGCTAACATTCACACAAAAGTCAATAGAGCAACTGAACAAAATAAAATAATCTCAAACATTTATTAATTCAATAAATGTTTACTGCAGAGTCATAATATACATGATACAAATTCAACTGTGTGCCCTTGGCCCTTATTGCCCCCCAAACAGAAAGAGAAAGAAAAAAATAACTATTTCAATAGTGGCTGTTGTAATCACCTATCCACTCGGTGACTGAGGTCCCAGAGCCGGCCAGAGGAGGGACACGGACCCACTGTCAGCTTGGCTAGTTTTACTTTCTTCGTACCTCTCAGAGGTGAGGCTGAATGAGACGCTAGAGTCTGAAAAATAAGTGTTTAGGGTACATCTGGCCTGTAAATAAGTGCCGACTGATTCATCTGGTTCCCAACTAAAACAAAATAGCAATCTGATCCATTGTTGGAGAAAAACCTAGCTGTGTTGAACTTGGTGAAGGATGTTACTATACTTTATAAGCCGTTGAAGGGGTTAGGCATAGTGGCTCACACCTGTAATCCCAGCACTTTGGGAGGCCGAGGCAGACGGATCGCCTGAGGTCAGGAGTTCAAGACCAGCCTGGCCAACATGCTGAAACTCTGTCTCTACTAAAAAAAAATACAAAAATTAGCCAGATGTGGCAGCGGGTACCTATAATTCCAGCTACTTGGAAGTCTGAGGCATGGGAATCGCTTGAACATGGAGGCGAAGGTTGTTGCAGTGAGCTGAGATCTTGCCACTACACTCCAGCTTGGGCGAAAGTGAAACTCTGTCTCAAAAAAAAAAAAAAAAAAAAAAAAAAAAAAAAAAAAAAAAGGCCCCTGAAGGGATTTTCCATGGTTAATCTTGAAAGTTTTATTTGTGCTACCACTCATGGTAGATGCTCAGTACAATGTATCCAGTAAAGTACATCTGCTGTATACAGGCTCTGTGCTGTATACAGGGGAAAATTCCTGACCACTTAGTGGACATTTTGGAGATCTGAAAACAAGATTATCCACACAAACATACATATACATACACATATCTGACTTGAGAATAAGCCACGTTTTTTGTAGAGTGGGCCACTCTTGACGTGTCCTTTTCTCTTTTTTGTTTTGAGACAGTCTCACACTGTCGCCCAGGCTGGAGTGTAGTGGCCGGATCTTGGCTCACTGCAACCTCCACCTCCCAGGTTCAAGCAATTCTCCTGCCTCAGCCTCCCAAGTTGCTGGGACTACAGCCACGTGGCACCATGCCCAGCTAATTGACATGTCCTTTTCTAGCCTAATAGTTTAACTCATATTTACTTATTAGGAACTGTGAGTATGTCAAATGATATAAATTTAAAGGGTGAGATGAGACAAATTTTTATTTAGATTTCTCTTTTTAGAACTAATTATTGATACAATTGGAAATTTTGTTGTTTTTGTTGATGGTAATGGTGGCTTTTTAAAGAACAAGCTAGTGACTTAAAAATAAGCATAGGCTGGGCGCGGTGGCTCACGCCTGTAATCCCAGCACTTTGGGAGGCCGAGGCAGCCAAATTGCCTGAGGTCAGGAGTTTGAGACCAGCCTGACCAACATGGAGAAACCCCATCTATACTAAAAAAAAAATACAAAAATTAGCCGGGCGTGGTGGCACATGCCTGTAATCCCACCTACTCAGGAGGCTGAGGCAGAAGAATCGCTTGAACCAGGGAGGCAGAGGTTGCAGTTAGCCGAGATCCCGCCATTGCACCCCAGCCTGGACAACAAGAGCAAAACTCCATCTTGAAAAAAAACAAAAAACAAGTGTAGCTGAACGTGTTGTGGTGCCCATGGGTAATCCCAGCACTTTGGGAGGCCGAGGCAGGTGGATTGCATAAGCTCAGAAATTTGAGACCAGCTTGGGCAACATGGTGAAACCCAGTCTCTACAAAAAAAATGCAAAAATTAGCTGGGCGTGGTGGCACACACCTATAGTCCCAGCTACTCAGGAGGCTGAGGTGGGTGGATCGCTTGAACCTGGGAGGTCAAGGCTGCAGTGAGTCAAGATCACGCCACTGCACTCTAGCTTGGGTGACAGAGCGAGACCCTGCCTTAAAAACTAAAAAAACAGAGGCCGGGTGTGGTGGCTCACGCCTGTAATCCCCGCACTTTGGGAGGCCGAGGCGGGCAGATTACGAGGTCAGAGTTTGAGACCAGCCTGACCAACATGGTGAAACCCCGTCTCTACTAAAAATATAAAAATTAGCCAGGCATGGTGGCGCATCCCTGTAATCCCAGCTACTCAGGAGGCTGAGGCAGGAGAATCGCTTGAACCTGGGAGGTGAAGGTTGCAGTGAGCCAAGATCGGGCCACTGCATTCCAGCCTGGGAGACAGAGTGAGACTCTGTCTCAAAAAAAAACTAAAAAAATAGGCCTGGGGCAGTGGCTAACACCTGTAATCCCAGCACTTTGGGAGGCTGAGGCAGGTGGATCACTTGAGGTCAGGAGTTCAAGACCAGCCTGATCAACATGGTGAAACCCTATCTCTACTAAAAAAATACAAAATTAGCTGGGTGTGGTGGCGCACGCCTGTAATCCCAGCTACTTGGGAGGCTGAGGCAGGAGAATCGTTTGAACCCAGAAGGTGGAGGCTGCAGTGAGCTGAGATCGCGCCATTGCACTCCAGCCTGGGCAAAAAGAATGAAACTCCATCTCAAAACAATAGATAAATAAATGATATAAATAAAAACAAGTGTAAACCCAGAGAGCTTATTTGCTGATCACTGTGCAACATTAGCCAGTGGAAGGCTTTTATCTGTAACATGTATACTATGTATATACTGTTTAGTCGTGAGCCATAACATCAAACATTGACTGATACATATGTGCCGGATTCTGTGAATTGCTTCCCTGGCCCCAAACAGCCTCAGTTGCACCAAATCTGAAATGCATCCTGCCAAGCATTTTCCCCCTAATTGTTTTAACACAGGATATTTTCAGGAAAAGCTTATCCACCCATTTCTAATTCCATTACAGTTCGCCCCCTTAAGATGTTACCTTGCCCAAGCTAATTCTATCAAAAAAAAAAAAAAAAAAACTTTTTACTTCCTCTTTCAAGGTTTCACTACTTTGCAAACAGGTGGTCCATCAAAACAGCTGCCCATGCCCTCCTCCTCAACTCATGTTTGATTCAAGCTCAGAAGGAGCTTTGTTTAAGCACTCAGACTCCTGGAGAGGTTGGAAAACACACCAGCCCGGGATCAGGAGGAGAGAACTGAAGCAAGCACTGAACTTTCTAACAACTCAAACCTAATCTTTCCCTCTCTCCTTATAGGATCAAATGGAAATTGCAAAGGTCATATGCAATAACTCATTCAAGCTGACCTTTTGAGTTCAAGAGAAACTAGGATGACAAGATAGAAGTGTGGCTTTTAGACAGAGGGCCATCCTGCCTGGGGACATCAACAGATCTTGGTAGCTTTATTTTAGAACTAGAAAGAATGGCAGGAGAAGCAACGAGCATCCTCATTAAAGCTGATTTACTGGAGAGACTCAAAATCCTCCTTTCCTCTTTGGTATCACCCAAGTCACTCATGCCAATTTGTGAAGCTGCACATCATTATTTTAATTGTCTGCAGCCCTTGGGTGAGTTTTAATCATCTCAGTGGCCTGGTGGCTACAAGCAGGGCTCTGGACACTACAGTGAAGAGTTTTCACAGGCACATTTGGTGTCCACCAATTCAGATGGGACCAAAGAAACTAAAGGAACGTAGTCTCATTGATAAACTTTGGGGCAAGTTTTGGGTTTTGTTTTGTTCCTTCTCTCATAGCATAGGAGCTAACTGTCCTCTGATGTAACAAAGATAAATCAGAATCAGGCTCTGGCAAAGGTTTGTATTTGATCAACAAAACACTACACAAAAAAGTAGGTAGTCCGGCATTGCCCTGCTTTCCAAAGCTCTCACTGCTATGGGTTCATCCCTGCTAAAATTGCTTCCTTTCTGCAAACCTCCCGATAATCTTCCTAAAGGAAAAAGCCTTAAACAAATGATCCCTCTGCATAGAATGTTAATTGTCAGGTGACAGGAGTGTCAGTGGGTTCAGCTTCAGAGAAATGCTGAAATCAGGGACACACATGTCCTTTCTAGTGCTATTCAGTTCTCCTTATGTTCCTACACACATCCTTCACCCCGGGGAATCCACAGGTCTGTGCCTCAAGAGCCCCAGAATCACTCACCCCAGCCTGGCTGCAGATTCCACCCCCACAGCCATGGGTATGCCCTGCCTGCACTTCTGCTCTTTCCTCAAAGCCATGTGATGAGACAGAAACCTGAAACATTCCTTGGGTGCTCTTGGTATTTGAATCATTGTTTAAATGGGTTTGACACAGCAAAGTTTAGAAACTTTGTGAAGAGAGAAATAGGTGGCTGGGCAGGGATGGTTCACATCTGTAATCCCGACACTTTAGGAGGCCGAGGTGGAAGGATCACTTGAGGTCAGGAATTCGAGACCAGCCTGTCCAACATGGCAAAACCCCATCTCTACTAAAAATACAAAAATTAGCCAGGCGTGGTGGTGCGTGCCTGGGGTCCCATCTACTTGGGAGGCTGAGGCACAAGAATCACTTGAACTGGGAGCAGGACGTTGCAGTGAGTTGAGACCTCACTGCTGCACTCCAGCCTGGGTGACAGGGTGAGACTCCATCTCAAAAAAAAAAAAAAAAAGAAAAAGAAACAAAAAATAAATAAAGAGAGAAATAGGGAAAAGTGAGAGAAAAGATGGGAACTGTCAAAAAACAGTGATCCTGCGGTATGTCGCAGGAGACTCACAGTAAGCAAATGCTGGCCGCCTGGAGGGCAGGCATGGTGCCAGTTGCATTTGGGTGGCCCCATCAGAGACCCTGACGGCTGTTCGTATTGCTGCCACCCTTCTATCTGGACATTTCTTGTAAGATCTTTCAACACTGCTCTAGATTTGTGTAATTCTAATCTCTGTGGCTATACAGAGAAAAATGAGGTCCAACCAAAATAGGAGCAGGGCTCTCTGGAGAATCTCTTGGATTCTAAGGGAGGTATAGCTCAGGGGTGACCTACTAGAAAGTTTGTCTAAGATCTTTACTGCCCACTGGTGTTGCCAGGGAAACTGGCATGGTGGAAGTCGGCCCATGCTGAGCCTTATTAATAAGTAGCTGAGATTTGCTGTCACACAAAGGCTGAGAGACCACCATGACATGGCAATAGACACAGGGTGAGGGCAAAGCAGGGACATGAAAGAACCACAGTTATATGGACACAGTAAGGAGACAGTTAAGGACACTGGGGTAAGTGTAGAGGGCTGGTTCTTGTTGAGATACAGAAAGAAAAATATCTTCCCTTAAAAAAATCAACACCATATTCTTGCCATAGAGATAAGAAAAGTGGTGATGAACCAGCCCAAAGTAATCTCCAAGGGACCAAGCCTTTTTGGAGATATGACAATCTACAAAGTCGTTGATTTCCCAACATTCTCCCTTCTGTGCCTTACAGTGCAGAGTGATACTGATTTATTAAGCCAAAGTGAACTGAGGTTAATTTAATTTTGAGGATTTCTCAACATGCCTTCAGAGAGTTGGAGACACTCTAGGTTGTTGTGAAACTGAGGCTGGAAGTCCCTGTCATCCCACATATCTAGGTTTAGTGGGACCAACTGATTGGCTCAGGGGGAGAAATAAAGGAAGTACTAAGAAACCTCCTTTTTCAGGTGAAGGTAAATAACAAGAAAAAGGATAAGCATGTTTATTTAATAAATGATTTCATGATCTCTGAAATCCACCCTTCCAGCATGCATCTGTGGGGCTAATCCTGCCTGCTCAGGCCCAGGAGGGGTGAGCCTGCTTGAGCCTCGGGCAGCTGCAGAATCAGACAGCTGAAGAAAGGCCCGGGTACCAGCCTTTAGAGGTAGGTCAAGTGAGTTAGCCACTTTTCCTAAACAAAGAGTGCACACATGCACAAGTACTTGATTAAAAACCATTTTTTTCTTTTTTCTTTTCTTTCTTTTTTTTTTTTTTTGAGACAGAGTCTCACTCTATTGCCCAGGCTGAAGTGCAGTGGCATAATTTCAGCTCACTGCAACCTCTGTCTCCCTGGTTCAAGCGATTCTCATGCCTCAGCCTCCCAGATGGCTGGGATTACAGGTGTACACCACCACGCCCGGCTAATTTTTTCATTTTTAGTAGAGACAGGCTTTCACTATGTAGACCAGGCTGGACTCGAACTCCTGACCTCAGGGGATCTGCCCACCTTAGCCTCCCAAAGTGCTGGGATTTAGGCATAAGCCACTGTGCCTGGCCCTGATTGAAGACAAATTTCTATAAACATTTCCTTCTGAGCAAATTTCAAGGCAATTAGAAAGGCTCCTGTCCTTTCTAAGCCTATATTTTCAGCTTTTCCTTTATTTCTGTGATCTACCCGCATATCTTCATGATAAATGTATTTTTGCTTAAATTAATTAGAATTGGCTTCTGCTGCTTGCAATCGAAGTATTCTAACTGCTACACACACCTTCAGAAAAAGTCCAGGTTGTTAAAATGGAAAACCAAAATAGAAAAATAGGAATTTATTTTTCCTAGCTTTCTCCTGTCGAGAAGGAGAGAGATGAATAGAGACAATTGCACTCACTGGTTTGCTTTGTGAGGTCATAATTTTTCATTATTTGCCAGAAGAAATAAGATACACATTGAGATGGAGAAGTCGTCTAATGTGAACACTGCAGAGTTTACAGCTCAGTGTCCTGTTAGAATGTCTGAAATTCTCTCGCTCTGAAATATGTCCTTTCCATGTCCCCAGACCAGGCTTTGCTGACAGCAGCTGGGCATGTTTTCAGTACTTCTCAGCTCAAGTCATCATCTAATGCAGAGACAGGCTTCATTTCATTGATGGAAACTGTAAAGCTGACTCCTTACTGAAGATCTCTCTTCTGTGTGTCTGATGCCAGACAAGGCCCTGGGGGAAATGCAGAGGAACAGGACCCTGTTTCTGCCCTTGAGAAATTCACAGTTTAGTGGAGCAGCCGGGCACCGACGCTCCTCACATGGTAGCTGCTCCTGAACGGAGGCCATGGTTGCTAGGCAGCTGGTTCAGAACAGTTATTCAAGTCAGGAAGTCAAGTCCTGCTTTTAGCTCTGCCCCTTGACATGTGAGATAAGTCACTTGTCTGAGGATCTTCTGCCTACAGTGTAATACATATAATTAGAGAATTACTTAACATCTCCCTATAATGAGCTGCAGTTGCATAAGCCTGGATATATTTTAATGATTCCAATTAAAAGGGAATACAATCTTGTTCCCAGGTCTTCCTGAGTAAAATCCAAGCACCCGTTCCCACCAGTCTTATAGATCATTACTATATTTCTTTGGTGTCTTCCAAAATGGCATGACTAAATTCAGTAAGTTTATTGAGAGAATGAGCAAATGACTCAAGAGTCAGTATTGGCTCCTCGTGCTACAACGTCTAGCACTTAAACAACTGTGCCCTTCACGGTCATGGACATCTGTCCTTTTGGCCTGCTCAGCTTCCATCCCCTCTTTTTCTAGTAACAGCTCCTCATTTGGCTTTGGGGAACTATCGCTTCCTGTTGGATACAATCGTAGTGGTTCTTTTAACCAAATCTAAGCCAGGCTAGAAACACAACACCGGAATTTCAGTCTTGAATGTTCTTGAGAATGGTCAGAGGTCAACGGAGACTGCAGTACCCTGAAGAGAGTATCCATTGGTTCCTGCGGCCTGAACCCTGGGCTTTGCTCTGGCTCCTGTCCTTTCTGAGCCTATATTTTCTGCTTTTCCTTTATTTCTGTGACCTACCCGCATATCTTCACAATAAATGTCTTTTTGCTTAAATTAATTAGAATTGGCTTCTGTTGCTTGCAATCGAAGTATTCTAACTGCGACACACACCTTCAGAAAAAGTCCAGGTTGTTAAAATGGAAAACCAAAATAGAAAAATAGGAATTTTGAAGCTAAAAGAAGCTTTTGAAATCTAGTTAAACTCTTTCATTTCCCATAAAATCTGACCCAGAGAAGTGACGTGACTTGATGAATATCCTACTATTGGTTGGTAAAAGCCAAGCCTAGAACCCAGGAGACCTAGAACCCAGGAGCCCTTCCACTTTTCTACCCTATTTCCTGTCCTCAGATCTTCTCTTCTAAGGTTATTGCCTATGACTACTTTCATGCTACTACAGTAGAGTTGAGTAGCTGTGACAGATGACATATAGTCTCCCACGCCTAAAATATTTACAATCAGGCCCCTTATAGGAAAAGGTTGCCAACACCTGCCATACACCATACATAAATGAATGTATGACTGTGTTCCAATATAACTTTATTTATAGACACTGAAATGTTAATTTCATATAATTTTCAAGTTTCTCCAAATATTCTTTTGATTTTTTTAAACACTTAAAAATGCGAAACCCATTCTTCGTTCACAGACTGTACAAAAACAGGAAGCAGGCTGGATTTGACCTACAGAATGATGGGATCCTACATGCATCCCTGGTTTTAGCCAGTTTGAGTTAGGGTTTCTGCTACGTGCAATGAAATATGACCTAAATGATAAAATAAAGTCATCCATACATTTATTGCTCATCTATTATGCGTGAGGCACACAATGAGGAATAAGACACAATTCCTTCTCCTAAGGACTCAGTAATCTAGTTAGGAACTCAAGGGCTTCCACAATAGTAGTCACCTTTATTAAGCACTTATAACAATGTGCTGATTGCCTTCCCCTTCAGATGAGTTATCTCATTTAGTCTTAATGATGCCATGAAATGGCTTATTGCTGTGTCATAGACTAGGAAAGTGAGGCTCAGAGAGATCAAGTACCTGGCACAAGGTTACACAGCTTACAAGTAGTAGAGCAGAGTTGAACCCAGGTTGTGTGACTCTGAAGCCTGGAGACCCAAATGCTGTGCTAAATGAACCCGCCATACACTGTGATTCCCACTGTCTGCCATCTGCCTGCTCCTACCCAGTCCTCCACAGACCAGAGGACTTCCTGCTGAAATGCTGCGCATCCCTCTGTCCCAGGTGTTTGAACATCCCAACCACCAACTTTTGAAACTCCTCTTCCTTCTTCTGAGCACTCACAGCACCTGATGTCTAGTTACTCTTCTTGAGCATATAGAGTTTTGATTGCCATTTAACTTTTTCTCTCTCCCCAAGCTATACTACAGTGTCAAGGGCGGGAATGTTCCTCTGCCTCTTTGGTAACCCTTAGGGACAAATACTCAGTCAACTCAAAGTTGAAACAAACTATCAAAAGAATGAGATGAAAGGAGAGATCAGGCAGCTAAAGAAACAATTAAGGACCAAGAAATCATCACCTTCTGTAAGTCAGAAAAAACTAAAGGCACAAAAAGCACCAGCCCCCAAAATGAAAGGAACACATCAGGAAAATACTTGAGGTAATACAAGTTAAAACAGAGGGGGAAAGCAATAATTAAAGCAACTATTAAGAAATGAATAGAAATAGAGGGTAAATTGATATCCATCACTGAAACAGAAGCCTCCTATCCTAAAAAATAGAACTGAAAAAATATTTGAGAACATAATACAGAAAAACTTTTCCAAGCTCAAAGAACACTTGAGTCTTCAGATTTAAAAGGCCCACTCAGCTGGGCACAATGGCACACACCTATAATCCAGCTACCTGGAAAGCTGAGGCCAGAGGGTTGTTTGAGCCCAGGAGTTCAAGACCAGTCTGGGCAACATAGCAAGACCCCATCTCAAAAAATGAACAAAATAAAATAAAATAATAGGGCCCATTCTATGCCAGACAAGGTCTAGATACTTAGAAAAGAAAAGAAAGAGAGAGAAAGAAAGAAAGAATGAAAGAAAGAATGAAAGAAAGAAAGAAAGAAAGAAAGAAAGAAAGAAAGAAAGAAAGAGAAAAGAAAAAGAGAGGGAGGGAGGGAGGAAGGAAGGACAGACAGACGGATGGACAGAAGGAAGAAAGGAAGGAAGGAAGGACCCATTCTAAACTAGGGAAATATGATATAGATCGATCAACAAGAATTCTTGGCCAGGTGCAGTGTCTCACGCCCGTAATCCCAACACTTTGGGAGGCTGAGGCAGGTGGGTCACTTGAGGTCAGGAGTTTGAGACCAGCTCTCAAACTTTAGTAAAGACAGATGGTGAAAATCTGTCTTTACTAAAAATAAAAATAAAAAAATTAGCCAGGTGTAGTGAAGTGCACCTCAGCTACTAGAGAGGCTGAGGCAGGAGAATCGCCTGAACCTGGGAGGTGGAGGCTGCAGTGAGCCGAGATCATGCCACTGCACTCCAGCCTGGGTGACAGAGCAAGACTCCATCTCAAAAACAAAAAACAAAACAAAAAAAAAAAACCTAGGATCTGACAAGGGGAAAACTACAAGCCTGGCATCATCCTTCCAAATAGCAACATTTAATGCCAGAAGGCAATAGAAAAATGCCTACAAGGTTTTGAGGAAAAGAAAAGGCAACTCAAGAACATTACACTCAGCAAGATGTCACTCACATACATAGTGACATAACAGTCAAACATTCTCAAATATGAAAGAATTTGGGGAATATAACACCACTAAGTCCTTCTGCAGGGGCAAAAAATAGGAGAAAAAAGCCTACTCGACAGTGAAATACAACCAGTCAAAAAAATTGACCAAATTAGAGAACTAGTAATGTGAAACTCTTGATAAAAGGACTAGCAGTAAACACTGAATTCAATTAAATATAGAAAGAGGACTAGACCTCTGGAGAAATAAATAGATGCAAATCAGAATGTAGATGCTATAAAGTCAAACAAATTAAAAATTATAGAAGCATCAAAAATTGGGAGTGGGGAAGAAGCATGAGAGCACTAAATCATCTTATTACCTGGCAGGAAGCCAATCAAAACCACCCACCCAACCTTTCAATTAATTTTCATCACCCATTATATTTTTCTAATCTTGGGATGATCTTCTAGAAACTAACATGTCTTGTCATTCAGGAACTAATCTTTGAAGTTTATTAATTTCACCTGAGTTCCTTTTTACTGTTAAGTTCAGGTAAAACCAAGCCTAATGTTTTTAATTATTTTAAAAGCATGCATAATATAATCATGTTACAATAAAATTATTTGTGACCTCTCTTGCTTTCTGATTATTTTTCAATGGTAATTGTAACAATAGCTAATTCTTTTTACGTGCTCACTACGTGTCAACACTATCTTAAGAACTTTACATGTATCTACAAATTTAATCCTCATAAACTCACTCTATTGCCCAGGCTGGAGTGCAGTGGCGTGATCATGGCTCACTGCAGCCTCCACCTCCTGGGCTCAAGTGATCCTCCCACCTCAACCTCCCAGATATCTGGGACTACAGGTGCACGCCACCACACCCAGTTAATTTTTTAAAAATATTTTTTTGTAGAGATGAGGTTTTGCCATGTTGTCCAGGCTGAACTCCTGGGCTCAAGCGATCCACTCACCTCAGCCTCCCAAAGTGCTGCTATTACAGGCATGAGGACCGCTGGCCCCCCACATAAAATTTTTAAGGAGTAGATATCATCACCCCCATTTTACAGGTAAGGAAACTGAGGAATGGAGATGTTTCCTATGGGTTACACAGATAGTACATGGGAGAGCTAAGAGTCAAACCCAGGGATTCAGACTCCAGGGTCTTTGCTGTCTTTGCTCTCAACCATCACCCTATATTGCTTCTCCACAAGTGGATAGGTAGGACATTTGTTGCTTTCTTTGTACTTGAAATTTTAAATGATGATCATATGTCACTTTTAAAAAGTCACTACCAAAAAACAAAAGAGCTTCTACTTGGAAAACAAGATGAATATTCCCTGGGCCAACAGAACAGAGGCTAAACCATCCTGACCATCTAATAATCTAGGCAGGGCATGTTTAAGAGAATTAACTCCTTTACAACTAGAGTAGGCTTTGGAACAATAGTAGCCTGCAACTTTAATGATAATCATTGCAAAACAGCATATCTGTGTTTTATTGGCTCTAGGCAGATTAGCTGGAGGAAATAAGCTTCCTCAAGAGATCACCTCTGGGAGAGAGGAAAATATGCAATAAAAGAAGAGGTCGAAGAAGTCCCAGGTGTACGGAGTCAGCATCCAGATTACTGTATCTCTGAGCAATTTGCTGGACTGACACAGCTTCATTTTAAATGACATAACATAACCAGCATGATTCATCCTGCCGTCCAAGGGCTATATAATAAGTGTGGTAATGGGGGAGCATCTCCCGAGAGGGTACAGGAACAGCTGTGTGTGTCACCTGGGAATGGCACCCACCTATAAATCCCATCTCTTTGACAACGATTCTAAAGTCCCTCTGTCACTGTCACTCACCCACAAAATTAGTGACTAAAGGGGAGAAGGAGAGGAAATGCCTCGCCCCTGAAATAGAGAAAGACTGAGAGAGGGACAGAGCAAGTTAATAAATAAAACAAGAGCCTGAAGGGAAGAGCTGCTTTGTCAGAATATAAATATTTCCCTTCCCCTTTTATCTTTAATGTAGTGTGAGAAGCTTATTAAAGGGAAATGCTTCTCTGTCCCTGGAGCCCTCGCACAAGCCTTGCGGGGAGCTGCCTGCAGAACGGGGTCGCCTAGCCCCACGCTTCTAAACTCTTCCCTGCTGGAAGTGAGCGTAATGTGCAGAGCAATAAAGAAGGGCTGGGGGAGGAAAGGGAAGACATTGTGGCCATTAGGATCCTTATCTTGATGGGCCTGGTGTCAGGTTATGTTAATCGCTGGGAGATGCTGAGAGACTGAGGATGAGAAATGCCTGTCTGCTCAAAGGCTTGGCCTGAGATTCCAAGGGAGGCTGACATTGCTAGACTTACCCTCTGCTCCGTTAGAGAGAACAACATCCAAATTTAGACAAAGGGGAATTTGCCTGATGGAGGCGTGGATGGAGAGTCCTGTGGGTGTTCCTCTGAGGAGCCCTTGGTGGCTGCACATCTCACATCTCCAAGAAGACAGCCAGCACGAGCAGTCCCAGCATACCCCCAACAGAAGCCTATTCCAAAAGCATGGAAGACATTTGCCGTCCACATCTCCTTCCTAAAACCCCTAAAAGGATGGGACATTAAGGGCCTACATACCAAGTCAGGCCAGCACAGAGCCTGGCACGTGGTATGTGTGCAGTAAGTCTGTACGGCACGACACGGAGACTGTACTGGGCTTGTTTACCACTGTATCTGTGGGTCCACACACAGGGGCCAGCACACTTGGTTTTGGATGGATGAATGAACACATGCATTTAGACACAATTAGGGCATCTCCTTTGCTGGCCATGTTTGCTGCCTCTCCAAAGGATCTTTGGATCTGGTCAGGATTTGGGTCCTGCTGAGCTTTGAGGCTACCATATCTTTGCTGGCCTTTTGGAGATATTCGGCCATGTGGTTATACAAAGATAAGCCACCCATCCATCAGGTGCCAAGTCTAGCCAAAGGCTGGGAGTTGGGGGTGGAGAGAACGGCTAAAAATTGCTGCCAAAACGTGCTACTCCTTCAGTCTCCTTGGCTGAGATATTCCAAAGGAGCAGGCCCTGGTTGCTTTGCTACTATACACCACCTGCCACACACCCATGCGTTTCTATTTCTATAACGTAATCAATGGAGGGAACAGAAATGACTTTAAAACTGCATTTCTAAGTCTCTTTTGTGCTCAGACCAGGGTATGCACTTAGCAAGTGTCTACTGCCATTTCAAACCCATTAGGCATCACATGATCATTCCTGCTGCAGAACCTGCTCTGCATCCCCATTTGGGCGCTCCATCCTACCCATTTTGATGTCTCTTGGGGTTTCATCCTCAATAATTTTTTGTCTATGGTTCCCTTCCCACTGAAACTAATTAGGTTGGAATAAAGACTCAGCTACAGGCCAGGCGCGGTGGCTCACGCCTATAATCCCAGCACTTTGGGAGGTCGAGATGGGCGGGTCATGAGGTCAGGAGATCGAGACCATCCTGGTTAACACGATGAAACCCCGTCTCTACTAAAAACACAAAAAAATTAGCCGGGCATGGTGGCGGGCGCCTGTGGTCCCAGCTACTTGGGAGGCTGAGGCAGGAAATGGCATGAACCCGGGAGGCGGAGCTTGTGGTGAGCCAAGATTGCACCACTGCACTCCAGCCTGGGCGACAGAACGAGACTCTGTCTCAAAAAAAAAAAAAAAAAAAAAAAAGACTCAGCCACTTTCAGGATCAACGACATCTTATGGCAATGTCCATGTTACAGGGAAGTGTATAATTCAGGGATGGTGAGCCATTCTTAGCTGGTTCCTAGAGAATTCTTTGTCCAGGGTTCTAAACATTACCTACAACAACTGGCAATACCTGATTTAACATTCCGCCTCCTGTATAAGCCCCATCTAGCCTCCCTGTGGTCTCAGCCGCACTAGGGGCCTGGAACCTTGAGAGGGCCTGTTTCCAGTGTTCCCACCAACAGGGTGGAGGAGGAGGTGTGGGGGCGGGGTGGCACACATATATCTGAGGGGTGGTTGTGTGGGAGAGGGATTAAATTTGTACTGTGAAAATCAATGGAAGCCTTGGGGAGGCAGATTTCAGTTCAATATAGTGAAGGACTTTCTAACAATTAAAGCTGTCCAAAAATGAAATGGGAACATGCAAAGAAAGCCCTCTCTCCCTGGAGTTCAAGCAGAGCTGAGATCTCTCCTGCCAGAACTGTGTTTTGGCCAGTGGCACAGACACCTGACACTTGTCAGCGTGATCAACTGGTGCCTCCAGTTCTGAAGCCAGATGGCCCGGGTTCAAATCACAGCCCCACTAGTTACTAGCTCCATGATCTTGGACAAGTTATTTAGCCTCTCTAAGTGTCCATTTCTGCATCTAAAACATGCAGATAAAAAAAACACATTAGACTTTCTGGGCAATTGTGAGGGTTTTATGTTTATCAAAAGAATCTGTGTTTCTTTTGTGTGTTTGTTTGTTTGTTTTTGAAAAGTAAGATGGGGTTCTAAGCCTTTGGGTGCTCAAAGCCCTTACTGGTTTATAGAAGTCATGAAAGACAGGGCACCATTTTTACTTGCTACAACATAAAACAGCATTTTTGTAATTAATTGTTTTTGGGGGTTTTGTGTGTTTTTAAAGATAGTAAGGCAGATGTATTCAAGGGGGGCCATGGTGATAGGTATAGGGACCACCGTAACAGGGACTTATAGTTGGGGAGGAAGATTGGACTCAACTCCTATAATTGTTATTTTACATACACACATAAACACAAACTTCAGTGTTTAAGCTCTCAGAAATTATGAGGAAAATTATTTTAAACCAACAAATTTAACTGCATAAAGAAAAGTAGAAAACAACGTTTTTATTCAACAAATATTTATTAAGCACCATCTAGTGCAAAGCCTCCTAGGAAATAAAAATATGTTTTAGGCTGGGCACAGTGACTCATGCCTATAATCCCAGCATTTTGGGAGGCTGAGGTGGGCGGATCATCTGAGGTCAGGAGTTCGAGACCAGCCTGGCCAACATGGTGAAACCCCGTCTCTACTAAAAGTACAAAAATTAGCCAGGCAAGGTGGTGGTTGCCTGTAATCTCAGCTACTTGGGAAGCTATGGCCGGAGAATCACTTGAACCTAGGAGGCAGAGGTTGCAGTGAGCCGAGATTGTGCCACTGCACTCCAGCCTGGGCAACAGAGCAAGACTCCACAAAAAAAAAAAAAAAATTAGATGCAGATGCTGCCTGCCAGTGGTTTGCTGTGCAGCAAATAACTGCTTCTGACCCTTCCACTTGCAAGAATGGGCAGGGTTCCACAGGCTCTGCAAATCTAAAATGAGCTATAGGGCATTTTGAATTGGCTTGTATCCCAGATGAAACAGGCAGGACCATAAGATAAAGCAAGCTGAACATTTTTTAATGTGCCATTAGGACTTCAGTTTTTTCCCTGTTTTCCATCAGAAGGTCAGCTCCTCTGAAGATTATAATCATGTTGATAAATGCTATATGCATATTGCCTAAAACTGAAAAAGAAATTTTTTCTTCTTTTATTTATACCTAGCACAGTTTTTGGTTCTGAAAGACCTATGCCTAAAAAGGGCATGGGTAGAAATAAACATGGGATGACCAAAATATCTTTTCTATGGGGTATAAGCATCCAGATTTGGAAAAGAAAGCTTTTTCTTCAACAGCTCCTGTGGTCTGCAGCAACTTACAAACATCCATCTCTTCAGTGTATTTGTGCATTGGAAATATTCAGGATGGAAATGTGACTTTCCTCTGGCCCTGCCATTCCTACAGTATTCTCACTCTCAACTGAGCATACATGATGCTGGCAGCCTTTTGAGAAACCAGAAACTTTAGCTCCCATCTGCCCAGATCAAATTGCCTCTTTAAACCATTACAAATAATAATCATTCCTTACTGAGTATTTGTAACATGCTCAGTACTAAGTACATTGTATTATCTCATTTGACCTTTGCAATCCTATGAAGCAGGTGCTATTATTAAATATTATCACCATTTTACAGATGAGGAAACTGAGGCCCAGGGGAGTTAAGAAGCGTGTCCAAAGCCACATAACTAACAAGCTACTGAACAAGGATTAAAATCCACAAAACCTAGGCTCTCCACCAAAACTATCAAACTGCATCTCTAAAGAAAGATGAGTCCCCACTATACCAAAACTAAGAGCTTTCAAAATAGTGAATGGGAAAACTACTCTACCACTCTTAGAAGAGAAATGTGAGGTTGTTTCTAGAGGAAACATCCTGTATTCCTTACAGTGATGCAGCATCCCATGAACATCCTGGTCTTGTGATCTTCTCTGGGACAGCTGGCTGCATAGGAGGTAGAGAGAAACACATCCTCACCGAGGCTTCCACAGAAAACACGAGCTCATCCTGTCTGTTTGCTCTCTAAGAGCCTTCTCCAGGCCAGACATACACAGATGGCTTGTGCTGTTAGGAGCAGGCTAAATTTCTTCCTTGTTCTTATTTCCTTCCCACAAGTGTTTTTTTTTTTTTTTTTTCTTCAAAGAGAGAACTGGATCCAATGTCCCATTCTTAAGCTGGCATGGTGGCTCAAGCCTGTAATCCTAGCACTTTGGGAGGCCAAGGCAGGTAGATTACCTGAGGTCAGGAGTTTGAGACCAGCCTGGCCAACATGGTGAAACCCCATCTCTACTAAAAATGCAAGCAATTAGCCGGGCATAGTGGCAGATGCCACTATGAATGTAATGTAATCCCAGCTATTTGGGAGGCTGAGGCATGAGAATCGTTTGAACCTGGGAGGCGGAGGTTGCAGTGAGCCGAGACGGTGCCAATGCACTCCAGCCTGGGTCACAGAGTGAGACTCCGTCTCAAAAAAGTCCCATTCTTTGACTTACTACCTGTATAACCCTGGACCTCTCTATGCCTTGGTTTTCCCATCTGTAAAATGTGTCAAATAAACTGTAGCCACCTCAAAGTGCTGCTATGAGGATGAAGACTCAAGAAGTGTGGGTTAAGGGCTTAGCACAATGCCTGACTATGGTAAACACTCAATAAATGTTAGCTGTTAATAAAAATAGTAACGACACAGCTAATACCAGACACCGGAGTCAGTTAGCCGGCTTACTCTTAACTGTTCAGCTGGAATTTAAGTCAGGACATCACCAACCCTGGGTGCCAAAACACAGCAAGACCAATATGGTCCTCAGAACTAGGGCTTTAAAATAGGGTAATCTCTTGGAGCCATGGACCAGCTTTATAAATTAAGGCTAGGGGAAGAGGAGGAGTGAAGTTTCACAGGTAAACCAAAGCCCCTTTTGTTAGAGTGAGAAGTCTGTCGCTTCTTTTGTTTATCTCTTCTCTAAATGTTTCCTCTCTGGCCTCCTGGGCTGTTTTCAAAACCCCTCCGTTTTGGTAACAACTCTTCACAAGTCTGCTGGAAGCCAGAGAAACAAGCCAACAGCCCCTTCCCCAGCACAAACAGCCAGCAGCACAGCCAGGTCCCTCCCCTACCTCTGGGGTGAGGCTGGATGCCAGCAGTGGTTTCTGCAACACACTTCCAGTCCTTTCTTGACAAGGCACAGCTGTCCGGGGCAGCTCAGGCTATGGACACCAGGCAGATCAGCCCCACTCACCAGCTTTCTGTGGGTCTCCCAGTCACGGGCCACCCCGAAAGCCCCTCACTCTGGTCAGTCACTTGGATCCTTCACTCTGGAACTCACACAAGCTATTTGCAACGTGAGGTGGGGAGGAAGCAGAGAAAATAAAGTTGTGCCCTTATGTGCAAAGTTCTTGGGTAAAACACAAGCCCAGGAACCCACACGTGTGGATTCTAGTTCCAGTTCTTTCTGTCGTGAATTGTCCAGCGCTTGGACAATTCACTCTACCATGTTGGGCTTCAGTTTTCTCACCCCCCAAAATAAAGGGAATGAATGACTGGAGTCTGAGATCACTTATAAAAAAATCAATCCCTAGGCCGGGCACGGTGGCTCATGCCTGTAATCCCAGCACTTTGGGAGGCTGAGACGGGCAGATCACAAGGTCAGGAGTTCAAGACCAGCCTGGCCAACATAGTGAAACCCTGTCTCTACTAAAAATACAAAATTACAAAAATTTTGTATTTTTGTAAAAATACAAAAATTAGCTGGGCATGGTGGCGCGTGCCTGTAGTCCCAGCTACTTGGGAGGCTGAAGCAGGAGAATCGCTTCAACCCAGGAGGCGGAGGTTGCAGTGAGCTGAGATTGTGCCACTGCACTCCAGCTTAGGCAACAGAGTGAGACTTTGTCTCAAAAAAAAAAAAAAAAAAAATCAATCCCTGAACCATTCTCCAACTCGGCCCTTCCTATTTATTTATTTATGAGACAGGGTCTCACTCTGTCACCCAGGCTGAAGTGCAGTGGTGCTATCACAGCTCACTATAGCCTCAATCTCCCAGGCTCAGGTGATCCTCCCACCTCAGCCTCCTGAGTAGTTGGGACTTTAGGCACGTTCTACCACGCCCAGCTAATTTTTGTATTTTTGTTAAAGACAGAATTTCACCATGTTGTTCAGGCTGGTTTTGAACTCAGCTCAAGCAATCCACCCACCTCGGCCTCCCAAAGTGCTGGGATTACAGGTATGAGCCATAGCACCCAGCCTAGCCCTTCATTTTTAAATCACAGGATAGGCTGGCTCCTAGCTCAGGCCAAACTCCCATTATAATTTTGAGACAAATTCAAGGTCATCACAGAAAACCAGATTCATTTGTCGATCAAGGCTATAAGATTGGGCCAGGCACGGTGGCTCACTCCTGTAAATCCCAGCACTTTGGGAGGCCCAGGTGGGCGGAACACTTGAAGCCAAGAGTTCGAGACCAGCCTGGCCAATGTGGCGAAACCTCATCTCTACTAAAAATACAAAAATTATCCAGAATCTACAATGAACTCAAACAAATTTACAAGAAAAAAACAAACAACCCCATCAAAAAGTGGGCGAAGGATATGAACAGACACTTCTCAAAAGAAGACATTTATGCAGCCAAAAAACACATGAAAAAATGCTCACCATCACTGGCCATCAGAGAAATGCAAATCAAAACCACAATGAGATACCATCTCACACCAGTTAGAATGGCAATCATTAAAAAGTCAGGAAACAACAGGTGCTGGAGAGGATGTGGAGAAATAGGAACACTTTTACACTGTTGGTGGGACTGTAAACTAGTTCAACCATTGTGGAAGACAGTGTGGCGATTCCTCAGGGATCTGGAACTAGAAATACCATTTGACCCAGCCATCCCATTACTGGGTATATACCCAAAGGACTATAAATCATGCTGCTATAAAGACACATGCACACGTATGTTTATTGTGGCACTATTCACAATAGCAAAGACTTGGAACCAACCCAAATGTCCAACAATGATAGACTGTATTAAGAAAATGTGGCACATATACACCATGGAATACTATGCAGCCATAAAAAATGATGAGTTCATGTCCTTTGTAGGGACATGGATGAAATTGGAAATCATCATTCTCAGTAAACTATTGCAAGGACAAAAAACCAAACACCGCATGTTCTCACTCATAGGTGGGAATTGAGCAATGAGAGCACATGGAGGCAGGAAGGGGAACATCACACTCTGGGGACTGTTGTGGGGTGGGGGGAGGGGGGAGGGATAGCATTAGGAGATATACCTAATGCTAAATGACGAGTTAATGGGTGCAGCACACCAGCATGGCACATGTATACATATGTAACTAACCTGCACATTGTGCACATGTACCCTAAAATTTAAAGTATAATAATAATAAAATAAAATTAAAATACAAAAATTAGCCAAGCGTGGTGGTGCACACCTGTAGTCCCAACTTCTTGACAGACTGAGGCATGAGAATTGCTTGAAACTGGGAAGCAGAGGTTGCAGTGAGCCGACATGGCGCCACTGCACTCCAGCCTGGGTGACAGAGCGAGACTGTCTCAAAAATAAAAAAGAAAAGAAAGAAAAGACTATAAGATCCATGATGGCGGGGACACACATTCCCCGCATCTCACACAGCACAGGGCCTGAACATAATGACTCTAAATACATTTTTAAAAATAAACGAAGACCATGTGGTTTAATTACACCCTTTTAACTTGAGCTGTACCTTACTCGTTCATTCAATCATTTATCGAACGCACTTTGCTGCTGGCACTGTGCCCCACTGCAGTGTGACTGTGTGGATTTAAATAACCTTCTGTGACTACCTATAAACAAAATAACTGGTGACTGACGCAGGGAATTAAAAGCAAGGAGAGATTCCTCAACATATTAATGAGAAAGTTAGCTAAGAAATAAAGGGCTTCTCTGTTCCCATCCCAGAGGCTTCTGATAGGCAGCATTCTAATAAAAGTTGCTTTAACCGGCTTCACACTTTCAAAGCCAAAATTAACACCATACAACGGAAGGCCCCAAATAAATTCAGAAGGTAAGACCCGAGCCAGGGAGGGACTCGGATTTACTCATGAAAAGGAAATCTCAAAGCCCTCTTCAGTCTCAAACTGGCTCACTCCACCCTCTCTTAACCACCTCTTCGATCCGTCACCTCCCTTTGGGGACCCTGCCAGGTTCCTCAGGGCCAGCCACTCCTCGGCCCCTCCTTCAGGTGAAACCATTCTCAAATTAAATCACAAAGAGGAGCAGCCAGTCTGCAATGATCTGTGTTTATTTAGTAAATGGGTTGATTGCCCTCATTTGTGGAGATTAAGGGTTAATTTCCCAATGCAAAGAGAACCGATTTCTCCAAAAGCAGCCGCAGATAATTAAGTGGAAAAAACAAAATTCAAATACCTCTCCCCACCCCGACCCCTACCACCCTGCCCCTTCCCATCCAGTTTTGGCCTCTCGGTGGCCTCTCATGCAAGGTAGCCACAGGCTCTGGGTTCACTGAGGCTCTGAGGAAGGATTTGGTAAACAAAGGCTTAGGAATTCTTTAGGCCCCTCTAAGCTGACATCTGGCAAATTCGAGATCACATAACAGTTTCTCTCTCCCCCCCTCTTCTGGCTTTGAAAGGCAAATGTTTTGAGGTTTGTGTTCTCTCCCATTCACAGGGTTTTTAATCAAGTGGAGTCAAACCACTTTGTCTACACCTTAATTGAAGAGCCTGGCTCTAGAGCTTAAAGTACTATTTAGAATAATAAGGGGGAGGCAGGGAAAGGGAGAGAAGGAAAGGCGGCTAAGTGGAAATGTGAAAGGCTAGAAAAGCGATGGGCAAGTGGCCTTTCAGGGAACACTCAGGGTATCGCGTGCCCAGCCTTCTCAGCACAAGTGGGCACAGGCTGTGAGCTGCTGGGCCTGGCTGCTGCGCTGCCATCAGAACCTGGGAAGACAAGAAAGTCCCTACTTGGAAAGTCCTAGCTTAGGCGAGGAACTCCCAGATAGAGCCATAGGCTATCAGAGCAGAGCCAGATCACAAAGCCCAGTTTCTACCATTTACAGATGCAGACGAAGCCTCAAGAGGTGCACTGACTTGCCGGAGAACAAGGGGTTAGTGGCTGGACCAAGACCCCAAGAATTCTCATTTCCCTGGCTGTAACTGAAGTCTTTCTCTGTTCCTCTGGAGAGAGAAATGCACTACATCCATCTCAAAACAAATTTTCATACACTTGGGAAGACAGTTAAATGACTTCATATATTTTTCCAAGAGAAACAAACTTTCAACTTGTCTTCTCATCAGCTACTTTGGATCCTGACTGCACAGTAGACTCACTCGAGGAGCTTTTAAACAGACTCTCTAGGAGTGGGGCCCAGAAAGTAGGCTTTTTAAAAAGTAAATCTCTCTACAACAACCTTCCACCACCCCTTTGAGAGTCACCTTTTTAACTTCTTTGGGTTACTCTTCATACTGGTTCCTTCACGCCGCTTCATTTACTTTCTGCATGCCAAATTTATGTGTTTAATCTAAAAGCAATAGTAGGGCCAGGCACAGTGCTACATCCTAGTAATCCCAGTGCTTTGGGAGGCCAAGGTGGGAGAATCACTTGAGCCCAGGAGTTCAAGACCAGCCTGGGCAACAAAGAGAGACCTTGTCTCTACAAAAAATTTTAAAAATTAGCCAGACATGGTGGCATGCGCCTGTAGTCCCAGCTACTGGGAGGCTGAGGCGGGAGGATCAATTGAGCCCAGAGAGTTCCAGGCTACAGTGAGCTACGATGGCACCACTGCACGCCAGCCTGGGTGACGGAGCAAGACCCTGTCTCTAAACACAAATAAGTTAAAACAATAGCAGTGATTGTTGACGCATGATTAGCTTGTGGTCCGTTGTGATTCTCAAGTCTTTTGTCCCGAGCTAGCCTTTCACCATCCTGTTTCTCTGCAATGTATAGGTCTTTATTTTCATTGAACTTCATCTGACTGATGAATTGCACAATCTAATTCAACAAATTGAACGTCTACATTGTGAAAGACGAGGGAGAAAAATAAGACATAGTTCCTACTCTCAAAGACCTTTCAAATAAATAGGTGGGGTAAGAAAGCACCAAAATAACTGAAATACAAGAGAGAATACAGTAATATCAAAGAAAAGTGGCAAAAGAAACTGACTTTTGATGAGTACCTACCATGAGCCACATACGTTGTGATAAAAATAGGATTAGGCTTGGCTGTGAGGCATTGGAAAATCTAAAACAATGTTGGCTAAAACATGATCAAAGTTTATTTTGTTCTCATATTTGAGAAATCCAGAGGGAGTCCATCCCAGACTAGCATGGTGCACATCTGTGTTAGAGACTCAGGCCCCTTCTCTCTTTTGCTCCTTTCCCAGTGTCACCTCATGGTCCACAACAGCTTGTGCAGTTGCAGCTGTCAGGAGGAGGGAAGAAGGGTACTTCCCACTCCCTTTAAGTTGCACACAACACTTTTACTGACACCCCATGGCCTGGGCTCAGTGGATCCCAAAAGGGAGGCTGGAAAATGAGATCTTTATTCCAGTTGGTCATATGTCCATCTGACGACTGAGGGCTTCATTACTATGGAAGAAGAGGGGAACAGATATTGGGGGACAACTAGTAGCCCCCACACCATGTTAAGAACTTTAGATTCTTCAGTGCACTTAGTTCTCAAAACAACCCAAAAGAAAGATGTCTCCCCGGCCTTTACAGATAATTCCTATCTGGAAACACTTTTGCAATCACAGTCAACTCAATGTCAGTTGCAGCCCTGGGAGGTATATTCTCAAATTCTTTATCCAGGCCATTGAGCAAGAAGAAGGTGGTTGCAAGACCCAGCCTTGTTAATCAGCCTTTAGCGGATACCTCTCCTAGACTGGTGCTGATCCTCTGTGGTCAGCCTTCTGCCACTGTGGACACATTCTCCAGGAGAAAGTCGGAAGAGACGTGTGTTTTCACCCTTTTCTAAGCCTTGTACTGTGGTTAGTAAGGTTCTCTCTAGTAACAGACAAGGAGTCAGACGGCTTCATTCAAAGGGATGGTAGAATTCTGAGGGAAGGAAGCAGCCAGGAAACAGCTCTCAGGACTTGGTCTTTTTGTCTTCTCCTTCTGAAACAGGTGTTCCCTCTCTCCTTCCTTCCTTTCTCCTTTGTTTCTTTCCTTCCTTCCTTCGTATTTTTCCACTATAAAGGCCGCTGCTCTCCCGTCTTTCCTTCCTCTGCTCCTGCTGCCACCAACTAATTGCTGTCTCTACTCACTTCACTGCCTCACAGCTCTTGCTTCCTTCAAGCTTCTACTGCTTCCTGGTTTCTGCTCGTTCCCTTCTCACTGAATGCTTCCCAGCTTCTGCCAGCATATTTTACACTCAGAACCCCAAATGAAAGCATCCGATCAGTTGGCCTCTCTGTATCCAGCAGGCACAACTGTTGGACCGAGGTCTCATGCCAGACAACCTCATGGCTGGGTCACATCGTCTACTCCAGACTCAATCCTCTGAGGACAGGATTCATGTGGCACAAGGTACACAAATGGCAAGGTCAGTCTAAGGAAATGCTATGAAGCGAACTGTGGAAGTAGCAGCTGTTGCATTTCAGAATAGCCACTGTGACCTTGTTGAGACTCATAAATAAGGTCCCAGACCCAACATCACACCATGCAACGACATTTATCCAACCATCTCTCTCTCTCACACACACACACACACACATACACACACACACATTCACACCCCTCACACATGACACATGTCACACTCCCTTATGGTTCTCATTATTTCCATCCTTCAGTTCAAAAAGTAATCAACTAGAGTGAAAACTTTATGCAAAACTAAAGGCATCAAGCTGGGCACAGTGTCTCAGGCCTATAATCCCAGCACTTTGGGAGGCCGAGGCGGGTGGATCATCTGAGGTCAGGAGTTCAAGACCAGCCTGGCCAACATGGCGAAACCCCATCTCTACTAAAAATACAAAAATTAGCTGGGCGTGGTGGCAGGCGCCTGTAATCCCAGCTGAGGCAAGAGAATCACTTGAGCCCAGGAGGCAGAGGTTGCAGTGAGCCGAGATGGCGCCATTGCACTTCAGCCTGGGCGATAAGAGCAAAAGTCCATCTCAAAAACAAAAACAAACAAACAAAAAAACAAAAGGCATCCTATAAGGTATCAGTAACATAATGTACCGCTGTGGAATACAAGCCTGGTTCAGTGGTTCCCAAACTTGACTAATTCCAAAGAATCACCGAGTGAGTGTTTAAAAATTAAATCCCCAAGTCCCCCACTAGAGATTCTGACTCAACATATCTGAAGTAGGGCTCAGGCTTCAGAAAATTTTTTTCTTTTTTCTTTTATTTACTCCTTAGGTGATTCTGATGACCAGCCAGGCTTGGACTCCACTGTTCAAGTTCCATGTTTACCCTTCCAGAGGATTCCCTGGAAGCTTTCATTACTACCTTGAGTCTGGTTCCTACAGCTTCTCCTCCTAGCTCTCTGCTTGATAAAATTATCTTACTGGGAGAGCCTGATATACAACAAGTTTCCCACTTGCCCTAGGGGGCAGGAGTAGGGCTCCCAAATCTCTCAATCTAAATGCCCACTAGTGCAGTTTCAGAAATGGAATTAAATTGTTCCTTAGGTAACTAGAGAAAATTAACAGATTCTTCCAACTTGGTTTGAAACCTGAATTAGGTGGAATGTTCAAGGGGTCATCACTAACCTGGACTTGATATATCCCAGCCTAGAAATTCTGGGGTTTCTCTAAATTTTGGAATAGCTTTTTATCAGACATATAAAAGAAGATACATTAGTGTTTATCATAAAAGACATCAGGTAGCAGTGCAGTATGAAGTGGAAAATGTTATATAGACCTAAGCTTTAGTTCAGGCTGGCTACTATGGAAAGGAAGTTATAACTTGGACTGCACAGGATTGTTGTGAAATTAGAGATGCTGTACCTAAAGCACTTGGAACTTTATAAATGGTAGTCGTTGTATTTAGAAAATAACTATTTTTGAGGCCGGGCGCAGTGGCTCACACCTGTAATCCCAGCACTTTGGGAGGCCGAGGCAGGCGGATCACGAGGTCAGGAGATGGAGACCATCCTGGCTAACACGGTGAAACCCCATCTCTACTAAAAATACAAAAGAAAAATTAGCCAGGCACAGTGGTGGGCACCTGTAGTCCCAGCTACTAAGGAGGCTGAGGCAGGAGAATGGCGTGAACCCGGGAGGCGGAGTTTGCAGTGAGCCAAGATCGGGCCATTGCACTCCAGTCTGGGCAATAGAGCAAGACTACGTCTCAAAACAAACAAACAAACAAACAAACAAACAATTTTTGATGCTCAAACTAATCTGAAGATAATAAGTTCTAGCACACCCAGTGGTACACCAGGGCAAGCTCTTAGGGGCTTGTGGAGCTGATTATGTGCATCTTTTCCAAACACTAAGGTCAGTGACATCATATTGGCTTGAAATCGGCTATGGTAGCATTATTTACACCACGGAAATTGGCAAATGTACACATCAGGGCTTTTTTTCCTGGAGAGTCGATTGTTAAACATTTACCAGCATACCACTATAAAAAATTACAACCTCGGCCGGGCGCGGTGGCTCACGCCTGTAATCCCAGCACTTTGGGAGGCCGAGGCAGGCGGATCACGAGGTCAGGAGATCGAGACCATCCTGGCTAACACGGTGAAACCCCGTCTCTACTGAAAATACAAAAAATTAGCCGGGCGTGGTGGCGGGCACCTGTAATCCCAGCTACTTGGGAGGCTGAGGCAGGAGAATGGCGTGAACCCGGGAGGCGGAGCTTGCAGTGAGCAGAGATCGCGCCACTGCACTCCAGCCTGGGCGAAAGAGCAAGACTCTGTCTCAAAAAAAAAAAAAAAAAAAAAATTACAACCTCAGCAAAGAGCCAAAGCCCCAAAATATGCAGCTAACTTGGCCTTTTATTTGATCCCTAAGATTTGTATCCATATAACTAGACCAGGATTCTGCCCTGATGATTTTTTGCCTATGGATCACACAGCATTTCGTAAATATTACCTCACAAATTCTCCCAACATCCTGGGGGAGCAAGAGATGTTAAGTGACTTGCCTGAGGCAGGACAAGAAATCAATAGTGAAAGGCAGAACTAAACCAGTCTGTATCAACCACCTCTGCAATCCTTCCTAGACATCAGTACTGTGCAGACCCACATTGGAGACATGGGTAGCAATTACCAAAGGTGCTTTTTACATCATAACCCAGATACCCGAAGTCGCTTTCTACAGACTATGGTCCATATGCTCTGACCTTTGAGTACAGATTTGACTCCCCAGAATGGCCAGCGCTCTACATTTGGACATTTTTTCCAGAACTGTTCATGGTCTTTTATTAATCAACTTCCTCCATGTTTTCTCTCCCAGGGACATGTGTTTGGAAAACTGGTTGGCCAGAGTTAGGGTTCTGTTCTGACTCTAACATCTGCAAGTGGCAACATAACCAGTCAACACTGTATTTTTATCTGTGACCCTTTCTCTGGACTCCCCAAGGACAGAGCTCCAAGAGTCGTTTCTCTCTGTTGCCTCATCTTCATAATACTCTGGAAATGAATAAATGAATAATCCTTGTAGTAAGCAGCCTCTCAAATGGCTCCCTATGATCCCCCAATGGTTTTGCACACTCTATGTATAATCCCTGCTACCCCTTGAGTGTGGGAAGATCTGGTGACTTGCTTCTAGTGAATAGTATATGGCAAAAGTGGTAGGATGTCACTTCCCAGATTAGGTTACAGAAAGACTGTGACTTCTATCTTGATCGTCATTTTTTCCTGCTCTCTCTCTCTCCCTCCTTCTTTCCCTCCCTCTCTCAGAGGGAGAGACTCTCTGAGCCTTTGCTGTGAGGGAAGCAAGGTGCCATATTACGAGTGGCCTTATGAGAGGTCCACATTGCAAGGAACTGATGTCTCTGGCCAACAGCTAGTGACAGCCTGAGGCCTGCCAACAGCCACATGAGTGAGCTTGGAAGTGGCTCCTCCAATTGAGCCTTGAGGCCATCACAGCCCTGATCAACACCCTGATTATACAATAGTCAACGTATAAAACTCTCAACTAGCCCAGTGTGGTGACGCTCACCTGTAGTCCCAGCTTTTCTGGAAGCTGAGGTAGAAGGATCACTTAAGACCAGGAGTTCGAGGCTGCAGTGAGCTATGATCACTCTACCTCACTCCAGCCTGAGTGGCAGGGTGAGATTCTGTCTCAAAAAACAAAAACAGAAACACAAAAACCCCTCTCAATCGACAAGGGAAGTGTTGGTCAGACTCAGTGACTGAATTTACCATATAAATCATCTCTACAAGATGCGGCCTGCACATCTAACATGATTATTGCATGGTCCTCCTCTTCTGCAACTTAGATATCTCTAACTTTCATAACCCTTGAAAGGGTTTTAGGGATAAGAATATCCCCATTTTTGGAATGATCCAACACCCCAACAAAAATGAACACAAGTCAATGACAACCTGACAACTGGAAATTCCAAGTTCTCCATGTTATTACGTCAAAATTGTCTAGTAAAAGAGAGGCCAGAAAGGAAAGCATGTGCTAAAATTTGCCCTTTCTAGTCTTGCATGAGTAATTCTTGCAGCAGGAGCTTCATTACAACCGCAGGACTGGGGCACACGAAGACGGCCATTTTCAAATCTGGCCTGACATCAGAATGTAATTCAACTAGATAAACCTGGGACTTGGCCAAAATAAGTAGCATTTGCAAAACTGGAGCCAATGAATAGCATCACTTTTCTGTGGGACCATATGACTACATGTGAAGAAATAAAGGCCTTTGTTATTTTAAAGGGCAGGGACAATTGGAAATTTTGCAGCAGATAGTCACAAAATTTTCCACCCTTGGCTCTCCCAAGAAGATACCAGTTAGTGGCTTTGGGAGTTGGGTGTGGAAGGGGTTGCTTAGGAAGCAAAATTAAAATGATCCTGGACAGAATATAAACAGATGTCACTACATTTGTCATAGAACCTAAAACATGATTAGACCCTTACATTGTGAACTTACTTTTTCTGATCTTCTATGACTTGGCTCCTTAAAATCATAGCATTCTATACCAGGCAAGGCTTGGAAAGCCAGAGCTCCCCCTCTCACAGCAAATTCTTATTTTGGAGAATAATTTTGGATTGATTTTTTAAAAATCTTTAAAAACAAAACAATCTGTTTTAAAAATTGGCTTTGCTTCTCTGCTTTTTGGACTTGTCTGCCTGGGACAGAGCAAGAGGACTCACATCTGTAACACTTTCCATCTGGGATGGGTTTTCTGCATCTTAGGCATAGACTGCTTTTCATTCGTCCCTTGTATTTAAGGGTTTTTTTTTTCTAAATTATTATCCCTATTGCCTAACATCGGAGCTGTCTGGGGTTATAATATGGAGAGTAGAAGCTCATCAGCTAAATTGGTTTTAGTTGCAGTTGAGACAGTATTTTATCCTGTCAGTTTTCATTTTATTTGATGACAGTGCTTGGTATTTCTTCCTCAATAAGCAAAGATGACTTAGATCAGTGGCCTGATGAATAAGCATGAAATTTTGATTTAGAAAAGGAGGATATCCTGAAGCTCATGGAGAGAAAAAAGGAATCTAACCCCCCACCACACATACTTTAAATGACAAAGCAAAGCAGCAGCATTGTCTTTAAGCAACATATTTCAACCGAAGATCAACACTCCCCGATGTTAGGTAATAGAAATAATAATTTAGAAAGAAAAGGGGGGCCCTTTTAAAAACACAAAGAAGGAATGAAACATTTTTAAAGCAGGTATCGTATTACCTTCAGCACATGTCCCAAAGAAAAGGAAAAAAAGGGTGGGGGGGTCCGGGAGGGAGGGCGAAACTGATGCTTGGGAGGAAGAAGGCGACTCCCGCTGAGGGCCGGATGGAGGATGTGATCAGTCTAACACTCTGCCTTGGCCCAAAGGCTTCCTTCCGCCCTTTCGACCTATTAACAGGAGTGGGGAAGGACAAAGAACCGTGAATCGGAAAGAACGATTCCCAGCAATCTTCAGTGATCGAAAATAAATAAAGAAAAACAGAGAAAGCCAAAGTCTCCCATGGAAGGGAACCCAATTAATTGTCTTCGATTTCAGAATGAGTTTTTTTCCTGCTGTAGAAGAAGCGCACGGGAGGCAGCAGAGACAGCAACTTCTGCCAAGGTTCAACCTGATCAGAAATCGCTCAGAGCTCCAGCACCCGGGACTGAGGCAGAAGGGCTCCGCCAGGAATAACGTTTTTTAAAGCACAGGATTGCTGTGTGTGTGTGTGTGTGTGTGTGTGTGTGAGAGAGAGAGAGAGAGAGACAGAGGAAAGAGGAGGAGGAGGAGAGATTGATTGATTGATTTTTTTCTTTTCCTTCTCAACATGTCACTTTCCTGCATGGGAATTCCTGATATTCCTGGCAGCCCGGAGAGAGGGGAGAGGCCCCCTGGTGACTTATGACCCCCGCAGGAGTAACCAGAGAGCGCGCGCGAGCGCCCAGCGCCTGGCTCAAGACGAAGATTTAACCGAGAACAAAAGAACGTTTGCCAATCAGAAAACGCTACCCGAGAACGAGGATAACCCCGCTTTGTGTTTTGAAAACTCTTTAATTAGCCTGGTTTCTAAGACGCATTAAAACATTCCTACGCAGATTCTAAATGGAGGATCAAATGGTTGCTTCTGCAACGAAGATGGGATCCCGAAAGGGCACACGCCGCAGAACCAAGGCACACGGGGCCACTGAGACGCCCGGCGCGTCGTACAGAGTGTTCCTGGGCGCTCGGTCTCAGGTTACTTCTAGAACCAGTCTCCCCAACGCCGTCTTCGTTTCCTTAAAACCTCGCTAGAGTCACCCCAGTTCCCCAGACTCCAGGCCGTGCGCGCGGGCGGGGTGGCCTGAGCCCGGGTTCCCCGCTCTCCCTGCTTCGGGCCCTTCCTCCGAGGGGTCCTTCCTCCCGCCGTCACTCGGCCCCCTCCGCCCGACTCGGGTTTCTCCTCGGAGGCGGCCCCTCCTCCTTTTTATAACTCGGGGGAGGGGAGAGGGGACTGTGGCCTCGCGTGGACTCTTTGGGTCCGGGGGGAAAGAGGCGATCCGCAAGGCGCACCCCCTTCTCGTCCCGTCCCAAACCCCACATTGAGGACCCGGCGACCCGAAAGCCCCGCCAGAGCCAGCCTTTGCAGTCCTAACGCGACTCCTGGTCACGTCTCTCCCCGAAGGGGCGCTGCGCGGTCCTCGCTCCCCTCAAACGCCGCTGGCGAAGGCGCCCCTGCTCAGGAATGCGCATCTGAGTGCACCAGGAAGAGGAACAAATCTTTGAAGCAAATTCCCTTTCTGCGCGTTTTCGTCCCTGAGCGAATTCAGGGTAAAAGTTTTTCCGAACTTTTCCCTCCCAGTCCCCCGCCCCTCCCCTCAGGAATCCGCCCAGAGCGCCGCGGACACCGCCTCCGCCACTCCCGCGCCCGCCCCTTCCGACTTCCGCCCAATCCGAAGGCGGCCACCGAAAAAACAAAGGCCGCCATTGGGCCGCCGGGGCCTGGGGCCGCCCCCGGAGTGGTTTGTGAATGGGGGGGGAGGGGAGGGGAGGGGAGGGGACGGGAGGGGACGGGAGGGGGCGGGCCGGCCCGGAACCCCGCGAGCCCGACGCTTCTTCTGGCGACCAGCGCGACTCCGAGGCGTTAGTCGGCGCTCACTCCCGGCGGGCGGCGGCGGCGGCGGCGGCGGCGGGCGCCAGGACTCGCTGCTGGGGCTGCGAGGGGCTGGAGGGGCCGGGGCCAGGCCGCGGGCACGAGCGCCTCGCGGTTTCGGACGCAGTGTGACTGGGTTTCCAAAAAGAACTCGCCGTGCTCCCGACTCCGGGGCCGAGATCGGACTCAGCAAGAGCCGGCCGTTTGGCTGAAACTTGGGGCCGAGCTTTTGGGGCTGAAGAAGGAGCGGGGTGTGGAGGAGGAGGCGAAGGAGGCGGCGACGAGCGGAGCCTCGAGGCCAGGAGGCGGGGCAGCACCGCGGAGGCGGCGGCCGGGGCGAGCGAGCGGCGGCGGCAGGGGTTCTCCTAGCGGGGACCGGACCAGGCGCGGGGGGCGTGCGCGCTGCGGTGCGCCGGGGGTCCAGAGTCTTGGGCAAACTTTGAAGGGTGCCGGAGCCGCTTGTTGCTCCTCGCGGCGGAGGGAGCCGCACCGTTACGTCCCCGCGGGGAGAGCGAGGCGGCCCTCCTCGGCGCCCCCAACCCAGGCTGACGAGTTTTGGGCCCCCGGCGGCCCTGCGAGTGCAGGGCGGCGGCGTCTGCGGCGCCTTCGCGGCGCGGGCACCCAGGCGGCAGCGCCCTTTGCTCCACGCCGCCCACGGCCCGGCCCCGGCGCCGTGAGGACTCTCATGCGTCGGGCGCGGCGGCGCCTCCCCGCATCCAAGCCTCTCCCAACCGCCTCGTCGCACTCCTCAGGCTGAGAGCACCGCTGCACTCGCGGCCGGCGATGCGGGACCCCGGCGCGGCCGCTCCGCTTTCGTCCCTGGGCCTCTGTGCCCTGGTGCTGGCGCTGCTGGGCGCACTGTCCGCGGGCGCCGGGGCGCAGCCGTACCACGGAGAGAAGGGCATCTCCGTGCCGGACCACGGCTTCTGCCAGCCCATCTCCATCCCGCTGTGCACGGACATCGCCTACAACCAGACCATCCTGCCCAACCTGCTGGGCCACACGAACCAAGAGGACGCGGGCCTCGAGGTGCACCAGTTCTACCCGCTGGTGAAGGTGCAGTGTTCTCCCGAACTCCGCTTTTTCTTATGCTCCATGTATGCGCCCGTGTGCACCGTGCTCGATCAGGCCATCCCGCCGTGTCGTTCTCTGTGCGAGCGCGCCCGCCAGGGCTGCGAGGCGCTCATGAACAAGTTCGGCTTCCAGTG